>NC_000003.12:156432846-156735877 GCF_000001405.40 Homo sapiens | reverse complement strand
CTAATTTATGATATATTCCACCCTTCAAAATGCAGACTCTATCCCTGGGTTGGGGGAAGTCTCTCCAGATCAAATATAACACACACAGCTACATATCGAAGCATTCACTTTGACTTGCATTGATTCTAATTGATCATATAAACAGATAGGTCTGGACGTGTTTGATTTTTCTGGTTCCCCAGTATGCAGCAAATAAGAAACAACAATCTGAATGAGAATGTGGCCGGGAGCTGTTAGAGACAGTCACTGTGTTGCCAACCGAGATGATATCTGATAGTTTGGTTTGCCATGACTGTGATGGTATCCTGGTTCACATATATATGTGTGTGTGTGTGTGTGTGTGTGTGTGTGTGTATAATGTATATATGTATACATATAAAATTTACATATACATAATTTCAGCTTTTATTTTAGATTCAGGGGGTACCTGCAGGTTTGTTATATGGGTATATTGAGTAATGCTGAGGTTTGGGATACAAATGATCCTGTCACCCAGATAGGAGCATGGTACCCAATAGTTCATTTTGCAACCCTTGCTGCCCTCCCTCCCCCCTCTAGTAGTCCCCAGTGTCTATTGTTGCCATCTTTATATCCATGAGTACTCAATGTTTAGCTCCCACTTATAAGTGAGAACATGCGGTATTTGGTTTTCTGTTCCTGTATTAAGTTGTTTAGGATAATGGCCTTCAGCTGCATCCATGTTGCTGCAAAGGATGTGATTTCATTCCTTTTTATGGCTGCACGGTATTCCATGGTGTATATGTACCATATTTCTTTATCCAGTCCACTATTGATGGGTACCTAAGTTGATTTAATGTCTTTTCTATTGTGAATAATGCTGTAATTAACATGAGTGAACGTGTCTTTTTGGTAGAATGATTTATTTTCTTTTGGATATATACCCAGTAATAGAGCCACTAGGTTGAATGGTTGTTCTGTTTTAAGTTTTTTGAGAAATCTCCAAGCTGCTTTCAACAGTGGCTGAACTAATTTACATTCCCACCAACAGTGTATAAGCATTCCTTTTTCTCTGCAGCCCAGCCGGCATCTGTTATTTTTGACTTTTTAATAGTAGCCCTTCTGACTGGTGTGAGATGGTATCTCATTGTGGTTTTGATTTGTATTTCTCTGATGATTAGTGATGTGGAGCATTTTTTCATATGTTTGTTGGCTTGTTGTACGTCTTCTTTTGAGAAGTGTCTCTTCATGTCTTTTGCCCACTTTCTAATGGGGTTGTTTTTTTTCTTGTTGAATTAAGTTCGTTATAGATTCTGAATATTAGACCTTAGTCAGATAGATAGTTTGTGAATATTTTCTTCCATTCTTTAGATTGTCTGTTTGCTCCATTGATAGTTTCTTTTGCTATGCAGAAGCTCTTTAGTTTAATCAGGCCCACTTGTCAATTTTTGCTTTTGTTGCAGTTGCTTTTGAGGACTTAGCCATAAATTCTTTCCCAAGGCTAAGGTGCAGAAGGGTATTTCCTAGATTTTTTCCTAGGATTCTTATAGTTTGAGGTCTTGCATTGAAATCTTTATTCAATGACTTAGTTAACTTTTGTATATGGAAAAGGTATTGAATAGGGCATCCTTTCCACCTTGCTTATTTCTGTTGACTTTGTCAAAGATCAGATGGTTAAGTGTGCAGCTTTATTTCTGGGTTCTCTTTTCTGTTCCATTGGTCTATGTGTCTTTTTGTACCAGTACCACCATGCTGTTTTAGTTATTGTAGCTATAACTGTAGTATAGTTTGAAGTCAGGTCATGTGATGCCTCTGGCTTTGTTCTTTTTGCTTAGAATTGCTTTGGTTATTCACTTTTTTTGGTTCCATATGAATTTTAGAATAGTTCTTTTCTAATTCCGTGCAAAATGATATTGGTAGTTTGATAGGAATAACATTGAATCTGTAGATTGCTTTGGGCAGTATGGTCATTTCAACAATATTGATTCTTCCAATCCATGAGCAGTAACGTTTTTCCATTTGTTTGTGTTATCTATAATTTTTTTTCAGCAGTGTTTTGCAGTTCTTGTACAGATCTTTCACCTTCTTGGTTAGATATATTCCTAGGTATTTTATTTTTTGTATGTGTTGCTATTGTAAATGAGATTACATTCTTGATATGGCTCTCAGCTTGAATGTTATTGATATATAGAAATGCTATTGATTTTTGTACAGTGATTTTGTATCCTTAAACTTTACTGAAGTCATTCATCAATTCCAGCAGCCTTTTGGTGGAGTCTTTGGAGTTTTCTAGGTATAGAAGCAGATTGTCAGCAAACAGAGTTTTACTTCTTTTCCTACCTGGATGCCTTTTCTTTATTTATCTTTTCTGATTGTTCTGGCTAGGACTTCTGGTGTCCTGATTCTTGCTGCTATTTATTTAACACTGATGGTGGGTACAGCTCTGGACTGAGCACTTTATATGTCATGTCTCACTCAATCCTGACAATAACTCTATAAAGTCAGGGCTATTGTTTTATCCATTTTTACAGATGGGAAAACTCAAGCTTAAGGGTGACATCAAGTTATTAAGAAACTGTTGAGTTATGTTTAACATCTATTTAATCAAACAGGATAGTAGATAACCTAGATTAGAAATGTTTCCTTCAAAATAGCTTACCAGAGACATTTTAGAGCTTAAAGGGATAAGTGGAAAGTTCACTTACGAAATCTGTCTTTTCCTATGAGCAGGCACAACAGTGAGGTGGCTCCAGGGGGCTTTCCAGGCCGAAGATTTTATATGCATGGAGGCCTGGGCCTCTAAGGTCATATAATGATATAAATGGTTCTGAGGAGATTGTCTATTGGAACAGCCACTGTCCCCGTTGGATGCCTACAGGGCCCAAGAGGAGAAGACTCTGACAGCAGTTGGCCATACAGTCTCTTCTCAGAGTGATCGCTGATAGTGAACCCCAGCATCTCTGTGATGTGTCTGAGTCATTTCCCCAGCCAACCTAGCATGCTGGTTGGAAGGATACAAGATCCATTCCTACTCTGGGTGCCCACAGACCTAAACCACCCTCATCCCCTGTTTCAAGATTACACAGACACATTCAAGGAAGTCTTTCTTTGAAGAAGTCTGCCATCTTTGGACTTGAGGTCAGTGCAGACCTTATTCACTATCCCTCTGCCCTTGATTCAGCTGGCTGAGAGAAGAAACCATCAGCTTGAATGTTTTCTTAGCCTTGAGAAGCAAACAAATGGGAAAAAAAGCCTGTGTGTGTTTTCATCTCTCACAGTGGTGTGTTAAAAAGCCCTCTGGATCGCTCTCACTGGGGGTGAATATGGTATTGAGAGGGATAAACCTTTGTCAAAGACTGTCAGGAGTCACTGAGATTACGTGGTTTTCTTAGGTGGTGTGTGTGTGTGTGTGTGCGTGTGTTCGTTCTTGCAGATTTTCACAACCCAGTGCAGTCCCCTGAGACATGAAAAGAAGCTGCGATAATCCATCCCTCTTTGAATGCCAGTGTCTCCAAAGAGCTCAGGAATTTCATGGTTTTCTGGAACTCAGACCTATTATGTGAAATGCTTCTCTTTCTGACCCTTGGCAATTCTAATACATCCACTTTCTTTCTGGCCTGGGACTGACCCTTGCATCCGTTCAGCAAATACTACACTAGTCAAGAATAGGCAATGAGGAAGAAAATTCAGATATCAAAATTGGCCTTTGCAAAACAGAACTGATTACTGGATTCAAATATTCCATAGAAATTGGGGGCATGATGCTCTCTTTCAATGAGATTTCTTTTATTTTCAGACTTTACAATGTACAGTGATCAAATGTACACCCATAAGCATGTGGTGCTGGCTGGTCTTAGATGAAATTGCAAAGGAAAGGACCTTGGATTTTCCACACCCTCTGTTTTGCAACCTTTTATCATCTTTTAATAATTCCCCTGCAGGAGATGTTCCATGCTCTTAGGATGTTACATCCTCTCCCAACAGGGGAAAAGCAGCTATGTAATGAATTAATTCAAAGGAAATGAAGTAGACTGTGTTGTAATGGTCTATGCTGCCCAGAAGCAATACATTTTAAAAGACAACTTCTAAAGACACTTTGAAGGGAGCAAGTTTCTTTTTTGGCTGTAGGGGAGGGAGGAATACAAGACTCAGCAATCAAGAAGAACTGTATAGTATAGTCATTTCCTAAATTCTCCCCATGAGAATCACCTGAGGGTAAAACTCGACTTTCCCCAGCCTTACTCTTGACCTTTGCTCTTTAAGAGCGGGACCTAAAAGTCTGTGTTCTGCACCATTCTTGTGACCAGCTGAGCTTGGAAATCACTGGTCTAGGTGATCACCTACTCTGCATTCACACAAAGCTAAAGGCAGAATGGAGTTGTGGAAAGTTGTTCTTCTTATGGAAAGATCTGAGTTTAATTCTTGACTCTGTTACTAGACAAGTGGCTTGAGCTAATCATTTAGCTCCCATGAATGTCACCTGTAAATTGGATCAATTATCCAGTTTTTGCAGGGTTGTTGTGAGGCTTAGAAATCATGCATATAAAAGCCTGGCACATAGAATATCCTCCAAACGTTCAGTTAATAATCCTTTAATTTTCTTTTTTAAAGAGATGTGGTCTTTCTATATTGCCCAGGTTGGAGTGCAGTGGCTCTTCACAGGCACAATCATAGCAAAATACAGTCTTAAACTCCTGGCCTCAAATGGTCTCCCTACCTCAGCCTCCTGAAAAGTTAGGACTAGAGGTACAGGCTATTGTGCCCGGCCTGATAATTCTTAATAGTAGTTGAGTTGAATAAAGAAAAAAATTGTCTTTATATCACTTCAATTGGGTGTTCAGAGTCTTTAAAAAATTTTTATTTAAATGCTTTCAAACATACATAAAAATATAGAAAATAGCATAATAGCCCTTCTCATAGTTATTCCCTAGCTCCTACAATTATCAACACATTGCTCTGCCTTCTTGTAATTCTGTTTAATTTTTTTAAGTGGTAAGAAATATAATAATTTCTATGGTAACCTATGCTTAGTATTTTTTAAACCTTCTAAAAGATAATACCACCTTTTTGGGGAAGGAAAAAAATACACTAGGAAAACCCCGTGTAAGTCAGCACTTATCCCTGACAAATGGATAAGCAGTAATGACTTTTTCCCAAAGTTCTAACTGTACAAAATTCATCCCAATGCAGTCCCATAGGTCTGTGTGGTGTATCTACAAACAAGTCCACTGCCTGGGCCAGATAGTTCCTAACAGCTGTGGTAACATGCTATCAGTGGTATTGGAAGGTTAAGTCCAACAGATGTGTTTTCACGAAAAGCAAAGGAACCTTGCTGGTCTGAGCACAGGAACAGTGTGATACTGGAAAAACCACACAGCAGAGTCACATCCAACATGTCCTTCTAGCCATTGCACATCGTGTGCAGAAACCTACGTGTCCAAGAAGCTCCTGTCGGAGTGAAGAAAGCACTGTGAGGCTGAAATCCTGGGCCTGGTGTGCTGGGTCAAAAGTTTGCCATTTGAGAGTATGAAGCACATTCATTTGTGACTTCTCCATTCCCAAAAGACCTCGCAGGTGTTAGCATGTTGACAAGCTGACATGTGGTCCTTGTGTTTGGCCGTTTCTAAGGCTCGTTGCTCTTAAATCATCACTCTAATATACTAACAACCCCAGTGAGAACTTACAGCTCCCAATGTTTGTTTGTTCATAAGTTAACTGTTGAATAAAAAATGGATCAGTTTCACAAAGAATGACCAGAGCCCATACAAACAAAATTTGAAAAGGAAGGGAAAAAACACACAACCACCAATGTAGTTCAGAGTTCATCTCTGCTGACTGTTCAGAATTGAAGTCAGGATTCATCATCATCTAGTTCTTATTCTATGAATCCAGGGCAAAAGATGGCTCCTCTGGAGGGGAGTGTGCTGTTAGGAATGGCATGTTGCAGCAGGTTCTGAGGCACCCACTGAAGTCTCAGGAAGTCTGGGATTGAGAGAAAGAAGGCACAAGGGCTCAAGTCCATGGCAGCAGTGATTGGTTTTGTTGTCTTGTTCTTACTGTGTGGAATTTGCCAGGAAACCTTGCAGCCAGACACCTTGTCCTGAGAAGGCTGTGCAGCACCTGGTCCCTCTGCCATGTCCCTGTGCCTTCCAGGTGCTCTAAAGGGATGGCTTTCCCATAGTGAAGGCAATGAGGGCAGCTTACTGTGAAACTAACTCAGAGCACTGCTTGCCACATACTCACATTCCTGCCGGGTCACTTGCCTGCCTGCCCAACTCCCTCTCTGGACGCTGATAATCCCCCAAACAGTGCCCTGTGACCACAAAGTGATGGGACTGATCTCCCAGAGCCAGATCTGGAACTCTGTCTTGTTACTTTTCAGTCACTCTAGGCATGTGATGCACTTTGAACATCTTAGAGGACAGAGAGGTCAAAAAGGTGTCCATTTTTACTTCAACTACTAAAACCTGTTAATCCTGATTAGAAGAGGGGGAGAGAAGGGAGTAAGGACAAGAAGAAAAAGAAGAAAAGGAATGAAGGCAGGAAGGGTTGGTGGACAGTTGGCTACTAGTCACAGATAAGCAAGAGGTCTGGCTCCTAATTTATATTAGCTTAAACCCAAAACATTTCCTCCTTTGCTAGGATGCTCTACCTTTCTTAAGATAAGCTTTACATTATTTCTGAGGGGAGGAGGGATAACAAGTTGATTTAAAAAGTTTTCCTTTAAACTGTGGAAACAAGAAGTCCTTAGCAATGCCACGTCTTGCCCTGACATTCTTCAAAGCTCTTTATGTTTTAGCCTCATGTTGAATTCACTTTTACAATTTTTGTTGCTATAATAACAACATGGCTTTCTTTCACTCCTTCAATTTTCAAGTTGCTTTATTCACTATAAATCATCTCATCAAAATATCTAGGTTTTTCCCATGTGAAGAAAAACATTGGGAAAAATGGGGGATAGAAATTTAACCATTAAATTCCACCTCTCCCCCAACTCTGTCAGCAGCCGCCAGGACCAAACACAGTGCATCTTCCATGCCCTACTTAGCACAACAGACACCACCATCTCAAATTATTTGCTGGGGGCAATTCAGGCTTCCACCTGAAGAACCTGGATAAGTGCCCACAGCCGCTGGCTGCCCATGGCCTCTCAGAAAATAAATGCCTTCCAGGGTAACTTTCTGTTCTTTCTGTGTGAATGAAACTCACCAGTCCCGGAAACTGTTTACACACATTTGGTAGGTCATTCCTCCCTTAAAGGGATGTGAATAAAAAGCCAGAGAAAAGGGCTCTTTCTCTCCCAAAGTTTGCTGATTGTCTCTCTCCTGGGCCACCTGACTCCCCTTAGCCTTGTGCCTTTGTACAGCTGGTGTTGACATCAGGTTAATTACACGGTCCTGTGTTTACACGTGGGTCTCCTGAAAGGCTAGCAGCAAGTTAGCTGTGCGGAGGCAAGTTGCAAAGCTCATTTCATTGACTTGCCCTTACGTCTGAAATGGACTTTTCCAATAGTGACTGGTGAATGATTCACAGGCATCCCTAGGAGACAAGCACATAGCATCATCCCTACTTTGTCAACAAAGAAATGGGCCAAAGTGGGAGCTGCTGGTCCAGGGGTGCACAACAAGTGTCTCAGCAACAGGGTCAAGTGCTACTCTTGAGGCTAGGCTCACATTCATCTGCTCCCACCCTGGGTGGCTCTACTGCCTCTGGACAACACATACTCTTGGGGTATCTTGCAAGCTTGACAGGGAGAAAACATTAATATACATATGAAAAATGAAGCACTGGTTGAGGGCTAGCCCCTTAGCTCTCTAAAGGCTCTAGCTCTGTATCAGAACGACTGTGGGCCAGCCTTTCGTGCCATATGCAAATGAAGCTTCTTGAAGGCAGGAAATGATGATGTTTTCTTGGCTGCTCTATCCCCAGGGCCTAGACCCATGCATGGCTCAGGTCAGTAGGGACTCAATAAGTACTAGATGAGTGATGAATGAACCTTGACTACATTATGTTAGCCACTGGGGATAACAGCTGGGCCTTGCCTTGTTGGTACCCCTGAGAACCCTGCACTCCTCTTACCCACCTCAGTGAGAAAGGACATTTAAAAAGGCTTGTGACTGACTGTCTCTGAAGAAATCACAGAAGATCTGATCATCTGTGATTTCTTCAGAGACAGTCAGTCACAAGCCTATTTATAGCCATTCATAGAATGGCCTCTATGCCACAGACAAAGTACAAATATATAGAGGTCAGATGATTTGTTCACACTCCCTCAGCTAGGACAAAATCTCAGATCTCCTGACTTGATACCCCACACTGGGTTTTAAAATACAGTTTTGCCTCAGGGTTAGGCTATAGCTATAGCCACGCTGGCTGTCCACAGGTCCTGGACTGAACAGTTATGCAGAAGATTTAGAAACTACAGAGAAAGCCCTATCCTTACCATTGTGCCCTCAGCCCTGGAAAACTGAGTCGACACACAGGTTGCTATGAGATATCATTTGAAGGGCAGACATTGTGAAGACTAAGCCAGTCTTGGCAAAATGAGCATTTGTAAGGGGCAACTCAATTAGAGGGTATTTTGTTTCAGAAACAATCTTGGTGGTTCATATGAGTGGGAATCTAACAGTGCTCCCCATTTCACATGCTAGGAAGTATGTGTTTCTCTCCTCCTCTTTCTTCAGGAAACTTAATTGTAGGAAAATTCTTATTTTCTGGATAGAAAATCCAAGGCAGGCAGATAGATATTTGACAACTTCCATGGAAATATATTGGGGAATCTTACTTATGGCAGAATTCTAGCATTACCTCTTTTCAGAGTCTTGTACATTTCTTAAATCCAAATGTGTAGCTCATTTTTCTGTGAAGGGTATTTTACAAAAGAGCTAGGGAAAATATACTAAGTGAAAAAGTATCAACCCTTTGGATCAACTTTGGTCCTTATATCTTAGAAATCAGGTGATTCAAACAAACCCCAAAATGCCTCTGGTCACTCCCAATTCTACATTGTCTTTTCTTCCAAGCTTTGGAGAGGGCAGCTGTTCAAGTGCCCAGGTCTAGAGGGGTCAGAACTTGGTACAGCCCTTAGAGTGAGGGTCCTGTGTGACAATCAGGCCCTTTTGCTAAGTGTTAAATATTAATATTTGGAAGTTTCTACTTGTAGAGCCTGAGCCTGAGAAGAAACCACTTGGCAGACTTGGAGTTCTCCTAAACCAAGTGCTGCTGGTTTGTCCTACACAGGATCACCCAGTCCCACCACATTCTTCCACAAAGTCAGAAGTTCACTTAGATGGCTGGGCTCACTGAGATTATAGCAGAAAACTCTATGAAAGGCTACTAAGAATAAATTTCCTGGAGGTGGTACGTCTGACTAGAAGAAGAACCTCATTTGTCAGAAGAACCTGACAAAGGAGGCTGTCTTTAGACAGTGCAGGGATGGCTGCTTTCTCCTCTGTCTTCAAGTCTGGATGACCATGCCCAGGAGTGTCTTCTCTATAGGGATGATTAGGAGCAGCATTTCAGATGGAAGTGGGTGCCAGCTGGACCTTGAAGCCATGCTTTCGTAGCACTTCATATAAGCTTAAGAAAACACCAATTGTTCATATAAAGAATTGGGGAAGGGGGCCCAATGGTGATAAAGTGGGCCTAAAGTCCCAAAGCCACCCCTTGGCACGGGACTGATGCCTAAAAGCCTAGATGCAATTTTTACATAAGAAACTGAGCAGCAGACTCTCTCACTATTCTGAGAAATTCACATTTTTCGGCAATTAAGAGGAACCTGCTTCAGGTATTTAATTAATCAAAACTGAGAAATATTTTCCAGCGGGAAAATTCACATGGAGTCTCCTCTATCTTTCAGGATATATAACGTCTAAAAAACTCAAATGACATTTTCATGTCTTCCTGGTGCCAAGCCAGTGAATGGGTGGTGTGAAATGTTTATACCAACAGTCATTACTAAAGTTTCCCACAGGGCTGAATCCAATTAATTAGGCCTAGCTAAACCTGTCAGCCACACCCAGGACCCAGCCGAATAACCTTTCCAGGATTTAGAAACACCCCTTCGACAAACACTCATTTATTACTACCTGTATTCTGTGAATCACTCTGCTGCAGATACTGCCTGACGGAACTTCCTCAAAACACAGTGCTTCATAGACTAAAAGTCAAAGACCTCTGCTTTTTCATTTTAAAATGTTGTTCTTCAAACCACTTTACAAATATTAATGTATATTTCATTTTCACTCATAGTTTGCTCAGAACCAAGAATAATGCAGTTTATTTTTCTTCAGGTCCTAATCAAAGGACTGGATAGTTTCTACCAGCACCATTTGTTTTCCTTGAAATTGATGGGAACCTCTTTTTCCTCCCCCAAACCCTGTAGAATATACTCAGAATGTATTAGAAACTCTTCTGAGCCTGAAGCCTGTGTCTTTCTTGGAGGGCTCTGGAAAATCATTCCAGAGCAAACTTACATCTTTTGGTACCATTATCTTTGGACCCAGCGTTTCATTCAATATACATTTATTGAGTGTTGATTAGTGCCAGGGTACTGTTCAAAATGCTGGGCAAACAATATGAATGCTTCCTGCTTTCCCAAGACTTCTAGTGGTGGGTGGCTGGTAGGGGGAAAAATAAGCAAATCAACAAAGAAGCAAAGTAATTGCTGATAGTGGCAAGCAATATTAAGACAGCACAAAGGATAATGGCCTAGAGAGTGAGGATGTGAGTGTTGAGGTGGTCCGGGAAGCTTTGCTGAGGGTGTAGCATTTTGAGACCTGAATGATAATATTATGCTAATTGTATCACATTCTGTTACATTTACTTTTCTGTTTTTAAAGCAAATCCACAAGGATATAAAGTCAAATGAACAAAGAGACTGATTAGGAGACCATTGTCCTCTCATACTATTTTTTTTTTCTTTTTTTTTTTTGGTGGACAGACGTATTCAGGGAATGCTGGTAAATTGGTTCAGTCTCTAAGGTGGGCAACACTGTGGTATCTATCCAAAATTAAAATGCATTATCCTTTGATCCAACAATCCCACTTCTAGGAATTAAATCTATAGAAAGAATGGTACATATGCAAGTCAGGGGCTGGTTAAGTAAATTATGGAACATCCATATGAGAGAACACTTTTCAGCCATTAAACAGAATGAGGTTGGGGTCCAAGATAAATTGTTAAGTGAAAAAGAGCAAGGTGCAAGAACTATGTGTTTTGTTTAATATGCTATAATCTTTGGGAGGATATATTAAAAAAAACTGATAACAGTTTTTGCCTCAGCAGGGGTTAGGGGAGAATTAGAATTAGAAGGACATCAAACAATACTTATAACCTCTGTATGTCCTTCTGTAACTTTCACATTGTTTTTACTGGTGCATATATTAGCTATTTAAATAAACAGATGTTTTGCAAAATAAAGCATTGCAGTATAAATAATTACAGATATATTTTATCCAAAGTTCTTTCCATGTGTATTTACACATCACATTTTCAGCTGGAATAAATTTTAAATGTTAAAAGGGGAAAAGCTCCTAAAATCAGTTGTGTAGTTACCTTCTTGGCTGGCCCAATATATAGGCATTTCTCAGCCCGGGCTTGAGTATGATGGTCTTTGTAAGATTGAGCTTAGGAAACATTTCAGGAAAGGCATTTTCTTGTGGGATAGATATCCTCTTTGGAAGATAGTGCACTCATTTCTGATCCATTGAAAGATTTGAATAACTAACTTGACCAATATTCTGATAGAGAATTGGAAAAAGTTGATTTTTTTCTGAAAAACTTTCCAACGCATATATAATTTTTCCTCTTCTAAGGTAGGGTAGGCCTTGGTTTCTAAGAATGAACTTGCTCCAGCAGAAATGTTTTTCTCAGTTCTCACAGCTAATTTATGTTCTGGACCACTTAAAATTACGGATTGATAAGAGCCTTTAGCTACCAGTAAAATTTTAAGAAACACGATGGAAATCAAATGTTTTTTAGCTGTCTGTATTTTGAGCACAATCTCTGTTGCTTCCTACAGTGCTATGCCAGGGAAGGACACCAAATAATACTTACAATCTCTGCTTCTTGTGGAAATAAAATCTGTCTCCTATTAAATAAAGCACTTAAGCACACACAAGTTTTATTTGAAAATGTCCCATCGATAATCTGAAAGAGCCATGGAAATGACATTATCTATTTTAAAAATGCATTAAATATGTATCTAGTGGAATTGTGAGAAATTAAGTCACTTGTAAAAATTTCCATCTACTACAAGCTGGATGTGAGAATTTGCACAGGGGCAGAGCTTGGAGAATTGGCAGAGTGGCCTACAGTTTGAGTCCCATTGGGGCTGCAGGAAAGAGAAATGGCTCATTACAAAAAGCTATGGTAACACCCCAGAGAGCAGCTGCATTTGGAGCTGAGTCAGAGAGCACAACCTGACCAAGAAGGGGAAAAGAGGACAGAAACTGCTCATCATCTTGTTGGCAGAATCTTTGAATACTCCATTCAAGAAATGAATGCTATCAGTTGGTGGCAGAGTCTACCCACTCTGTGAAGTAGGGTGCAGATGAAAGGTCTTTCTGAACACCAGCTTATTGGCCATTGGTCTTCCACTGCGTCACAAGCCCCAGGGGAGAAAGCCAGAGTCAGTATTGCAAGAGGTCTTTCCAAGTGTAGGCCTTTCCCAGTGCAGGCCTTTCCAAACTCAGGCCTCTTATGTGTGCTGACAGAACCTGGTCGTAGGGGAGGAAGTTATCAAAAAGTGGGTCACTAGAGAAGGCTGGGCTAGCTCCACATCAGGGTTCCTTGTCCTCATGATCAGGTTTCAGGGAAGGCTTTTATTTTTGTGGCTCTTAACAACACACATCCTCTAGTATTCTTGTGGGAGGGAGGGAAAGTGATGCCATGTGGGCACTAGATAGCAGAGGTGGAGAGAGAAAAACCTGAGAGAGACAGAGAAACAATAATTCAGAAAGAATTCTACAACTCAAGACTCTGAAAGGAGCTCCATCCCAAGGAGGGACTGCTCTAATACAGGCAGCAAATATGCCTTGAGAGTCCTGTGGAGATCTGCGTGACAATTACGAATAATCTTGAATTTTGACTTGTATTTTCCACCTTCTATTTTTGACATCCCTCTTTGGAGTCACTCAGTTGAAATCAGATGACATTCCCTATGAAGCTTATTATGTCTCTAAGGTCAAAGTCTTTACTACTAATGATTTAAGCTACAGATTTACAATTTCTTGTAAGAGAAATTGAGTTGGAAAGGACAGTAAAGATCTGCCCCACTATTTTAAAGATAAGGAAACTGAGACCTAGAGGGGTTAAGTTATTTGGTCAAAGCTCTCAGAAAAGCTGAGACTAGAATTCAAGCTTTCTCTAGGCAGAGTCCTTTGCTACTTGAAAAGTAACACTACTTTCCTGCTTTCACATTCTATTCACATTTCTATTCATTTTGTGTCAAATTGTGTGGTCCATTTCTCTGTCCCAAAGAGAACAGAATATGTTGATTCAGCAGGAATTTCCAGAGGGGGTTAGGGGTGGGGACCTACAAGGGCCTACAAAACTTAATGTGATCAGAGGAATCTTCATTGACAAATAATGTCCAGATTTACAAATACTTGACACATAGAAACTGACTCCAGCTCAAACTTATGAAATAGAGAAGATAGAGTTCCCCTTTGTCTTCAGGGGAAGCCATGGCTGCTTAAGGACAATGCACTGTCAGCTCGGTGATGTCTTGATTTGGTCTGGGATTCTGCACTTAGTAATTGCAGACAATACTCATGTGGTGCCAAGGAAAAAGAAATTTGGCATTTTCCAGTTCAATAAGTCTAAACAAACCACATCACTTTACATCAAGTAGATCATGTTTTACCAGAATTTTCCAGTTTGGCAGTCTATCTTGATCAAATCAACTAAATTATTGCCACTGTGGCTATCTGTGAAAGAACACAATTAAAAAAATCTGGTGCCTTATCTTATACTCAGGTAACACATCTCCTAGAGATGGTGAAATACACCATTCTGCTGAGTCAGAGTGATTTCCTCCCTCCTTTACTTGGGAGTGGGTCTGTGATGCACAGTGACACTCTGGCAGACATAGACTATATTTTGATGTGTCTGTCTTAGTTCATCTAAAGTTAAACTTATTCCTTAAGAATGGGTCCCAAATTTTCTGCACCTCGCTGTGGTCTCTGCAGTCATTCACTAAGGAAAAATTATTTATTCACTGTTTGACACATCTGGTTTCTAGACCTTGTCTAGATAGACCTTGTCTGGATGGTGATTAACAAGTTTGACCAAGAGCCACAGCCCTGTTCTGTTTCTTCGTCCATTGTTTCATCTCTGAAACACTTGAACTTCATCCTTGAAGGCACCAAGCTATCACATTGGTGCCTCACATCTGAAAGTTGGATAAAAGACAGTAAAGGTCCTGTGTACCTTTACCATTTTTACCTCAATGACCTGCTTTTGCAGGCAAATGTGCAGTAGCTTTAAGCCAGTATCTTGAAAGTGGGGTGCATATAATGATCAATTGAGATGAAAGACAAATATTATAACATGTTTATATTTATTTTTATCTTTAAAAAATGAAAAAATGCTGTTTCCTCATATTTTAACACTCTCATTGGGGCTGTCTGTTGAATGAGCACATATCATGTACAGTAGGCATAGTACCCTCCAGAAAGAATGAGAGGTTCCTGGAGCAGAGGGAAGTATCCACCCTTTTTTCCCTTTCAAGGTGTTGTAACATATTGCATTTTGTTGGTTCTTGGTTAAGTGGGTTTAGGATTATATAATTTAAATTAGGGGTCGGCCAACTATGTTCCCTGAGCCAAATCTGGCCTGCTGCCTATCTTTGCAAATGAAGTTTTACTGGAGCACAGCATGCTCATTCTTTTGCATATTGTCTATGGCTGCTTTCAGACAATGGCAGAGTTTAGTAGTTGTGACAGAGACCATATGTCCCACAACACCTAAAAGATTTACTATCAAACCCATTACAGAAAACATTTGGCAAACCTTGTCCTAAATAGTTCCACTTTTGCAAAATGTTATAAGACTGTGGGGGCGGGGGGGGGGGGTGATGAGAGTGGGAAGGAGAATTGTACCCATGAAAATCTTTACATTACACCCAGGTTATCTCACGATATTTTTATTTTATGAGAACACATATCTCAAAGTTGCTGACCTTTTTTTTTTCCCCTGACGACAAGCAGCTGATTCTAGTGACCTAGAAGATATTTTGGGGAAAAATAAAAAAAGACTCAAAATTTAAACTGTCTTTTCAAGGTAAAAGGACATTTTTAAATAGTGAGAAAAACATATGTAATTTCACAAGAAACCTACTATGAAAAATTCTGAAAAATAAAATTTTGATATGTTTCCATTTTATGTAATTGTTTCTTAAAAAGTATTATCACATAAAAATGTCCACATCTGCATTCTTAGAAACACTTGGAAGCAGAATTTTCATTTAAATGCTATCTAAATGAAGACTTTCAGTAAAATTTGAAGAGATATGTTAAAAATATAAAAATACGTTTTTCTATTAGTTTGCAAGAACAACTGATTGACATCTAGAACTATGAATATTTCCTAGCTGATTTTCAACAGAAATTTTTGCTTAAGGAGATTAAGAATGAAAAAGTGGTATTATGATTTAGTAAGCTCAGCCAGTGATGGGCTTCTTCCATTCAGATGTGTCTTTGGGATATTCTTTTTCCAGCTACTATTAATATTTTTTAGTGAGAACAAAAAAGCATTTTGTGTATATTTAATAAATATAAAAATACATTTCTTTTTAAAAAATCTTATCTTTTATTTTATATTACTTATTAATCTATTTCTTAATTTATTTCTATTTTTGTATTTGTTTTATAATGTATTTATTAATGGAAAAAATACATATCTAATTTATGAATATATAAATATACATAGATTGGAGTGGATGCTCCCAAAGTTTTCAGTGATAGAAATTTATAGTCAAAATATTTAGTGATCAATAATTTGTAGTGTGAACTTGAAATTTAGTAGATTTAGGTTTAAATAGGGCTCTGTCACATATTGGCTACATTCTCTTGATTAAAATAATTTATTGTATGTTTTATTTTCTTAATGGTAAATTGAGATAAGGCACATAAGGCACTTAATACAAAGCCTAGCACATAGTAAATGTTCAATAAATATCAGTAAATATAATTATTGTACCTATATATCTCCAAGTTCTCCAGCTTTCCAGGGTCACCCTTTTCTTTAATATTTCAATAAAATAATTCAACTCCTCCCATCCCACTTATGGGAAAGCTACTATATGCCCCTGATTTTTTTGTAGAAAGTCCTGTCTGAGTACATTGAGAGTGCTATAACAAGTTACCATAAACTGGGAAATTATAAACAACAGAAATTTATTTCTCACAGTTTGAAGTCTGGAAAGTCCAAGATTGAGGTGCTGGCAGATTTGGTGAGGGCCCACTTCTTAGTTCATAAGACAGGTATCATCTCGCTGTGTTTTCACATGGCAGAAGGGAAGAGGGAGCTCTTTGGGGTCTCTTTTATAAAGACACTAATCCCACTGAGTGCTCTATCATGACCTAATCACCTCCCCAAGGCCCCACCTCCAAATACCATCATACTGGGGATTGATTTCAACATACGAATTTTGGGAAGACACAAACATTCAGCCTAGAGCAGTACTTGAATTCTTCTGCTATGTTAGATTTTTTCTGGTTGCCTAATGTCCCTCTCTTGGCTCAGTTCTCTATCACCTGCAGGCTTATCTATTCCTAATCTATATGACTCCAAGAGTAACTATTGTAAGACTTTCCTTAAGACTTGTGGATAACACAGGGTAAATACAGTTAAGAACTGGAAAGAATTTACAATCTAGGCATCAAAACAATGCCCTTCCTAAGTTCATGCACTGCTGCCCATTGCTGGGAATGTCTTAATAATTCTGTCCAGTGTTGAGCCTGGCCTGTTTCCCTGTTGTTGGTACTATTCTTTTCCTTTCAGAAAACTTTCTGCCTTTCTAAATGTTTCCTGAATTCAGAGCCCAGCCCCCAGTTTCTCAGACTACTGCAGGCTACTCTGTTATGCCAAGGCCATGAGTACAGCTGCAGTCTGGGCACTAAACTTCTCCGGGGGTGCCATTCACACTGACAACTGAATAATGAATGCTCCCTGGAGTTGTACAGTAAGATAGCCCTGCCTCTTTCCATCAAGAATGGGGTGAATGCGAAAACTCCACTTTCAAAATCAAGAAGCCCATTAGCTAAGAGTATATTAAATAAAAATGCCATTCACTATAGGTCGCTATCTCTCCCCAAACAAACAATAAATAAAAGCTTTTGACTCCAAAGTTATTAGATTGAATTATTAGGCAGAGATCAAGGTCAACATTTTTGTACTTCCCTTCTACAAGTCTCTGTGCTGGAACTGGGTCAATAAAACATTTATTAAACCCCTTTCTCAATCAACTCCTGTGTGTCTAGATTTCCTCCCCTTTTCACCACCACCGCTGCCAATAGCAACAATACTATGATTACCATCACCATCATCATGACCTGCATGATCGCCTTGACCATGAACATCACCACCTCCGCTACCACCATAACCATCTCAATCACCACTATACAGCTGACTCTTGAAAGACACAGGTTTGAATTGTGCAGGTTCACTTACGTATAGATTTCTTATGCTTCTGCCACCCCTGAAACAGCAAGACCAACCCCCCCTTCCTCCTCCTCCTCAGCCTACTCAACGTGAAGATGATGAGCCTCATAACTTTGTGAGGTAGGTACTGTTATTATTCCCATTTTACTGATGGACATTTACTGAATGATGATCCAGTTCCAGTTAATAAATAGTGAATATATTTTCTCCTCTTATAATTTTCTTCATAACATTTTTTCTATGGCTTATTCTAAGAATACAGTATATAATACATATACAAAATATATGTTAATCAACTTTACACTATCAGTAAGACTTCTGGTGAACAGTAGGCTATTAGTAGTTAAATTTTGGGGGAGTCAAAAGTTATATGTGGATTTTCTACTGGGTGGGGGGTGTCCGTAACTCCCATGTTTTTCAAGAGTCAACTGTATCACCATCACTACTATCATGAACATCACAATCACCATCAACATGAAGGCCCACTATCATCACCCCAACAATAATGATCACTATCACTACAGCCATCACTACCTACTTGGCTTTTCTGAGGCCCTGTGGCAATTGTCTGAAAAGCTGCCAAAGCTCTCTAAAGTTCTTTATCCTGGGAATTCTATAGGCATGTCTGCCAGCCGTCTGCTTCTGACTTTGTGTACTAGCCAGATACCCTTTCCCTCCATTTCTAGAGAAAAGGATAGAACAAAACTCATGTCCAAGTCCTGATCTCTTGCTTCCACCCAGCCCAACTGTAGGCTCTGACATTGGCATCTTCAGGTTTGGGATTGATCCTGAGCTTTGTTAAGCACGTAACCAAGCTTCCGTATTATTGTTTCTACCCTTTTCATCCTATTGTTTCCTTCTGTCTCTAGAGAAAACTCCCTGTTCTATTTCCTGGACCTAGTGCCATCCAGACAACTCTAACTCGTGAAAAGGGGTAATGGTAATTACAAGTGACCCCTTGCCTTTATCGGCTCCCTCAGGTCCTTGGTTATCCTGTGACAGAAAACTCTAAAGTCAGAAAAATTTTCAATCCACTTGGCACCCCAGTAAGAGATTGAACATCTGCCACTCTTGGAGCCAGTTGGTTTCTCACCCTCCAGAAATGGGAGATTTCTGTTGAACAAGAACAGCAGGGTTGGGAATGCCTTCACTTGGAGGATGTGTCAGTGCAACGGTGGAAGCCTTCTTGCAATAGCTTCAGGATCCATCACTGATCCCTGAGTGGAAGATATAAGCATTGTGGCATATGCCTTCACAAACAACATTGGCCATGAAGGCACAGCCTTCCTAAAGGCTTTCCATTTTCTTTTTAAACTGAATATGGTCTAATACAGAACAGAGAGGGAATGGGAATCAGATTTTAAAAAGTAGACTGGGCATGGTGGCTCATGCTTGTAATCCCAACACTTTAAGAGGCCAAGATAGGAGGATCGCTTGAGCCCAGGAGTTGGAGACCAGCCTGGGCAACATAGTGAGACCTCATCTTTACAAAATAAAATTTAAAAATTAGCCTGGTGTGGTGGCATACATCTGTAGTCCTAGCTACTCAAGAGGGTGAAGTAGGAGGCGTGCTTGACTCGGGAGGTCAAGGCTGCAGTGAGCCATGATTGCGCCACTGCACTCCAGACTGGGCAATAGAAAAAGATTGTCTCAAAAACAAAATAAAAAAATAATAATGCTTTCCCTGTAGTTAGAAGCACTTCTATAGTAGGAGCTAGAAGCAAAAAGTTGAAACAGTACCTGAACATCTCAAGTAACAAATCAAAAACTAACTTTTGGTTTGATTATCCGGATTGAATGAAAGTGGTATATAGTATAGGTGGAAGCAGGCTACAGTGACTATAAGCACAAATTCCAGAACCAAACTGCTTGAGTTTAAACTTAGTTCCTCTGCTTACTTGTTATGTGACCTTGGTTAAGTTACTTAACCTCTTGAGGCCTTAATTTGTCCATCAGTAAAATGGGAATAATAACAGTACCTATCTCACAAAGTTATGAGGCTTAAAATGGCTAATGAATGAACAGTGCTTAGAATAGTGTCTGGCACCTATGAGTTCTATTATCCCAAAAGTTGTTTCAGTTATATGTCACTTGGCTTTTTCAGACACAATCATAGCATTAATGTTCTTGTGAGCCCACGTCTGGATAAGAAAGAGCCGATGCATCTACTTTAGTGTGGAGGGCTCCTCTATCTTTTCCATCACACAATCTGAGGGAGAAGGCCTCACAGAGCACAGGGTTCTTAACTTGCCTTGTCTAAGCATCATCCAATATGCTTATCAAAATTCAGGAGGTTTGAGAAAGGGTCCAGAATCTAGTTTTCACACTCCCAGGTGGTGATAAGAAGGCTCAGGGAAGTTGTAAAATGTTGCGCTAGCATAGGAGTTGGCAAATTATGGCTTGTAGGCCAAACTATATTTTCTTTTTCCCTTACAAACAGAAGCCCAATCTTGTTCAGGTATGGGTGACCACTTGCTTAATGGATAACTCCTATTCCCCAGGGAGTGAATGTTGGTTATTTCAAAGCATTCATAGTCAATCTGTCCTCCTTGCCAGGGATTGGTTTAGGCATGGTCTTGTGATGCAACCCGGAATAGTAAGACATAACTGAAAGTCCACTAGAGTGTTACTGTAAGGTTTTTCTAACTCTTATAAGACACACACACACACACACACACACACACACACACACACACACACACACAAAGGCACTTCATGAGGATCAACCCTTTCTACATTTGGATGTTGCAAATGAGATGTGGTATTTGAAGCCAGAGCAGTCCTTGCAGTCATGAGGGAAGAGCCAAGAGAATCACACAGATTCCTTAGAAATGTTGCACCTTTGAATTAATCAATCTTGAATTAATCTGTTCTAGATTTCTGTTAGGAGACATATGGAATTCATTATATTATAATTTAAGATACTTTTATGTGTCTTTACTGAAACAATCTGATCACCTTGACCCTCTCCACATGACTCTTTGGAGAAAGGTACAATAGAGAACAAAGTTAAGTGGATGTCCCATCCTTCAAAGCAAAGCTTCAAATGAGGTCCTCTGGTAAGAAGCTCCTGATTATGAACAATAAAAAGCTGATTAGAGCTGGGATTATTCTTAATAAGGTTTGAGACCTTAACAACGTCTTTATGAAAGATAATATTCTTTATGAACAAGGGGTTAAAGAAAACTCTGTACCTTGCTAAGCTTAAGAAAGCTACTTTAGGCGTGGCGCATTCAGGTTCTCCTGGACCATAGTGGTAGTCGCTGGCCCGAGTTAGAGGCCAGCTGAGAAGTCTTCGTGCTTCAGATTTGTTTACCTACAAAATGCTTCGGTATCCATATTTTTGTAGAATGTATAAAGAATGCCTTTCATGTTGGTTGGAATCTGGCATACCTAATTTAGGTGTCTGGCCAAAAAGAATACATACTACAGCAGAAAAATATAGAGAATATGAAGCCCGGGAGCAAACAGATCAAACTCAAGTCCAGGAGTTACACAGATCTCAAGATAGAGATTTTGAAACTATGGCTAAATTACATATTCCAGTAATGGTGGATGAAGTTGTTCATTGTTTGTCACCACAAAAAGGACAGATTTTTCTAGATATGACATTTGGTTCGGGAGGGCACACAAAAGCCATTCTGCAGAAGGAGTCAGATATTGTTCTCTATGCCTTGGACAGAGACCCAACAGCTTATGCATTAGCTGAACATCTTTCAGAGTTGTATCCTAAACAAATCCGAGCTATGCTGGGCCAGTTCAGCCAGGCAGAAGCCTTATTAATGAAAGCTGGAGTGCAGCCAGGAACTTTTGATGGAGTTCTTATGGATCTTGGGTGTTCCTCCATGCAACTTGATACTCCTGAAAGAGGTTCTTCCCTTCGGAAAGATGGCCCTTTGGACATAAGAATGGATGGTGGCAGGAACATTTCCTCCCTCTGCTATTTATACACGGAAAGACTTACTACAGCAATCTACCTATATTGCCACCAAGACTTTCCAGGCTCTTCGCATATTTGTGAACAATGAGCTCAATGAACTCTACACGGGACTGAAGACAGCTCAGAAGTTTCTGAGACTTGGTGGTCGTCTTGTTGCCCTCTCCTTCCATTCACTAGAGGATCGCATCGTCAAAAGATTTTTGCTTGGAATAAGCATGACAGAAAGATTTAACCTAAGTGTTAGACAACAAGTGATGAAAACATCTCAATTGGGTTCAGATCATGAAAACACGGAAGAAGTCTCTATGAGAAGAGCTCCTTTAATGTGGGAACTGATACACAAGAAGGTATTTAGTCCACAAGATCAGGATGTACAAGATAACCCCAGAGGGCGCTCAGCCAAGCTTAGAGCAGCTATCAAATTATAAGTTACCATCATCTTATTCTTCAAATTTTTTCTCACAATTTCTCTAATCTTTACTCATGTTATGTCCCTGAATGTCTTGGTATAGGTTTAAGTGTGGGACAGTCTGAAAATTGATAGCATTTAGCATTTCTTTTTTCTCAAAAAGAAACTGTAGGAAATACATGACAGAGAAAGTTACACTCAGGGAGCAGCAGCACCTCCAGACTGGAAAAATGTGTTAATCTTTGCATCATATTGGACTCTTGAAGGCAATCCTTCCTCTGGCCAGGAAATTTTTTAAAAAATAATACTGTGTTGTGTTTATCTAAATACGTAAACTCAAGCTACCAAAGAGAAAGATGTTGTAATCACATCTGCATGTCCTAAATTTTGAATTTAGATATTCCAATTTGCATCAGTCTTTCTGTGGCTCAAATAATGATGATTATGGAATGAATTTTAATGTCCCTACTTGTGAATAATTAGCTTTCTCAAATGTAGGCTTTTTACAAATTTTAAATTTTAAAATATTAGTTTAAATGTGTGTTATACTGATAAAATTTCATCTTTCAAATTATAGTCTATTATTTTAAAGGGATTTTTCAGTATGATATGGGCCATTTTGTTCATCTATCGCAAAGTAAAAATGTAAAGTCGTTACAGAGAATTGTTTCACAAAACTTATATTTCATGTCAATTGTATTTATTTTAATAATAGCTCACAATGCCTTTAGTAAGTAATAAAGTCTCTTATTAGAATCTTGTATTTTTTAATTGAGCTAATCAAAATAATTCAGCCAAGTCTATTTGAAATAGAAAACTGTCTATTTAATATAGTAAAATCAATGCTCCCTTAATGTTGTTACAAAGATATGGTAACTGTAATATGGGTAAAAGTTTATTCAAGAAAAGAGTACTTGGTAGAAGATTCCTTAACAAATTGAGGAGATTGATTCATAATTCACATGTCAATTTTTTATAGTAATATGTACTTCTAATTTATTATTTATACTTGAATTGTGACCTGAAAGATGAATTGGAGATAATTAGTCAAAGGGCACATGGAGTATGGAAGGGGGCATGTTGATTAACCATACATAGAAATAAATATTCTCTTAGTTATCCTTGAAATCATATTTATACTATTAATTTGCTCAGTGCACTTTTTTCAAATACAGAAAAAAGATTCTCCATTATAGTTACAAATTTTAAGTTGGTGAATCCAAGTGAATGAAATATCAGCATAACTATGTGGGCAAAATAGATAGAATTAAATGCATGAATTTTTCTCAGACTTATTTTATCTGCCTCTGTAATATTTAACTTTAGTACCCAGGCTTGTTCACTACTTCTGCTTTACAGGCTTTATTTAAATCTGAACAATCCCACAGGGAAATCAGAATTAGGAAAAAAATCTGGAGAACAATATGGTTGAAATAGAAACAAGAGAACGCACCTAGGTTAATTCCCTGAATCCTACTTGAACAATGTATAAATTTCTCTTTGCATATAATACATATTTGTGAATGAGACATATTCCCAAAAAATTCTTATCTCTGTATGTGATTGGAAAAGAAAAGATCACATTTGTATATTCAACAATCTTTCACCTATTTCATAAGTCATTTTTTCATCCTGTATAGTATGGGAATTATTTTTTATGTTAAATAGAAACTGAATGTACTGGGTTGAATGGTGTCCTCTCCAAAATTCATGTACTTCCTGGAGCCTCAGAATGTGACCTTATTTGGAAATACTGTGGTTGTGGTTGTAAGTAGCTAAGATGAGGTCATACTGGAGCAGGGCAGGCCCTTAATCCAATATGACTGGTGTTCCTTATAAGAGAAGATAGGGCGGGCATGGTGGCTCACGCCTGTAATCCCAGCACTGTGGGAGGCCAAGCCAGGCAAATCGCTTGAGGCTCAGGAGTTCAAGACCAGCCTGGCCAACATGGCGAAAACCCATCTCTACTAAAAATAAAATTAGCCAGGCGTGGTGCTTGTAATGTCAGCTACCCAGGAGTCTGAGGCACAAGAATCACTCGAACCCGGGAGGTGGAGGTTGCGAGATCACACCACTGCACTCCAGTGTGAGCAACAGAACGAGACTCTGTCTCAAAAAAAAAAAAAAAAAAAAAAAAGGAAGAAAGAGAAGATAGAGACACAGGGGAGAATGCCACATGAAGCTGGAGGCAGAGATTGGAGTGATACATTGTGGGAACCCTCAGAAGATAGGAAAAAAGCATGGAATAGATTCTCCCTCAGAGTTCCAGTAGTTGCCAACCCTGCTAACATGGTTTTGCACATCTAGCATCCAGAACAGTGAGAACGTATTTCTGCTGTTTTAAGGTACCCAGTTCATGGTAATTTGTTACAGCAATCCTAGGAAGCTAATACTCTGACAGAAAAAAATCTTGGATAATATGCATGAGAAAAATCCTTCAATAAACACAAAATTGGTTTCAAAATGTTTTCATGTAAAAATAAATTAACTTTTCTGTAATAAAAAAAAAAGAAAGCTACTTTATATCCTGGAGAAAGGAATTTCCTGGGCTCTGAGCTAGTTAATAAGTAATTTCTAACTAGCTTGGTTCTCTTCCCCACATAAGAAGAACACTTAAAGGACGCTTGAATCTGCAAAGTAAATTTACTATTAGACAATCTCAATGCTAAGATTTTCCATCCTACATCTTTTTCACTAACCAATTTCCATTCTCCCCCATCTTCCACAAGAGATCTGTTTTACTGGGCTATCTGACTAACTGTAGTGCTTGCCATTATTCAGTATTTAACTGCTCCTTTGAAGAAACCTTACTTTAAATGGGTTTATCTTTAGCATGTAGATATACCACTTTCGGAAAGCCACTGGTAGTCTACTCTTGGAATTTCACACAAATTTTAACACTTTCAACAGGCTTTTGAATTTTTCACATTTGTAGAGCTCGTTTTAATTATTAATTTATATTGGAACAGTTCTCTGATGATTCTCCAATATCATTACTATTATTTTTACTATTTGTATTAGTTTTCTATTGCAGCTATTACAAATTACAACTTAGCAACTTTAAACAACACAAATTTATACTTACAGTTCTGGAGGTCAGAGTCCCAAAATCAAGGTGTTGGCAGAGCTGCATTCATTCTGGAAGCTCTGGGGGAGAAGGTGTTTTCTTATGTTTTGTAGCTCCTAAAGGCCATCTGCATTCATTGGCTCATGGTCTCAGCCTCCATCTTCAAAGCCAGCAGTGCAGAGCATCTTTCCATCTCTGACTTGTCTCCTTATAAGGACCCTTGTGATTACACTAGGCCCACTAGAAGATAACCTATCTCAGGAGTCGGGATTCCTAATCAATAGTGCTTTTTTTGCCATATAAGGTTACATATTGACAGGTTCTTGGGATTAGGACTTGGACACTTTTGTGGGCCATTATTCAGCCTACCACAGTACTTACTATTCCTTCTGCTGCTACTACTGCTATTCTTACTACCACTCATTAAAATTTGATTGTATATCAAGAGCCAGGCACTCTTCTGCTTTACATTCTTTATCTCAGCCAACAAGCCACATATTCAAATTGTGCAAATAACTTTCTTGGGCAGGCTTGTAACTAAGCCATTGCTTTCTGATAAGTAAATGACACTAATTTATCACAAAATTGAATTCCCCTAACAATGACCCACAAAATCTGCATTCCCACTCCTGTCTAGCACTGACTTGTATGTGCCTATGTTATTAATAATTATAAATAAGACTGCAAACTTGTAGCTTAGAAAAATATAGTCATAAATCTATAGTAATGGATATAAACTGGCATTTAGAAATCCAGCTACATTTATGAGTGGTTGGAACTAATGCTTATAGATACTGGATTCAATTAGCTTAGACCACTGAGACTAATGCTAATTAGATTCATGATTGCTACTTCTATAGGGAATAGTTAATTACACCCAGTTTAGAAACTATGACTTAAACCCTTATCCAAAATACTATAAAATGCATGACCTTCAAGTGAGACCTTTGACAAAAAAAGTGTAGGTTAATGCCCCAAATCTATCACTGCTGTTCAAAAAACAATTTATAAACTGATGGTTGCACAAGAATTTCTTATTCTTATTGACGAGTACTATATTATCATGTAGTTGTGTAGCACCTGTTGAGTGTACTCTTGCCACTCAAATCTGTTAAATAAGATCCTTAATATACTGTGATACACTTTGAAGAGCAGCGTGATGTATCTAACATGAGGCCCACCAAATGGACAATTCGGCACCTAAGACTTGCTAAGCATTAGAAGGGTTAGAGGCTCTTGAACTGGGTTGAACCTATTAGCTATCTGATTTAAGGCTATTTTAAGATTGGATATAATTAAGGACATGCACCTAGTTAAAAAAGGAAATTATTTAAACATGAATATAGAAATAGTCTAGCCCAGTGGTTCTAGCCTGTTAACTATGAACACCAGCAGCATATTGGAATTATCATAAGGAACCATTAATCCATTTAAGCATCATATATGTCTATAGACTAAGTATATCACACATATCAAATGTAGATATATATATTTGTGACGAGTAATCCAAGTTTGATTAAAAAAAAATCATTGAATTCCTGGTAGCTTTTGGTCATTCTGCATTTTAGAAATCATTAGGTAATTAAGAATTACTATGATAATCGATGAAATTGACATATTTAAAATGGCTGGGCACTGCTCCTCTAGCTTGAAGAATTTGGCAAGTGTTCATGAAACACTTCTACCACACAAACAC
Source organism: Homo sapiens (assembly GCF_000001405.40). Lineage (NCBI taxonomy): Eukaryota > Metazoa > Chordata > Mammalia > Primates > Hominidae > Homo > Homo sapiens. The sequence continues at coordinate 156,709,139 of NC_000003.12, read as the reverse complement.
TTCCATTCACGTAAGATTAAAGCTTCAAAAGAGCTGCCATCTGACAGTTCTATGCAGGAGTTGTCTTCCAAAAGATACGTGAAGAAATGAGTTAAGCAATAAAATAAGACCAACTAATTAATGCTGATGAAATCTTTCAATAGCATCTTTTTCTTTCTATAATGATGGCTTACAAGTAAGATTAGAAAGTTAAAGAAGGTAAAAAGCACTGTTTAATTTCTTTAACTTGGCCATAATAAGAGTACTTAAATCAACAAACTAGATGGGACTGTTTTTAAAACTATCTTTTAATGGAAAATGTATCTGGCTTTTAATTTGTAAGTACATGCTATAAGTTGTTTGTATAGCACTTTACAAAAAATTTTTGCATTGTAGTGTTTTAAAGTTAGATAGTCTCATCATTTATAGTCATTTAAAAAAGTCAAAGATGAGAAAGATGAGAAAACTAACCATGTGGTAAGGTTAAGTGATTTGTTCAAGGCTGTATAGTTTAGTTACAATAGAAGAGCTTAAGTTATTTTTTTAAAACCGCATGGTAATAGCAACAACATACGTGGTATGGATTAGATTCCAGAAAAGTACTATGTAGGATTTTCTAAAATGTGTTTTGACTGTTAGATTCAAACTAAGGAAATCTAGAAACATCTTGCAGTAATCTTACTTTCCTTAAATGAAGGAGGAAAAAACCTCTCTTTAAACTGACAGTATGGTATTGGATTCCTATTTAGTCATTTTCAGACCTTATATAATAAAATTTCTTTACAAGTATATCAGGCCCTAGTGACTTTTTATAACCAACTAATTGTTTACTAAAACAAACAGGTTTGTAACAAGGTGCAGAGATGGGTATTAGATTCATAATACCAAGGATCCAATATTTATAAACTTTGGACACATACAAAATCTTCCTGTCTATAGGATTGTATGACTGGAATCTCAGGGAGTTTGTAGACTCTCTTTTCCTGGAAATCTTAACCATAGTTTAAGAGCAAGTTCCAGCTTCTTGAAATGGTGTAAATTACAGCTGTGCTGGTAGAAGTTACTGAATGCCTTTTAGTATGTTTTAAATCCATAGAACCATTACAAAATTTAGACTGACTTGGTAGTTATTACTTAGTTAAAACAACATACGATGCTATTACAGGGATATAAAAATCATTACACTGGGGCTAAAAGCACTGTTAGAAATGCTTATGTATACTAATCAGATGACTTTGCTAGCTGGCTGAAATCTAAGGGGCTTTGAGAGCTGATGAGACTTCTACAATTCCATTCCCCCACTTTTTTTTTCTTGAGACAGTTTCACTCTGTTGCCCAGGCTGGAAGTCAGTGGCACAATCTCGGCTCACTGTACCTCTGCATCCTGGGCTTAAGCCTCAGCCCCCTGAGTAGCTGGGACCACAGGCACACATAACCGCACCCGGCTAATTTCTCTATTTTTGTAGAGACGGGGTTTCGCCATGCTGCCTAGGCTGGTCTCAAACTCCTGAGCTCAAGCAATCCGCCTGCCTTAGCCTCCGAAAGTGATGGGATTATAGGCATGAACCACCATGCCTGGCCATACAAATCCTTTTTATATTTCCTTCACACCCAGTGAAAGGGACAACCTGCTTATGTTTTTCTCTGCAGCTGTCTGCTGATACAGATTGAGTTTCCCTTATGGGAAACACCTGGGACTAGAAGTGTTTCGGATTTCAGGTTTTTAAGTATTTGTGTATTTCCCAGTTGAACATTCCTAATCTGAAAATCCAGAATCTGGTATGTTCCAATGAGCATTTTCTTTCAGTATCATGTTGATGCTCAAAAAGTTTTGGAGGCCAGGTGCAGTGGCTCACACCTGTAATCCCAGCACTCTGGGAGGCCAAGGTGGGAAGATCACCTGAGGTCAGGAGTTTGAGACCAGCCTGGCCAACACGATGAAACCCTGTCTGTATTAAAAGTAATAATTAAAAAAAAATCAGCCGGGCATAGAGGCGGTTGCCTTAATCCCAGCTACTCAGGAGGCTGAGGCAGGAGAATCGCCTGAACCTGGGAGGTGGAGGTTGCAGTGAGCCAAGATCGCACCACTGCACTCCAGCCTGGCGACAAAGCAAGACTCCGCCTCAAAAAAAAAAAAAAAAAAAACTTTTCCATTTCCTCCAAGTATTACCTGCAAAATAAAATATTGATTCTTCTCTTGTAAATGATAATGGGCTGCTAGATAATGTACTTTCTGTAGATTCACACTGCAGAAAAGTTTAAGCAGCAAGTTCTGGTTAGGTCTGTTCATTCAGTCACTCAATCATACATTTAACCAACCAATCAACATTTACAGATCACCAACTATGTATTAATCCAGTGATCTTAAATGGAACCAAAACAACAACAAATTTTAAAGAATTACCATAAGTTTTATTTTTGCTTAGTTTTATTAAAAAAATAAATATGTCATAAAGCTTTCTTTTTCCTTAGGGAGAAAAAAAGGAACAAGTCTCATAAAACCAAATAAGCAATGGTAAGGTGTCTTAACTTGAAAAAGATTAGGAGTCACTGGTTTACAAGTTATAATTGAATGAAAGAACTGTAACAGCCACAGTTGGCCATTTCATGCCAATGGCAGCAAACAACAGGATTAACTAGGGCAAAATAAATAAGTGTGTGGAAGCCCTGATAAGTGCTTAATAAACAGACTGATTCACTGAGACATCAGTACAGATACATCTTGCTTAAACAACACAGAAGTTCCTGAAAAGTTTTGTGTAAATGATATAACCACAAACATTACCAGGAGAGCTTGGTAACTGAAAGAATTCCATGGCGAATTCTTTTGTGAACAACTACTTTCACTTTTGTAAATCCAGGTATTTGCTTTTTATAAGGAGTTTACCTAGTTGCTACCTCTCTGAACTGAGGAAACAGCATATTCACCAAACGTTGTGCTCCAGCTGGACCACTGGCACAATTTCCAAGTTTGTGTTTCTATTAAGTAAGTAGTGTAAGTAAGGTACAGAGTCAGCCAGGGAACCCAGCTGTATCTGACAAAGCAGGTGTAGGAGTGGGACTGCCATCTACCAATAATTCCAGCAAATACTTTTGCTAATATACTTTGTGCAAAACACAGTAATAACCTTATCAATTTGGCTATAGATGTACTTCCTTTTTCTAAAACTTTCAGTCACAAGCTAGGTCTGGAACCCGAAAAGGAAGTAATACTTCTAACCCTCAAGACTGCCTTTAACCAAATTAGCTGCCCAACTCCTTCAAATTGGAATGGATGATAATGAAAGAGACTGAGTTTTCCAAAGCTGAAGTTTAACAACACAAAAATCACATTTCATATCACTAATTAGTGAAAAGTTTTGCTGGTGACAAAAATTTTTCAAATGGTTGTTTTTTGTTGTTGTTTTAACTTCCTCTAAATAGAACTCTGAATTCTGGGGCAAACTCTGCAGAAGTTAAAGTCACTGATGTTCTCTGGTTGGCTGATACATTTTAGTACTGCTGATAGAAATAAAAATTTCTTTCTACCCACCAGAATTTCATGAACTTATACTATACCAAAGCAGTGATGCTTTGGACAGGGAATACGCATGGTAGTACTAGTTCCAGTAAGTTTTATCAAACGTAAATAAATAAATAGAATCCTCACATTGCTCACAGCCTCCATTCCATTTGGTCAAACTTCTACCAGGCCCAAGCCACATTTAAATTAGGCTGTTCAGTTTTTTAATTTAATGCTCCTAATAACATTGCTGTCTATATGTACAAGTGTGAATGAAAAGAGTGTGTAATCTGTAGTCTTTTCCACACTGAGTACACTAGCAATTAGTAAATAATTAAAGAGTAAGTGGTCATTTTAAAACTTGTATTTTTTTTTTAAAAAAAGCATTTTCTAGCACTTTAAAAAATGGGTCTGAAAAGTGCCCTATTAATGTCCAATGCTGTTCCCCACCCAGTCCCACCCATTCAAAACCTGCTACAAATGCTGGATTGAGTTCATATCAAATAATTTAGCAGTACCAAGATTTTTCAAATGGAAACAGTGTTACTGACTTCTTCATATTGGATAACAAAATAAGGGTAACTCTGGTCATCATTAAAAATGACAAAAATCTGAGGCTCAAAGAAATTATCCACACAAGAGTCATAAAGGTCACTGGTGACACTGCCAGGATTGACTGGCGGGGGCCTTCTCATGCCATGACTGCCCATTGTGTATCTGCCCGTCAGCACTTTGGCCAGAAACATGAAGTGGACTCCTTTGGAGGACTTCTTAGAAAAGTTATGAGAGTAGCTTGCCTTCTTTGCAAAATAACTGCCTTGTCCAAACATTGTAGCATGCTTTCCACAGACTCGAGGGTCAAAGTTGTGTTTGCAGATTCCATCTACCACATCCTGGGATGTTCCATGAAATAAATGTCTCTCATTTATTATCCTGTCACGGCCAAACATTTTCCTGTTCATATATTCCTTTTTCCTAATGGAAAGAACAGACAGAGAATTCAGAAGGATGAAATACAGGTCAATTTAACAGGCATGATGTAGTCATAAACTTCTCTTTATGGTTTTAATGAGGAGTTATCAAGGGCAAAATGCCATCAAAGATCCTATTAAAAGTTGAAACTTATCTTTCCACTGTAGAAAAGGCCTTTTCCTTCTTTCTCCACCAATCATTCACTTGCTTTCTCTTTCATCTTAAATCTATTAAGAGTTCTCCTATGTTTTTCCTCAGGATGCCCTCCTTGCCTAATTCCTCCAATCTGAGGGTCTCTTAGATTCTGAGATTCCTGAAATCTAAATGTATTCCCTCCATTTGTCCTTCATTAGTTTGTTGACTTGAGAGGCACCACAGTAAAGGGATTAAGAGCAAGGCCTCTGGTGCCAGACGGCCTGGGTTCAAATTCCAGCACCATATCATAATAGCCGCATGACCTGCAGCAAAGTAAGCTTTCTGTGACTCAGTTTCTTCTTCTCTGTAGGATATAAATTGTAATAATCCTACTTATGTCTGTTATGAGGATTATATGTCAGTCAATACACAGAAAATATGAACATAAATTCTGTGCAAATGTTTACTATTATGTTCCTCATTTGACACTGGCTACAATAAAGCTCTCTTGATTCTTGAACTTTTTTTTTTTTTTTTTTGAGACGGAGTCTGGCTCTGTCGCCCAGGCTGGAGTGCAGTGGCGCAATCTCGGCTCACTGCAAGCTCCGCCTCCCAGGTTCACACCATTCTCCTGCCTCAGCCTCCCGAGTAGCTGGGACTACAGGTGCCCGCCACCACGCCCAGCTAATTTTTTCTATTTTTAGTAGAGACGGGGTTTCACCGTGTTAGCTAGGATGGTCTCGATCTCCTGACCTCGTAATCTGCCCGCCTCGGCCTCCCAAAGTGCTGGGATTACAGGCTTGAGCCACTGCGCCCGGCCGTCTTGAACTTTTCATACATCTGACTCACCTTTTATATTTCTCCCAAAGAAACTGGTTTTGGACTCTCAATATCTGCAAAATTCTGTATTTAAACTCAGGCACAGTCTTATGAAAAAGATTGTAAATGATCCGATAACTTTTATCCTCTGCAGAAACAGGGACTTGGATGAAGTCCTGAGATGGATGCATATAAACCCAAGTTTCAGGGTAAAAGTTTGCTGAAGTGACCCCATCTGGGCAGATAATTTGTGATGATGAAGTTGCTTCAAGAGGTGGAGGAGCTTGTGTGGGAACCCCACCAAGTGTCCTAAAATGGAGAGGAAGAAACATCAATGTAAAACATTAAGAAATAAGTACACCTCACATTATAGTGATCTATATCAGTGTCTACTTAATATTATAATCTGTATAGCTTAAGTGCTTATTTTAAAAGTAAAAAATGCTATCTATTTAATTAAAAAAAAAGGCTTGGAGCAAACATCGCCTGTACATGAATAACCTATTATTAGCCTTCTGTGGGCCTCCTTCCTGTGAAGAAAACTCTGGAATGTATAGCTACAAGGCAAACAAGCAAGAGCCAATTCACAAATACCTTTACGTTTGAATCCTAGACTCCTCTTTATTACCTATAGCTAAAGAAACTTTGTTATATGTTTTCTTCCAAATGTGCTGATACTAAGCAGAAAAGATTTCATTACTAAAGGATGTGTGGGTGGGAGACAAAGTAAGGCATGCAGCAAGGAGGGAGCTTATAGGGAGAAAAAAAGCTACTTTAATTTCTGTATAAAAACAAACAAAAATCATGGAGCAGGACCTGAATGCTAATATTTGACATTTGCTTCGTTTTCTAAGATCACACATAGAAACAAAACCACCAATACTATTCAACTTTTATAGCTTTGAGTGTGCTTAAGATGGAGCTAATTACTATAAACTCTAGATACCAGAATGCATATCCGTGAGCCTTTAAATTCATGTCTGTTACTTTGAACAATGATTTTAGATAAGCAGCAGCTTTGGTAAGTTACTTATTCCTGCCTAGTTAAATGCTTAAATTTAAATCATATTCCTTGGCCATTTCGAAATGGAGAAAAAGAGAAGTGGAAGAGAGCAAGGAAATCCTGACCCTGAGACCTAGTTCAGGGCCAGGTGCTATAACACTCATTGGCACATACTGGTCACAAGGAAGTAATAATGTGTGCCAAAATGTATTAGGAAACTGAAATTTTCATAAGAGCTTTGTGACACAGAGACTACAACTTTGTGTGTCTCATCTCCAAAGAGCATAGCTGACCATCTCTCTCATCATAATCATAACCAATTAATACTATGTGCCAGCCATTTTACATACAATATCACTAATTGTCACAATAACCCTGTAAGATGACTTGGTTATTCCCACTTTTCAAATGAAGAAACTGAGGTTTAGAGAGATTAAATAATTTGCCCGAGTATAGCTAGCAAAGAGCGAAGACAGAATTTGAATCTAGGCCAGGCCCATCTAGATAGTTTCTAATTTCATACTCTTTTCAGTTCCATATGTTTCACAATTTATATATATATTTTTTAAAACAAGGCTAGAAAGTGATCGACAGGATACTAGGATTCCAACCTAGTTTTGCCTGACACCACCATCACCACCACCACCACCACCACAACCACCACCACCACCACCACCACCACCACCACCACCACCACCACCACCACCACCGCATTATCATCAACACACAGTCTTTTAGGAGATGACTTTCAAGAAGCTAAAACAATGGAAGCATGACTGCCGTCTCTAACCCCCACCTTCTACAAGTGACTGTGCCTTCAATTCAATGTGCCTCAAAGTCTCTTTGTGAGACAGAGTCCTGGATGGATGGGTGGATCCAGGGCTTACTGAATCTCCGAGGTGCTTTTAAGTACAGGGGGAGATTTAAAGTGCTGCTGGTTTCTCCAACCTTCACAACAAAAGGCACAACAGTCCTTGTCCTCTGTAGCATTTTCTCAGAGCCCACACAGATTCCTTTGGATCCTCAGTACTGATACATTTTTCTGGTACAATGGTACATTTTTCACTGGTACACTTTCCTGAAGAGAGGTCTGACTGCTTTAATCAGATTCTCAAATATCTATAACTCCTTAAAAAGCCATCACTAATCTGGAGGAATGGCGGGGAAGCAAAGAATATAAGCCCCTTATTTTTATTTAATAGCTCCTCCCTCTATCCAGCTTTGCAAAGAAAAGGGTAAGTCCCCAGCCCACCAGGTTTTCTATTATTATCAGGGCTTGAAGTTACCAACACAGGCTTCTGGTTTGAAAGAAAAAGGTAAGATTCTCTGCAAACACTCTCCTCTAGAGGTTTTAGACTGTCAGCCTGTACAGCAAACCTAGCCGTGACAACAGAAGAGATTCTGCCCCTTTTCTTTCTGATATCACTACTATGGACCCGTTCCATAAAATGCAAACTTCAAATATAGCTTTTCCTTTTTTGCAGGGGATGGAGGTCCATTATTACTAACATATGCTTGAAGATGAGCCGAGATAAATAAATCCTATCCATTCTAAGATATTAAACTGGACTATGTATATGGTTAACATCCATTCCAACCCATAGATGCTTACTTTTAACAAGCCAACATCCTAACTTGCCTAAAACATAAAAATGCATATACACATCTGTCTGATGGGCTTCAACACTCTAATAGCCATGGGTTAAAAAAATATGTTTCAAGCGCAGTTACAAATGTGCCTTTATTTTCTGAGAATGAGTTTGTATTCACTGCATGGGTATTCCAAAGATATACTGCATGTTTCACAGACGGACACCAGCCTTCTCTAGAGAGGGAGTCAAAGGGAATTGAGCTTCTACACAAGGATCTCTGAAGAATGAAATTTCAGAATCCAAACTCACCTTTTATTACTTTCCCTCCTTCCCCTTACCATTTTGAAAGATGTTTACTAAATCAGTTTCAGCGATGAAATACAAATTAATTCATTTTATCCTTTTCAGGGGGGATTAAAGAAACTGTGCCAGGCATTCCCATGACCATGAGGTGACTGCATGGGATAAATGTTCTTTCAGCTGAAAGCACTGAACCACCAAACCCCTAAGCTTTGTTTGCTTATGCAGTCTCAGTTCAAGTATTCTAAGATCAGCCCCATTAAAAAGCAGGAGAAACCTTTTAAAAACAGCTGAATTTGTAGAAAATTCATTAATTAAGTCAACTTCCTACCCCACCCCTTCTACTCTTAGGCATCTGATTCCCTGAGAATTGTGGCCTCTTTAACACCTATTTTTTTTTTATCCTTTGCATTTAATAACACTTAAAAACAAAACATCATGCCTGTAATCCCAGCTACTTGGGAGGCTGAGGCAGGAGGACTGCTTGAGGACAGGAGTTCAAGACCAGCCCCAGCAACATAGTGAGACCTTGTCTCTACACCAAAGAAAAAAAAAGAAAACATTAGCTGGGGATGGCAGCATCCACCTGTAAGTCCCAGCTACTTGGGAGGCTAAAGCAGGAGGATCACTTGAACCCAGGAGTGCGAGGTTACAGTGAGCTATGATGATCATACCACTGCACTCCACCCTGGGCGACAGAGGAAATTCTGTCTCTAAAAAAGTTTTAAAAAATATAAAAAATAAAAAATAAAAAAATAAAAAAGTTTTAAAAATTTAACAAAACAAAAACCACTTAAAAAGAAACATTTTCCCTGGCTAAGATCATAGCCTCTGGAATCTACTTCTAAAATATGCTTTTTGGAACCAATTCCCCTCATCTTTCTCCCTACTAGGTCCTTCAGCCCCACACTCTAGGGTAGATAGGATCACTGCATTTACCCATCCCACCCTGGTGGACTGGCTATTTCTCTGCTCTTTTCTCACTGAAGTTTAATATTTCTTTGATTTGCTGATCTCTTACTTTATACCTGATTATCAGTTTTAGACAGAAAGATTAAAATAGAAAATTTTTAAAAGAAAAAGGAAAATAAAGAGTAACTATTTTTGTTCTCTTGTAAGCCCATATTATCAATATATGACTACCTAGTAGATATTGAGCATTCTATTCCAGACCACTGCAATAAAGCAAATATCACAATAAAGTGAGTAATACAATTTTTTAGTATCCCAGTGCATATAAAAGTTATGTTTATACTATACCATAGTCTATTCAGTACATAATAGCATTCATTCTTTAAAAAAACAATATTTATACCTTAATTTAAAAATACTTCATTGCTAAAAAACACTAACAATCATCTGAGCCTTTGGTGAGTCATAGTAATTTTACTGGTGGGAGGGTTTTGCCTTGATGATGGCCTGACTGATCAGGGTGGTGATTGCTGAAGGTTGAGGTGGCAGTGGCAATTTATTAAAATAAGACAATGAAATTTGCCACATTAATTGACCCTTCCTTTCATGAAAGATTTCTGTTGCATGCAGTACCATCTGAAAGCATTTTACCCGCAGAACTTCTTTCAAAGTTGCAGTCAATCCTCCCAAACCTTGCTGTTGCTTTATCAACTAAGTTGATGTAATATTCCAAACCCTTTATTATTTCAAAAATCTTTACAGCATCTTCACCAGTAGATTCCATCTCAAGAAACCACTTTCTCTACTCATCCAAAAGAAGCAACTCCTCATGCATCCAAGTTTTATCATGAGATAGTAGCAATTCAGTCACATCTTCAGGCTACACTTCTACTTCTACCTCTCTTGCTATTGCCACCACATCTGCAGTGACTTCCTCCACTGAAGTCTTTAACCCTTCAAAATCATCCATGTGGGCTGAAATAAACTTCTTCCAAATTTCTGTTAATGTTGGTATGTTAACCCCCTCCCATGAATCACGATGTTCTTAATGGCATCTAAAATGGTAAATCCTTCCCAAAAGTTTTCCAATTTACTTTGCCCAGATCCATTAAAGGAACCACTATGTATGGCAGCTATAGCCTTACAAAATATACTGTTAAAATAGGAGGTCTTGAAAGTCAGAATGACTACTTGATAAGTGGGCTGCAGAATGGATGTTGTATAGCAGGCATGAAAACACTAATCTGTACATCTCCATTAGAGCTCTTGGGTAACCAGGTGCATTGTCAATGAGCAGTAATAGTTTGAAATAAGTCTTTTTTTCTTGAGCAGGTCTCAATAGTGGGCTTAAAATATTCAGTAAACCATGCTATAAACAGATGTGCTGTCATCCACACTTTTTCCATTTATAGAGCACAGGCAGAGTAGATTTAGCACAATTTTCAAGGGCCCTAGGCTTCAACTTAAAGTCACCAGTTGCATTAGCCCTTGACAAGATAGCCCTGTCCTTTAAAGCCAAGCATCAACTTCTCTCTACCTATGAAGTCCTAGATGGCATCTTCTTCTAATATAAGTTTGTTTTGTCTACACTGAAAATCTCTTGTTTAGTTTAGCCACTGTCATCAATGATCTCAGCTAGATTTCTGGATAACTTGCTACAGCTTCTACATCAACACTCCCTGCTTCACCTTGCACTTCTATAAGAGAGATGGGCTCTTAAACCTCATGAACCAACCTCTGTTAGGTTTAAACTTTCTTCTGCAGCTTCCTCACCTCTCTCGGCCTTGAAAGAACTGAAAAAAGTTAGGGCCTTGCTCCGGATTAGGCTTTGGCTTAAGGGAATGTTGTAGCTGGTTTGATCTTTTATCCAGATCACTAAAACTTTCTCTATATTAGCAAGAAGGCTGTTTTACTTTCTTATAATTCGTGTGCTTACCAGAGTAGCACTTTTAATTTCCTTCAAGAACTTTTCCTTTGTATTCACAACTTGGCTAATGTTAAGGCACAAGAGGCCTAGCTTTTGGCTTATCTCAGCTTTCAACATGCCTTCCCCACTAAGCTTAATCATTTCTGGCTTTTGACTTAGAGATGTGTAACTCTTCCTTTCACTTGAACACTCTGCCGTCTTATGTGGGTGCTGTTCTTGGCACCCCAAAACAAATGTAACATAAAGATCACCGGTCAGATCACCATAACAGATACAATAATAATGAAACACCTGAAATATCCGAAGAATACCCGAAATATGATTCAGAGACACAAAATGAGCGCATGCTGTTGAAAATACAGCACTAATAGATTTGGCTTGACCTAGTGCTGCCACAGACCTTCAATTTGTAAAAAACACAATTATCTGTGAAGTACAATAAAGCAAAGCACCATAAAACAAGATATGCCTGTATAATGAAGGCATATTTGTGGCATTAATTGTATTGCTGCTTATATTATCTTTATAGTTCATACTTTTACAAAACAAGCCTAAGCTTCAAAAAAAAAAAAAAAAGAGGGCATATTCCATAATTACTTATCATGAGATAAAAACAGACGCATTTTCACCATTCACCGAAACTTTCCAACAATGCAGAACTTGCATTCTTACCCTCACACAGAAGTTCTATCTTGCTTGATTGGCTCAGCATGCCAAGCTGCTGGTCTCACTAATGGGTTCTACTATCTCACCAGGAGGACAATATATTCCTAACTACTGGACACTGACACTATCTCCAGCTGTGCTAGTAAAATCACAGAAATGGCATTTTTACTAGTTCTAATTTTTTAAGAAACCCTACAAGGTAAAATTTTTCTAACGGGCACTTAGAAGAAAGAACACACTTAACCCAATCCAATATATATTTCTAAGATTAATCTTACTACAAATTTCTTTTGGATACTGATCATTTCAGGGATTTTTATTTGTATTTTGTTTTTACTGTTCCCCTTCCAAACATGGGATTAGAATCACTAAGATTTTCTCATAACAACTTAGGGAAAACAGTTTGAGCTAAAATAAAAACAGTAGGAATATAAAAATGGTATCTTTTCCTCAAAGATCAGCACAAAAAAACCAACCATTACGCTAGACTTCTAAAGTTCATAAAACCAAGTAAACCTATACCATTTTCAAAATCAGTCTCTAAAAATAGCATATCTGACTGGAGTAGATAATGATTTCCCTAGAGATACTAATTTTCAAAGGTGGCCATGTGAATGGTAATGTGCCCCACCTTTTGGTATCTATAAAGATGTGCCACTGGGTTGTCTGGAGACCAAAGGAAGAAACAACTCTTGGCAAAATGGAAGAAAAGCTCACCTACAATTCAGAAGAGTGAGTTCAGTCCTAACCTTACATTAAGAAACTGTATTCTTAGTAAGTATGACAAGTAATTTTAGTGAGTATCACAAGAAGAGGTGGCTTACCTAGCAAATGAGAATGTAAATTATTTGAAAAGGTGAACTTTCCCCATTCAAATTCCCTCAAGTAAAAGGAAAACAAGAAATCACCTTGTAGGACTCTCCTCACTTGCCCCGGCAGTTTGGCTAAGTTGTCCTGTAACATAGAAGGGTCTCATCTTGAAAGTAGTTTCATGGAAGGAAAAAATCTTCCATGAAGGAGGTAAATGCAAGTTCTGTGACTCATTCCAGACACAATTATATTTAGTTGTGGAAAAATGTTAACTCTAAAAAATCCAATAAGTTACTCATTCTTCTAGTGTAACTGGATTTATTGTAGCTTATTTACACTCAATTTGTTGAGGAATTAAAATCCAAAGACTAATTTGGAATTTCACATTCTAGGAGTACTAACCAAGGTAGACTCTTATTTATTTTTTATCTCTAGTATTCAGGAATGCATTTACATAAAATGAGAGTAAATATTGCAACTTCATACTCGACACTTACTGTAAATATGGAAGCAGTATAAAACAGGAGCGGAAGAGGGGTCTCCTTTTTATCTCTCTCCTGAAGAATGAATTGTGGAGGATGTAGTGGTTATTCCACATCATAAATCGAACCTCTTTCAGACCCCGAGAGTTGGCTTCTTCAATCAATCGAATGACAGACTATGGAGGAGAAAACAGAACAAAAAAAAAAAAAAAAAGGAAAGTTAATAATCATGGTTAAAAATGAAAATTAACCAAAGGCAAAAGTTAACCTCACAGGAATTTCAATAAAGTACAGTGAGTCTAAATAACTCCCTTTATATGCTAAGATTTTTTTTCCCTTCCAAGTATGTAGGGTGGAAAGATGCTCCCTGTTCATAAGGCATGGATTTCCACCTTACAAAACATGTGGGGCCCAGGGAACTATTTTATTCTATTTTGAGCCTTAATAATATCATAGAGAGTTTTCGTTCATATTTCTTAAGGGAGTTTTCAAAAGAGGAATTAAAGATAGTGATGTTGGCCAGTATCAGTGGCTCACGCCTGTGAGCCACTCCCCACGCTTTGGGAGGCAGAGAAAGGAGGATTGTTTGAGGCCAGGAGTTCGAGACTAGACTGGGCAACATCGCAAGATCCTGTCTCCACAAAAAATAAAAAATAAAAATTAGTTGAGTATGGTGGCATGCACCTGTAGTCCCAGCTATTTGGGAGGCTGAGGCAGGAGCACTGCTTGAGCCCAGGAGTTCAAGATTATAGTGAGCTATGATTGTGCCACTGTACTCCAGCCTGGGCAACAGAGCAAGACCTCTCTCTCAAAATAAATAAATAAATAAATAAATAAAATTTGAAAAGGTGGTGGTATATAAAGTTCAAGCTCTAAACCCAAAAAACTTCTCAGAGGAAAAACACAGGAACAGTCTGAGTATTCTGAGAGTACATTTTAAACAGCCTTGTATTCTATTTGGAAGGTAGATAACTAGTGATTACCAAGTATTCTGAGAGTACATTTTAAACAGCCTTGTATTCTCTTTGGAAGGTAGATACTAGTGATTACTTAAACTTACTTAGTTTAATATTGTGTTTAACAATAATTAACATACTAGGTTTTTTTCTTTTGCTATTGTCTTTAAAAATAAAAGTAAGGTAGATAAGTTGTTCCCCCCTTTTGTAATGCTGGAAATGAACTTAAATTGAAAAAGTCAGATCTTTGGAATGTGAAATTAATCTCTAAAGTCCATTTGAGGTTGTTTAAATGACTCAGAATTGTCATTCAGAAGCAAAGTAAACCATCATCATTTTAAAACCTTGCTTTGAGACTGAAGGGCTATTATCACTGTCTCAGACTAAGGATGCAAGTGCACATAGGAGAAAATTGTAAATAACTGATTTCCCTGACCACAGCTCAATAAACATTTTCAAGTACTTCTTCCAGAGACATGAGTGATTGTTTCCATTGGGCTTCTAAAATGCTAAGTGTAACACTTGATCCAATCTCCATAAGCCCAAGAGCCAGATATAATCAAAAGTTATACCAATTCTCATGTCGTGAAAATTACTCCACAGGCGGCAACAGGTCAAAATATTTCATCTCTATAATGCAAGATTCTGTGGAAAGCATTTTATTTATCTGATAATAGTGGTATGCTATCTTTGGATTTCAAATTAATGGAAAGAAATAAATTTTAAGAAAAAGAGAAAAGTTTTCTTGTATCAATGAGACTCAATTTTATATTCATAAGCTGTTTGATTATATGCATAGTTCTGCCTAGTCATTGTTGTAAAGAAAGAATAAAAGAATACAGGAAGAAAAAAATAAATTTGAAAAATGTACTTGTCAACAAAGAATCTGTAAATACCTCGGGATACTCTCTCCATCCAAAGTGGTCCCTACAGAAGAATTTCCAGACTGTGTGGTAAATAGAGTTGACATTGCTAGAGGGTGGTGTGGACAGCCTTCGTAGTTGGTCAAATTCAGTTGTTTCATACACGTTCATGGCATTCAAATCTGCCCAAAATTCTTGTCCTCTAAAAAAAAACAAAAACAAAAAAAACCCAAAAACCTGTTAATAAATTTGTAAAACAGAAATATCTAAAAATATCATTGGACATTAAAAATACATAGCATAGCCTGTTGTAGAATTTTCAAAACTTGCTTTACTTGGAGTAAAAGCATATTTATTGCCGGTTGTTTCCACAGCATCCATTTCCTACATGCCCTTTCTAATCAAGACCAAAATTTCTAGGCCATGGAATTATAGTAAGATTGATTTAACCCCACAGCACCACTGGCCTAACCCAATCAAAATAAGCCCACCCTCCACTCTACAGTGGGCTGGCCTCAGCCAATCAGGGAGTCAGTTTTACTATGATGCTATATGTAGAAACTAAACATAGACAGAAAATTTCTCTTCAAGCTTGACCTTTTTTTCAGAGGCCATCAGTTTACTTGAGCCAATACAGGAATACACAGTATTGCCTGATCAAAGACAGAATAAAAGAAGGGAAAAATAAAATGAATCCGGATAAAGCCAGTATTAATCCACCCAACATCAATATTATCTTTTATCCTGTGGGTTGAAAAATGTTGGCAAAACATGAAGAAAAAAAAAGTTTGGATTATTATGAGGTTTAGCTTTGAGAATATTTTGGTCATCTTATTATCTGGTCGACTGCTGCTGAATCATTCCTTTACAAATGTCTCCATACTGTTGGAGGGAAGTCCCACTATATGAATCAGACTCATTTAATAATTTATAAAAGGTAGTCCAATAAAAACATTTGTGTTTCCTCTTTTATGGAACTTCACCTAGAGTTTGAAACATTTGAACCATTATTTCAAATAACTGGCATAATGGTCATTATACTCTTCTCTCTTTTCTTTTTTGTGTATGTTTGAAAGTTACTATAAGAAAATATAAAAAATTAAATATATGATAACAGCACAGATATTGTAGCATAGTGTACCACAGATTTCTAAATGGATGTCTACAACACAGGAAATACTCTAGATCTACAGGCATTCAGAAAGACTGGTACATGTGAAGTCTAGGTGTTGAGACAGATTTTCCCAATAATTAACTTATTTCCTTGCTGTAAATTAGGATTTTGAAAAGGATATTAAATTTGATCTGTGGTTGCACCACTGCACTCCAGCCTAGGCAAAAAGAGTGAAACTGTCTAAAAAAAAAAATTTGATCTACGGGTTTTGCTAGCTAGCACATTTTCCAAAATCTGCTCTTAGAATACTTGTTTCAAAAACTATTAACAGGTATTCTGTGCACAAAAGATTCTGCAGACAAATATTTGAAAAACAGATTATACAAATATTTGCCATCCTCTATCCCAATGTTCACAATTTATGAATCAGGTTCTACACTGAAAAAACAACCATATAACCAACTGATGAAGCCAAAAAGTATGGAACTTACAAAAAAGCAGTATACTCCTTTAAAATTCCTAAAGATCTTGCCAATAAACCCCAAACTTCTTGCTTAGTAAGAGTACTAACTAGTTGGATATGGTCTCAAAAACAACATATAATATTAATTAAGTATGAAATAAGATAATATAATGTAGTTTAAAATAATATTTGGCCACTGTTTTAAAATGATTTATGGTAAGTAGGAATATTTAATTCAAATAGAAAAATGTTTCTGGGAAATCCTAAAAAGTGAAACAAACACGACAAAACAAAAAAACAAAAAAAGTCCTGTAAACTGGAACTCCTATGCCTAAATTAAACTTCATATCAAGTTGCCTTAAGCAATTTTCATTAACTTTAGGAGAATCTGATGTTATGATTGGGAAGTGAGATAAAAAACTTTCTCCCTGTTAAGATTGTTTCAAGTTTCTAAACATATTTTTCCCCCTTTAAGCTTATCGCCCAGCAACTGTTCCCAATTATGAGTCACAAATCCTCAGTATTTCCTTTAAGGAGTTCTTAGAACAGCAGTCATTATGTTAACATGCATTATAATATAAACAGCCAATGCTTTTTGCTGTTTAGTGTCAGATTTTATTCTGGACATCACTCTAGCAATTTCTGTTTAAGCCTGTATTACTGAGACTTCATAGATAATGATTTGCATGAGAAAGACATCTACAACTGCAGCTTTTGCTACATTCTCTGTGCATGTCAGTCCTTTGGGCATTATGAAGTTTCTACGACAAATCCTAATTTACTACAATCAACTGTTCTTTGGATTGATGTATCAAAGTACTGTTTTAGCTCTATTTGATTTTCAATATGCTTTTTCTAAACTTGACAGAGACAAAAATCATAAATTTGAAAAACATTAAATTATCTTTTTGTAAGATTAATTTTACCACCTGCTCTCCCTTAAACAGGGAATGCTTTAAAAATCTAAAGCCAAGAGGTTTTTTTCTCCACAATCTGCATCAGCATAAATGTGTGCAATATGGGTGCCAAATGTTCAACAGCCACCACATTCTTCTTTATCAAACTATTGCTTCCTATTATCAGAAAGCAATTATGAGTCATCTATGTATGATAATCGTGATGGTGGGCTCTACTGGGCAATACACGAAGAATTAAACAGATGTAGTCCCTGTCTTCCAGGGGCGTTAAGAAAGGAATAACTAACAAAATGTAAGCCAAAGAAGCAGTACATCTGCCTATCTAAATTCACCAGTGGCAAGTACATTCAGGAAATAAGAGACAAAGAATAAACATGCAGCAATATGGGAGAGGAGGTGGTTATTGGCATCCAGTAATGGATAAAGGTCAGGAAAATTAAGAGGTTTTACTTTATCAATCCAAGATAGCTTTCTGCAAGAAGAAGAATCTTAGAAGCAGTTTAAATAACAGGAAATATCACTGTAAGTAAAGAGCTGTAAGAACAAGGAAAAAGAGGTCTCCAAGCACTTTGCTTCTTGAAAGACGGGTGGAGACAGGATTGGTACTAGTTGGAAAAGGAGACCTTCTAAACAGGGGTATCTGAGAGATGAGGAAATGGGAACCTGTAAATTCCTATAAGGGGGTAAAACAAGCAATGTGAGAGACTTCAGGCAACAAACTGTGGACGTTTAAGTCCAGGGTGTCAGAGCCTTAAGATATAAGGTTAGGAATTTACAGTATTGAGCAGATGAAGTTAGAGTCAAAGCAGTAAATACAGGATGTTGGAAACTGAGCAAGAGAGACAGTGCTAGAGATTGGGGGTGTCTCTGTAAAAGCAAGGTGCAATAATCCTTGTGGATGAAAACCCCATCTGGTCTAAAGGCATCTCTACTGAGGGACAGCCAAAAAAGAGTATGGGTAATAGCCACTGTACAGTAGGATTTATATCTTGCTATTTGTATCAGATGGCTAAATCCATCAGTATTGTTTTATCTAAGATACAGCCCTATCATGAACCAGAAGAAAACAAAACCTTGTGAACAGACTGCTGATTTTTGCTATTAAGGGAAGAATGAACTTGAACCGCTGAAATATTAACAATTCTGTTTTTCCACATCTCACCACCACACATCCCACTATAAGAATCCATATACAACACTAATTTAAAATGCTGAAAAGGACGCCCATTCTCATAATTTAGATGCTTTATAACAATGGTTCTCCTCTTATTCAACAAATATCTGCACATACCAATTAAGCCAACATTTTCCGACATACATTACCAATGCATAGAGCACCAACACCCACATTAAGTCAGAAAGTATGCCGCACATATTTCTTTAATAAGTATACTAATATCTTAGTATTTAAGATCCTGAAAAGAAAGTAAAAAGGACCTATGACATGAATAATAAACAGTTGGAATGCAAACCAAAACTAAAAAAGAAAAAGATGCTAAATGAAACAGAAAATAGTAAGAACACGACTTCTTTCTCAGATAAATAGCTCTTGGGTTTATACATTTGGGAGCTCAGTAAAGAGTGTAACCATTTTAGGCAGTTTCTCTGTTTATAAAGTGTTTGTAACCAAGAAGAAAATGAGACCAAAAAAAAAGCAAAGTAATTTAAAGTAGACACATTAATTTGGTACTGGGCTCTGCTTTGGCCATAAGAAAATGAAAAAGGCAAAATGACACAGAGCACCAATCTAGTGGGAAAAGGAAACCTTGCAGCATAGTGTGAAGTGTGGCACAAAGGTGGTCAGAAGCAGATGGCTTACCTCTGCTGGAAAAGGTGTCAAGAAAGGTGGTCAAGGGAGTTGTTCCAGAGTGGATAAAATGTGAGCCAGGTCCAGCTACCAGGCAAACAATGGGAGGCAGGACACCACATGCGGAGTGACTCCATGTGTAGAAGCTAACCAAACAAGGCACACAAGAATAGTGTGCAAGAGGCACACCCAGTTCATGTGGGAGGTTAGGGTATATGTATCTATGAGAGATAAGGGATAAAACTGGACTGGATAAGTTGGCTTGGGCCAGATAATGAAGAGCTTTGTTTACTGTGTTAAGAAGTTAGGTCTTGATTCTATGGGCAGTAGGAAACACCAGTGAATTTACAACAAAGTCCAGACTTGCCTTTATAAAGGTCACTCCAGTTGTAGTGGTATAGAAGAATGATTTACTTATTTATTTTTGGCAGTGGACAGGTAGAGAAAAACCATTCAACTGCTAAATATTAGGATATTTATCAATATTATTCTATGAACAGCCATGTATAGTTATTAGAACTGCACAAGAGACATATGATGAAAGAGGACTAAGGAGGCAATGTAGGAATGAGCTGAAGTATTTAAGAGTTAGAATTTAACTGCATGAAGGATAATTACACGTGGGGCAGAAGAGAGTGAAAAGAGTCTAGGATGTGTCCCATGTTTCTGGTCTGGGTGGTTGGATAATGGTGCTATTAACAAGACAAATTACCAGACGTACAGCAGGTTTAAGTGGGAAGGTGATAGAAATAAAACATAGAACTCAGACTTTGGCATAGGTTGATTAAATACAAAGTTTTCTGAATCCTACTCTGTACAGTTTTAACCAGATCGGTTAGACTTCAGAACCTTGGCTTCCTGCCTGTAAGAGCTAACTGGTTTCTCCAAGGATAAGCCTGTGACCTCAAACTAATTAACACACACCCTAATCAGCTAGACTCACCATACACAATTAGTAGTGTCCTTTTATTTTATTATTATGATGTAAAGTGAAAATATCTCCCAACACGGAGGGTCATAATGATAGAAAGATAAAGATTAAATGCAATGTGGAGAGTACTTGAGGTTCCGCTACTGGCTTGAGACAGGCACAGCAGATGGGATATGTTTGCCGCTGCTAAAGAAATTTCACTGGCGAACAAAATATAGCTGGCTTTTGATACCTGGCTTTGATATTTCCAGGACTCATTTAGCAATGCTGGAATATCTGGCAGCTTATATCCCTTCAAATGTGTTACAAGGTGATGAGAATCAAAGCCATGGCATACACAATACCAACACATTTTGTGAAAACAGTGTAGTTATTAAACTTCAGAAAACTATGTATTCGTAACTTTCTTCTTTAGAAGCAAAACTATTGTTTATTCTGTTGCTACTTAAGATTTTTGCTAACACTGCCTCAAATAAGTAGCACAGGGCTACTTATTGCGGGGGGGGGCGGCAATAAAACTTATTCATAAATGCTTACATCCAAAGCAACATCTTTTAATACTCACCAGAGATTAAATTTATTTTTCTTTCAGTTTTTTTTTTTTTTTTTTTTTTTTTGAGATAGGGTCTTCTGTCACCCAGGCTGGAGTACAATAGTGCCAACTAGGCTCACTGCCACCTCAAACTCCCTTGCTTAAACTACCCTCCCACCTCAGCATCCCCAGTAGCTGTGACTATAGGCATGATCCACCACACTCAGCTAATTTTTGTATTTTTCTGTAGAGACAAGGTTTCGCCATGTTGCCTGGGCTGGTCTCAAGCAATTCTTCTGCCTCAGCCTTCCAAAAAGCTAAGATTACAGGCGTGAGCCACTGCGCCCAGCCTCAGAGGTTAAAATTCTACACTTAATTACCACACTATGACACTGTAAAACTATTAACATAAAACTCAGATCATGGATTTATCTGAATACCTCAAAAGATTTTTGAGTAGGTAAAAGTGTTCCCCAACTTAAGATACAATGCATTTCTTGGGATAAATTCTTGAAGAAGTGATCATTAGGCCTTGTTGCTGCTCCCTTGGTACCTCCTGAGACATCTTGGAAATTCTTATTCCAAGAAGGCAGCAAGTTAGTGAGAAGGATGCTGTCTGAAATCACATTTATCTGTGTGCCAAACCTCATGTCTGATTCATAAATCGTTAGACATCTGTAGTCTTAAAAGTCATTCTAGAAGTGAACCCAGTGAAATGAAGAGAGGCAGGTAAGTTTCCTAAATGAAAAAGATTATCTGTTTTTAAGCTTTTTAATTGTATATTCTCCAAAAGCATGTGGGGAGCTAAACAAACATAACACAGTTTATTCTCAAAACACACTGATACTAAGACATAGCCATTTGAATACATCTAGATGTTTGCTAAACCCCTAATAAATAATACCATACAATGAAGTCCACCGGCCCCAATGCAACCACTAAAAGCAAATTACAGTATCTACTTAAGGAAAAGAACCTACTAAAATATTGTTATGCTGGCTTTTTTGTTGTTTGTTTTCTATTACACAACTACAGATCAAAGCAAAGAACACAAAAACACTTTCCAATAAAATGTGGATAAGTCTAAAATCTTTCATAAATAAAAATTACACTTATGAGATCAGAAGATCTCACTGCCATCTATTTATGGTAGTGTGGGATTAAATTTTGCATCATGAAGGTACCAGAAATGTCATACAGCCTTAACTTTTATTCAAGTTTAGTCACATGTCCTAAGATCACAGAAGGCACTATAAATGAGACATACTTCTCAACCATAGCCTGATGAGAAAGTGAAACTTAATTTCTGTAAGAACAGCTGGGATAGAAGGCACAGGTTAGTTTTTATAAATTGGTAGCATGCCTTATACTACCTTAAATTATGCAATCACTGATTTTTATAAAGAGTAGATATCCCCTCTGTTAAGAAAAATATTTTTAAAACTGAGAGGTTTCTATCTTATCTCAAAGTAAACAATAAAAAATGCCTCCCATGTATTCAAGGCACAAATAGTGGTTAATTCAATTTTTTGAATATAGACTTTGACATCCCTTAAAAAGGGATAAAATAAACGTTTTTATAATTTTTTCTACATAAATATAATACTATATGTAAATGATAAAATTACTTAAAAATAAGTTGCTTTCAAATACCTCAATTCAGCACTCATTTACACATAACTACTAGTTATAGTTATCATAAAAATATTTTCTAATGCCTAGTAAGATATAAACTATTAGCTTAATTTATTTCTGCTTTGACTTTTAAATTACAAATGATACCCATAAAAAGGTTTTTACTCAGAATTTTCTATTATTTAGCTTTGGCTTTTTCCCCAATTAGTCCAGATGAACTAACTGATCAATGAAAGAATCAGAAATATACTCATTGGTGACTTATTACGTATTTGATGCTAAGAACCCAGAGAAGAGTAAACAGCTTTCAGCAGACTAGAGATTTGAATGCATACAAGCAACCTATATATAGAGAATTCATCACTCTGATAGTTCTTTAAACAAATTGCTAGAGAAAAAGACTTCCTAGAGAAAAGACAGAGAGTCTTTTTATTGTCTAGGTTTTATAAGCTATAACAAAACCTTTCAAACATCGTCTTAAATTGGTAACTTTTTCTGAGGGAGTTGGATTCTACAAAGCCAAGTTTCTATGATAGATTCAATTTTATCAATTAGTTAAGAGAGTCGAAATTATTTCTGAGTAACAAATTTGTAGAACACTTTACATAATGCTTCTGATGTCTGCCAGCATTTGGATAATCCAAATGTCAGAAAGCAAGCAAGCAAAGTTCCTTCTGTTTCACATACTTTACCCTGACTCTGTTTCACATACTCTGCACAGATTCAAGGATGTCTTTCTTTTATTAGGATGAGTAATTAAACCTTAGAAGGCAAACCCAGTGTTTATCCTGTGCTAATTTTTACTCTCTAAATGCCTGGTAATGAAAGAGCTAAGCCAGGTGACACTCAGAAACCAAAGACCAACCACAGCAGGAAATTATTTAGAGTATTTTGTGCCATTTGCCCTCTCTACACCTTGATCAGCTGCAGGAACTGTGAAGATCACAGGGTGCATGCAAGATTCTGAAAGCACATGCACTACTGCAAGCAAAGTTCACCCTTTGGTCCTCACCCTTGCCATTCTTCACTGACTGTTCAAGTGCTAGTGAAAATTTAGACCAAAGATGATCATCCAAACTCTTTGGCTATGTCGTATAAGTGGGACAATTTAAGAATTCTTCAATTAATTCAAAAAGAAAAGCTAATGTAATAAAGAGAAATTCTTGTAAGTGTGGTCTAAACATATTTTCTAATCATTACCAGAAGTACTATGTTTCAACATAAGATTACTCACAAATCCTTCCTTATACTCAGAGGCAATAGCACCAAAACAGAGGACTTCAATTTGCATGAAGAATACAAATTTACTGAACTCTTCCTCAGACAACTTAGTCATGGGAGATTCTCAATACACTCCTTACACAACTTTTTGTGGTACACATACTCGAAAGTCACTGGTTTCTGTAGAAGGTGAAAAGGAATAGTTGCTCTAGCATTCTCACTCTTGTAAGAACTTATCCTTTCATTGTGATGACCATGCAAAGGTTCTTTACTTGTCAAGTGGGTGTTACCAGTAAGTAAACAGCATAGAGCAGAGAAAGATCCAGGAGACAGACACATTTTGTTGTGTGGAAACGGCAAATAGGAATGCTTAGTTAACTCTCTTCAATGCTTGCCTTAGTAACAGTAACTAGCTAAGTCAGCAAGGAAAATTGGAAGTTTCACAAATGACAATTAGAAGTTTACTAACGTCATCAACTTCTAAAATTTGAGTTCCTAATCACAGAATTGATTATATTTAGCTCAAGTCTGCAATACTGTCCTCTTCACAGACTGAATATAAATCTTTACAAACAGAATTTATTGTACATAAAATCCTTAATTTTCAAAAATTTCAAAATGTATTTCAGAACCTACCACTTGTAATTTCAAATTCACTATTAACAAGTGAATTAATCTCAAAAATTTGAAGCTTTCAGTTACTGTGTCAGGGATTGAGGTGGATTAGGTTTAACGTTTGAAGGAAGAAATTTTAAATTGGGGTGAGTCTGTATACGGTATAATTCTCAGTCCCTAGAAAGCACTGTCATAAACAATCTATAAATATAAAAATAAGCCCTATTTAGTTTTGTTAAAGAAATTCCTTCACATCACTGGGCGCAGTGGCTCACGCCTGTAATCCTAGCACTTTGTGAGGCCGAGGCAGGTGGATCATCTGAGGTCGGGAGTTCGAGACGAGCCTGACCAACATAGAGAAACCCTGTCTCTACTAAAATACAAAATTAGCTGGGCATGGTGGCGCATGCCTGTAATCTCAGCTACTCAGGAAGGCTGAGGCAGGAGAATTGCTTGAACCCAGGAGGCGGAGGTTGCAGGAGCCGAGATTATGCCACTGCACTCCAGCCTGAAACTTGGTCTCAAAAAAAAGGAATTCCTTCACATCTAAAATGTGGCTTGTTTGCTCCTAGAAATGGTGAACTTCAGAAGTATTTTATTCCTTGTACAGTTTCTGTTTAAGGTGTTGCAAAGTAGCGGTAAAATCAAGATCTCAGGCTATCACCTATTTCAAACCCAGAATCAAAGGGAAAATGGCTTAACCTTCAGCACTGTGGTCTTTTTCAAAGATACAAAATCTCTCGAACTCACTTTACCTTAAGACCCCAATCTTATTATAAAAGAGAAACTCTCCTACTTTTACAAAGTGAGTTTCTTTCAAAACTTTTACAGTGTCCAATTTGAACTAGCCATACAAGTTGTGCCAAAATAATTATCTTGCAATTTGAAATATGTTTTTTCCTTTGCAAAAAATGATATACACATGTACTAAGTTTTCCTTCCACAAAAAGACAATTGCAACTCACAAATTGGAGACTGATAATTATTAAAGGTTGTTGGCTAAGGTTAAGAGGACTTAAGGTCCTAATTTAAATGCAATCCAGAATCATCACCATCAGACAAAGGATGCAGAATCTGGTGGTCTCAAATCAGGAGATAAAAATAAAAGAGACCATGGGAAAAAAGTCATAATCTCAAATGGCTGTATTTTTGTAGCATTCCTTGAGTAGTCAAGGTTTGCATAGACTACATACTGCTTTATCCTTTAGGAATAGCACCCAAACCCAGAATAAAACTAAGGATCACTGACCATGATTAGAAATACACAGAAGAACTTATGAAGTTTATCTTTACTTTATGGTAGATTGTAAATCTATGATCTAGAAATTCTAGTATAATAGGATAATTCTAGTATAATAGGAAATAGATTTACAGGGACACAACAGAGTTATCAGTCAAAAGTCAGCATTTTTTTTTTTGCATGCCCACTATGTGCAGAATGAAATTTTAAATGCTGAATGGAGTTACTACTATAAATTGAGCACCCCAAATCTGAAAATCGGAAGTGCTTCAAACCCAAAACTTTCTGAGCACCAAGATGATACCCAAATGCTCACTGGAGCATTTCGGATTTCAGATGCTTAACTGGGGTACTATGCAAATATTCCAAAATCCAAAATCTGAAACACTTCTGGTCTCCAAGAATTTTGGATAAGGGATATTCAACTTGTATTCCTTTTTTTTCTTACTTACAATAAAAAGTAAGAGCTTTGGATTCAACTCAATGATAAAATATATAATGTATCATGCAATTATTTTTAGGGAATGCCACATAACCTTACAAGCTATTTCCTCCAACTGTCTGATTTAAAAGTTATAAATCATTTTGACAAGGTTCATTTTCATTACCATAAATACATCAGGAAAAGAATGACCCCAACCTGAAGCCAGGTGGCAGCTGCTTCAAAAAGTCTAATCTGCTTATTGATGAAAAACCAAAAAGGGAATAAATAAATGATTGCTATTGATTGCCATGACAGCTCTACACAGATCCAGTAACTTCTCTGGGTTAGTATAGACAGAAGCCAATTAGTTTTATTTCATATGTAAATAGTAGCATAAAGAAGTACAAAAAATAATTCATTGGATTGCTTTATCCTAAAGCACAAGGCACACATTTTGAAAGTCACTTCAAACACAGTTCTTGCTTATGGAGCTGTCTTTCTCTTAGGCAGAAATTTTTAAAATAAATTTAAACTCATCCAGCTGTGTATATTCAAGAACTACCAAAAAGTCACAAGGCATAGTAAGTTTCAGCTGTTCTCCTCTCTCCAGTGTTATCAATAACACATAATGAGTTAGTTCATACATCATCACAGCTGTGCACGCCAGAGCTAACTTGGCTAATTTAACTACTCCAGTAGAGTTCAGTCAGGAGCTTGCTCTAGTTTAGCTAATTCACTATGCAAGTCATATAGGGACTGTAACAGTATATGCTTTTTATGATCATTAATATACATTTCTCTTTTATATAGAGTTTCTGTGAAGTCATCTAATGGTATTGTCCCTTGGACAGAGTTTAAAAATAGACTTCTAAGGGCAATTAGCAATCAAAATCACTCAGCAACTAAAACTATGACAACACTCTAGCCTTAAGCCTTAAAGCAACTAAAGCTCCCTCTTTTATCAGTGAGCATTAATCCCAAAAGAAAAAAACCCTGTCCTCTGAAAAAAATTAATAATGGATTCAGGGTTTGCAACTTTCCTCTTCCTCTTCACCTCCACTCTCTTTCAATAAATTCAGAATTAGAAATAATCATTGGTCACATGTGCACCTGCAGGTAGCCTCCAAAATAAGGTTTGCAGTGTGTCCCTTCTTGACAGGTGGAAATAAATAGAAAATTGTTCTGGCTCAATTTAAAATGAATGTAATATGAAACTAGTGGTGATCTTGTTTGCTAAAGAGAGATTTGCACAACCTCCATAATTTCAATTATCCACAACAGTACTCCACAGTGTGCAAGGCTCTTTTAAAACTGCTTAATTCTGCCATCCAATGTCATCGTCTACTAAGGATGAGTGCCTACACTGTTCCAGACTCTGTTTTCTTAATCGAAAACACAACACTCAATGTTGTTTCTCAACTGTATATTTGGAATTTGGAAATTCTCCAAGGCTCATCTCGTGTGCAAAAAAGAAGCCTCAGCATCTATATCTGGGAAGTACATACACACTAGTATGCAGTTGATGTTGGCAATGAACGTTTGTAGATGTACAAAAGCAAAATGAGAAAGCAAAGTGGGATTACATCATAATTTCATTACAAGGAACAAATAAGCATGTATTATTGAAATCCTTTTTTAATGTGCTTTTAGTATCTAAGCATCTTGACTAAAAAGTTGGAAAGGTCCTGTGAATTTATCTAGTTCAACTTCCTTTCCAATTTCATTCCTGAGAACAAAATGAACACTATACATATAATTTAGATTTAGGTATTAAATCCAATACATTTGCAAAGCTAAATAAAAGATTTTATCTGTACAGTTTGAAACTATGAACTTTCATCTCTGCTAGAGACCCAGAACTATGAACTTTCCCCAAGTATATCACACAATGAAGATGTTATGGATACAGAATATGATAATGATTTACCAAGCCATATAAACTACTGAAAACAGTGGGATAAACAACTGCCATTCATTATTTCTGAATCCAAAGACTGCTGGTTCCAACTTCGACATATACACAGCTGAACACACACTTCCTGGTTATGCGCAATCTGCACAGATAGACCAGCTTTACAGGCCTGACCACAGAGATTAATAGCTTTAGCCAAATAATGTGGTAACCATGTGAACCTGGGCTGCTCCAGCTTGTTTGTGAATCTCTCAGCAAGGCTCAACATGCCGTTATCTGCATCTTGTTGCCAGGAAACACAACATCGCTTTGGAATACAAGGAAAACCAGGTTGCAATGACCACAAGTCAACTTCCCAAAAGCCTAATTTTTGACACTTAGCTATCTACTATATTACAACATTTCTTCCTGTAATCTTCAGAGAACTTCACTTTACTAGTAATTTAACAGTTAATACTTTTTGCTATTTTCCTAGGACAGGACCACTTATTACCACTAACAATGTAGTAGGAGCAATGGTAATTATAATACTTCACTCACACTTTTCTTCTCCCAAGTGTCAGATAAACATTAGTTTACTTCATTAAAACTGATTTGGAAATCAAGCACCCACTGCAACTACCTCATAATACAACAATGCAGGCTTATGGGCCTATATCTATGTCTATTCTTAAGCAAAACAATCTTACCAAAGGATAAAAAACAGCCATATGCTCCTGACCTAAGAATTCCTGGATTTTCTGGGATCAAAATGATTATCTTGCCTTGTTCTCATGGTAACAGACTGTCATGTGTTGGCCAATAATCCTGCTAGTTTCTTCCTGATCAATTCAAACAGATAGAAACTTAATGTACCAAGATGCTGAAGTACTCAGCAGACTGGAAATTTGCTTCATGAAGGTGAAGTGGGAGCCGCTGTTCTGCAAAGTTTTGCAATCTGGAGATAGAAGGATTAGAGTGGCTTTGAGAGTATATAAAATTAATTACCCTTGACATAGCAATTAGAATTGCTAGCTCATGGGCAACAGAGATTTTGGAAAATACCTTATTAAAAAGATTTTTAAGATAAAATGGAAAAACATTTTTCTCTTCCAATGCCGGCTTAAAAAAATAAGTTAAAAGTACTTAGCTGTATTATAAGATTTTCACTACTGAAGCAAGGTGGAATCTTGAGTGTAATATATTATCAAGATAATACATTTATAGTCAGGAAAACTACACTCTTGATATGACCTTACTTTTATCTCATAGGGTCTTCTATGTAATACTTTTGAATTTGGGCTTTATACTGTTTCTCTTCTTGTTCAGCACTTCCCTTTTGAAACACAAGATGCAAAGTTCTAGTCTCATGATAATTAAGTTGCTAAAAAGACACATGGATTTATGTACTATATAACTGAAATATTAAAATTATTAAAAGACAACCATTTACCCATTACTGAATGGGAACGAGATAAATGAAAAAACAAAAAACAAACAAACAAAAAAAACCATGTTTCTGTAATGCGAACAAGCTCTGTGGGCACCAGTCAGAATTCAGAAGGTTGACATGAAGACTACCAGAATCAGACAACTTGGAAATGGTTTACTGCAACCATTTGCTGACTCTCTAGACACATAGGTAGTGTAAATCAACATATCTGTGAACAAAGATGACTCAAGGAATTGTTTTCTCTTGGACTTCTGGGATGGTATATTCAGTGTATTTTCCCCTCCAATATGGGTCATCTCAGTACTATACCAGGCCATTCATTAGTATGAAGCTGTTAGGTTGCCTTCATGGCCTCCCCAATCAGGGAGCATGGACAGAAGTGTTCTTCTCTCCCTTTTAATTTTAATCCTTACTCTTGGTCATACACAAATAGCTATTAACACCACACACTTTAGCTCCTTCTATGCTACAGGAGAAATAACTTACAGATGTAAACATTAATGCTTATTATATAGCCATTTTTGCACTAGCAACTTTACATGAGGCAACTATCATTTTCTTCATTTTAAAGTTTAAAGAAGAATTCAGATGTGGAAATACCAGTTGCCTGCCAGTGAATGCTGCTTAGACATCCATACTAAAAGAACTGAGTTATGTGTATACACACATCTTGTGTACCAAAACTCAAGGATAATTGTTTGAGTATTAAACATACCTTACCATAAATTCATCCCTTCACTGATTGTTAAAGGACTCTTCCAGGTTAAAAAAAAAATACCCTAAATTCTGGAAAAATTTATTTTATCTATAATATAAACTTAATGGTGAAAAGTTCCAAGGAAACTAATAAAAGATCCAGAAGTATGGGAGGAACTTCTGAATCATTCACAGAAAAGATGTTTATACCATTCAAAATGAAGAGGGTCACAAACATCTCTCGACAATACTATTTTTCTTTAAAAAATAACAGCTGCTCAATGTGCAGAGCTTTAAAATTAGATAAATTAGGAGATTCATTATTTATGTTATAGTAAGATTCGCCAGACTTTCTTTCAAAAGCCAGCTTTCCTTGGGTGATTAAAACAGTATTTGATTCACAATATTTAATGTATGTGCAACTTCTCAGTCACACGCACGTTGAACTGACATATGAATTGTTCAAATCGTAAAACTTTCATTGTCCGGTTGAGTTAATAGCCTGCATTCACCCACCATGAAAAATCAGGACAGCACAGTCAAAAGAATAATAGTGGAAAAAAAGAAAACCTGTTACTACTGAAAGAAACCACCCTACTAAGCTTTTAGCTTCTTTACCTTCTCTATAGCATTTAACAACAGTTCTACAAGTTGTTATAAATACATACCCATACTTCATTCTCATTCTATCATTTTCTGGGTTACAGTAAAATCTTTCCAAGTGCTCCTGAGAATCATTGAATACACTCTGCCACTTTTGAGTAGTTGTCCTTTTGATCTGCCAATGATATGGCAAGACAGTGTGGTGCTTCAAACAATCCCTGCCATAAATACAAGTGCCTTGCAGAAAGTCCATGCAAATTTCAATTCCGTTCTCTTGGTGAGTGTGGTACTGCAACTGGTTCACCAGCTCAAACACGAGGTCAAGGGAAGCCTCTTCACTTTTGTCCTGAAAGAGCTCAGTACTCAGCTTATCACTGGTGTCCAGAATGTATTGGATTGTAAAACTGTTTTCTTGGAAAATGCCTGGAACATAATCTATGACTTTGTCTAAGCAGTCAGGACTAGTAGGAACATCACTTGAAACTGGGTGCAAAAGATCAGTCTGGAAGTGAGCTGGTGTGGAATCTGCCACCGTCCCACTGAGGGTTTCTGATGGAAAGCTGTGATCTTGGATTGGAACCACTCGTTCTGGAGCTTCAGTGGAAGGATGGGCTTCCGGTATCTGGTCCCCAACATTTGTCCTATCAGGAATCAGAACAGACATATTATTTTCTGCTGGTGGGCATGATGAATTGATTTCCATGGCTTTCTTCATCATAGGTTCATGTAAGCTGTTCTCATCTGTACTCTGGTTCCTAGATCTAAAAACCCCATCAAGTGAGCCAGATTCTAGAAGAGTGTTTAATATTGGCCTCAAAGACCTCAGGGTTCCAGTTCCCAATCTTTTCTGATCCTTTTTCTTAAAACAAGTCTTCAATGGAGTGATCTTCTCAGAGAGTCTCATTTGGCATGAAAAGTCATCAGGAGGAGAGGGAGGCTGCACTACACAGTCTGGCTCAGGTTCGGTGGTTTCCATTTCCATAATGTGGATTAGCTCCAACTGCTCCTCAGAGTCTAAAAATCCTACGAGGAAAGGAAGGAAGATGATCATTTACAAACTGACAGCAACTGGATTTCATTCATTCATTAAAATGTTTTGTTTTTGTCCTGACTGATTCCCTGAAACCATTCCTCTTATACTATATTTAGTTTTTACAAGTCAATTTTAAATTTTATCGAGAAATTAAGGCTCCAAAGCACCCAAGGCTATTCAAAAGCACACAGCAGGTAAAAGTAGAAGAGTCTTTCAACAGGCCATTGGCATGCATTTGTGGACTGAATACATAAGAGTTTGCAATTCTGCTAGGTTAAGAATTTCTACTATAAGGTTAGAGTGGGGTGGGAAATGGGAGGTAGAAATAACTGTATCTAGATGATGACAGCAGGGAAACCACATTTCCACTCAGCTTTGCGGTTCTCTTTATAGTTGTTTATGTATCACCTATCTCATGAGTTGACAAAAAGTTTCTTTAAAAGTTCATCAAATGAAAGATAAACTTCAAACTTAAAACAGTGAGTCAATTTAAGGGTATAAGAACATACACAAGTAACAGGGGCTCTCAATTGAAATGTTCTATGGGAGAAAGCCAGGAGTCTGTTAAGCATTTCTATATTCAGAAAGCTCTAATATACTATCCAAGAATGTTAAGAGTCTACTTTTACAACCCCCAAAAACATTACCGCTTCTGATGGAATACAAGGGTGTGTTTAGTAACAGAAGCCCCATTAGCAACAACCACTGCACGATGTGTCAGAAGACAAGCACAACTTGGTAACACAGAAAAAGCCTCCTAGTTCTTGCCTTCAGAAAAGTTACATACATACATTTTTAAAGAGCAAATGAAGGCATACTATAGAAAAATAAAAAAAAAATATAAAACACACACCAAATTTCAGATTCCTAATCAACTACTGAAAGAGACGAAAAAGTCCTTTCTTCCAAGAATCAGACCCCTTGAAAAAAACTGAAATTTGAAAACATTTACTGAGATTGTGCCAGGTGAGAAAGGAATGGTGATGAGCAATTAATCCTCTTCTCTCTTGTCCAATAAACTGAAAGAGATCTGTGACGCAAGGTCCCATGACTTAATCAAATATGCATCCTAGGTGCCCAATAAAGTGCCTAGCTACCACAATGCACACAGCTGGTGTTCCATATATATTTTGTTGGCTGAATTAGTTAAGAAAAGCACATATTAAATGCTTAGTTCTTTGTTGTTTGTGGGTCAACAACAAAAGGTAAAACTGAGTGTCCCCAAAAGTGAATATTAAAAATTTAATTGGAGAGTCATAAATCTATGTGTAAGAAGTCCATCAAATTCAGAAAAGTAAAATACAAAGCAGTTTATAACGAAGTATTAAATTTACATGATAAGTACAAAAGGAAAAGGCAGAAAAAGGAGAGTTCACTGTAAGCTGGCATTGTTAGGGAAAGCTTCACGAAGAAGGAGGGATCTGACATGAGACATAAATCAACTGGAAAGGAGCCAAGCCAGGCGTTATTATTCATCATTTGGTGTTATTGCCTCAAGGCACAATTGGCACAGATTGTGGTATTCCCTCTCCACCATACCAAACCGGCCTGTGCTTTCCCCACGCGCACACTCTCTAACCACTCCTATCAAACCCAATCAAGGTAAAATAGACACTAAATCGATTTTATTTATATGTGTGTCTGCGCGTACACACGCAAGCGCGCGCGCGCAACTTTTCCTATTATTGCCCTTTCATCAAACTCGGAAACAAAACTGGGAGGAAGAAGCAGAGAACTGGAGAAGTGGCTGGAGGGGGAAAGCCACTAGAACCTAGCTCCTCAATTAGTTTTCATAACAGAAAAATAAAGATGAGAAGAACACATCCTCCGGTCTCCAGCGGCAGGCGACACACCGCGACACCCCTCACCTCGTGACGCTGGGGTTCTGCGGCACTCCCGGCCAAAAGCACTTTCCGAAAAAACTGCCGCTCCAAAGCCTGCCCGCCCGCCGCCGCGCGACACCCCGGCGCCGAGCCCGGGTCCGAGTGACGCCTCCTGTTGGCCGCGGCGGTTTGCTCAGCTCCTGGTCCCGGGCCGCGCCAACTCCGCGCAGTGCAGCTGAGGCGCCGCCCGGCTCTGCAATTCCGGGTGTTCCCGGGCGTCCCCGCCCCCGCCTTCCCCTCAGCAGGCGCCTGGGCGCCCCCCAACTCCTGTCCAGCCTCCTTCGGACCAACGACCCGCCCCGGCCTCCCTGCATCCCAGAGACTACTCGCGGCGCCTTCTCTCTCTAATTCTTCTTTACCCCCTCAGCTCACCTCCCGAGGAGCGTCCAACGGGTCTTGGGGGCTCGCAGAACTGAGCCGCGAAGCGCGGGGGAAAGGCGGCGAGCGCTTCCCGCGGCGGCGGGGAGGAAGACGAAGACTTGTGCGCTCTCAAAGTTAATGTGAAAACATCTTCCAAACTTCTGGGCTGCAGCCCGAAACGCGGGGTAGCCGGAAGGCTCCCGTAGCTGCCGTGCCCTCCCCCCCGGGGTCTGGGAAGGGCTCCTAGGCGCCTCAGAGCACCCGGGGTCGGCCCGCGGGGGAGGCCGCATAGACGCGCCCCCACCCTGACGAACGGGGAAGGGGCAGGCGCCTGCGACCCCAACTAAATCCTTCGGCGCCTCGGTCTGATGTATACACCTGCCACAGGCTCTAAGTGCCTAAGAAGTGTAAACCAATTCCATCTTCATGCTGACGGGACCCGAGTGAATTCGGTACAAAGGGCAGTCTCAAAATCAATCACCCCGATCCGCGAGAGCCCCGCACACTGCCGGCGCGGGGCCGGGGCCGGGGCCGGAGCCGCGAGGCCGGCGCTCGCACTCCCCGCTAGGGTTCTTCAGCCCCTCAGTGCCCTCCCGGAGCCCTTTACCTGAACGGGAGCCTGAGAGAACGGACGACAGGAGCCGAGTGGAAAGCAGTGCCCGCGCCGGAGATCAGCGCCGAGGGCGGGAGCCGACGTCTAGGGACCACAGAGCCGCGACGCGGCGAGCCGCGCACGGGCCATTCCGCCGCCGCGAACGCAGAAAGCCTCGACCGCGCTCCGAGTCCAGCCAGCTCGCCTGTCACCTCGATCTCTGCTTTAAGTGGCTTCCGGTCGCCTCCTCCCGACGGCCCGTCGCGGAGGCGGAGCCTGGGCGGCCGGAGTTCGGTGGGGTGGGGTGAGGAGGCCGGGCGCTCAGTGGGTGTCGGGAAGAAGACCCGCCCCCTGCGCGCGCGTGCGCGTTCGTTCGAGGGGAGGCGCGCGAGTTCTGTGCGGTGGACTTATGCTCCCGCGAGGGGGCGTGTCCTTTCTCGCGTCCGCAGTGTCCCTGAGGGTCCGCGTCTACACGCGGCTGTGAGGAAGGAAGGCGCGTGCCGCGTGGGACGGGCTCCACCTGCCTGCGGACAGATGGAGGGTCACTTTGTTCCGAGAAGACCCAGACACCCGAGGGAGGATGTGAAACGGAACGACCCGTTTCGGTGCGGTTGGCTTTGTTTATTTGCCTACTCCCCAGACGCCTCCAGCCTCTGATTCCGGCACACCCTGTGAGGAAGCAAACGGCTGCCTCCCCCACTGCCACCAGACGAGGTCGCCTGCCCCGAGCCGGACAGGCTGGACAGGCTGCGCACCTGCGGCGGCCGACTATTTCGTGGGCCTTGTACGCCACCTTGCAGAAGGGAAGCTGTGAGGTTTTGGCGATAGAAGCGCATTTACTTGTGTTTTAAAGCCCACAAACGCCGTAGTGACTAACTTATTCATTCAGCAAATGTCTGTCAGAGCGTCTATTACGTACCAGGCATGTAGCCTGAACTTCACGCCTGTCCTCATGGAGCTTGCAGAGCACCTCTGAAATACACACCACATACGGAATGGCCATATTTTCTGGGTTGTAAAATACTTTGAATTGTAACTCCATATATTGAATAGATTTTCAGTAGTGAGGGAAGAAACAATACATTTAGTTCATATAATCCATATGTACGAAAAAGAAGTGCTGGTAATTCCAGACATGGAAGTCAGTAAAACTAGGAGCTAAGAGGTAATAATCATAGACATTATGATTCTAAGCCTTTGTTAAACGGTTCTAAACCAGACTGGGTAAGCGCACCAGCAATGAATAGATTAAGGGTGTTATCTCCTTAGCAGCTTATTTCAAATTGCATCAAGGCAGGGCCATTAAACTAAGGTGAGAATGATATGGGCGGAATTCAGAGGACAATAGGTAAAAGATGAAAATCTTTACATTTAAAATCTTATTGAGACAAGATCTTGGTCAGTGTCTACTCATACATAGAATTGCCTAGAAGCTAATATTTGAGTTTACCATATTACTGTTGGCTTTCTATTTTTCTCATTTGTTCTGTTTCTTTTCTGTCCTTTTGTGCCTTCTTGTAGATTATTAATTCCACTCCCTTGTAACAATTAGGTTGTTATACATTCTTTATGCTTTTAGTAGTATTTCAGTTATTTATTGCTGTGTTCAAACCACCCCCAAAATATAATGACTTAAAACAATGGCTCTTTTATTTACTCATGATTCTGAATTCTCTGGCACAGGAATTCAGTCAGGGCATAGTACAGGTGGCTCATTTCTGCTCCATGATGTCTGGGGCTTCAATTAGCGTGGGCATACTGGGGCCTGGCTGGAATGGCTTAACTAGGGTCATAAGTCTTGGGACTTAAGGATGGAGATGGAGTTTCATGACAAAAATGAAGTGAACATGATGTGGAAAATATGGACATGGAAGCCACGAGCTAAGGATGCTGGAACAGAAAGAAGGCTGTTAGCTACATACCTTGGTTTTTCTCTACATGGCTTCTCCATATGGCTAATTTAGGCTTCCTCACAGCATCATAATCTTAGGATTGCAAGAGGGGACATTCCAAAAAGACAAGCCTCAATGTGCAAGCCTTTACTTTTATCATGCTTACTAATGTGTCACTGGCCAAAGCAAGTCTCATGGCCAAGCTCAGCGTCAGTGTGGGGAGGAACTACACAAGATTGTGAATATTGGGAGGTGTGACATATTGGTAGTCATTTAGACTAGGGACAGACCACCTTAATCCAATCAAGAGAATAATTAAAAGTTACTTCCAGGGTATAGCCCAGTTCCAACTTAAAATCTTTCCTCCTTAGGTCCTGAACTCAATATTTTTACCCACCCAATCCCACACCCACTCCCCTTGAGGCAGTTGAAAACTCTGGCTAGTTTCTCAGCCTCTCTCCATTACTGCTTTCTGAATGTTAATTGCCTCGAAGGGAAAAGTGGCACCAAATTCTGGACTCAAAATCTTGGATTTAGGCCCCTCAGACTGTTGAAGTTCTACTGCTCCAGAAAAGGTATCCTCTACAATCTCTACCTCGGACGTGGCCCATCTTTTTTTGAAGGAGGGATGACAGTGTGCCTAGCTGAAAAATTCATTTCCCTAGAGCCCATGGGGTTATGGATGGCCATGGGATACACTTCTAGACACATGCTTGAGATTTCTGGAAAAGCGTTTCCTTTCCTAATAGAGTCACCCCTTGAATTTCTTCCTTTTTTTCTTTCTTCTAGAGTAATAACAGGATGGAGATGGAGTTTCATGACAAAAATGAAGGTGAATATGATGTGGAAAATACAAAGATGGAAGCAACAAGCTAAGGATGCTGGGGCAGAAAGATGGAACCTGGGTTACTCATGACATCTTGAAACTGCTGCAGCCATCCTAGACTGGCTGCCTCTAGACTTAATATGTTTAGAAAGTAAATCCCAATTTTATTAAACTGTTATCTGTTATGTATATATGAACACATTCTTAGCTAATAAACTATCATGTCTCCTAACTAGTCTTCTAGGCTCTACCAGTTAGATAGTAATGTGAGTTGGTATGTCAGAAATACAAGAGCTGTCACAAAGCAATACAACTCCTATAACATTTCCTGATAATTCTGTAAATATACCAAATCATTGTAAGATTAAGAAACATGTTAATTAAAAACAGGAAGTAGAAGAAATAACGATGCCCATAGTTGAACATTTTAAAGTCTCATTTTGGCCACGCAGTGGCTCATGCCTGTAATCCCAGCACTTCGGGAGGCTAAGGCAGGAGGATCAGTTGAGAGCAGGAGTTTAAGAGCAGCCTGGCCAGCATGGTGAGACCCCTATCTCTACGGAAAAAAAATTTTAATTAGCTGGGCACGGTGGCATGCATCTCTAGTCCCTGCTACTCGGAAGCTGAGGCAGGAGGATTGCTTGAGCCCAAGAGGTCAAGGCTGCGGTGAGCTATGGTCACACTATTGCACTCCAGCCTGGGCAACAGAACAGGACCCTGTCTAAATCTCATTTTAACACTTTGATATAGTTATAATCTGTCTTATTTATTCAAGGTATTTTTCTATATTATTTTACCTAACATTATATCATAAACAGCTTTCCATGTTAATATTGTCTTTTAAACAAATAGCTCTTCAATATTCCAAGTAATTATAGTATTTTTTGCTTATTTAGTTCATTCTAATTGCACATGTTCACTTTTTTTCATAACTTATTCACTGCGTATCTACTACATTCTAGTAACTGGACTAAATATTATAAGTACACATAGATGAATAAGATGTGGCTCCTCCCTGAGCACTCTTCAAAACTACAAAAGACACATGTACATGCAATATATATGTATATATGGCGTATGTGTGTGTATACTTTTTATATGTGACTCTAAGCTATTTAATAAGCTATTTAATTATCTTTATTTTTTTAATTTCTTTTTTTTGAGACAGGATCTCACTCTGTCCCCTAGGCTGGAGTGCAGTGGCGTAATCTTGACTGCAACTTCTGCTTCCAGGTTCAAGTGATTCTCCTGCGTCAGCCACCTGAGTAGCTTGGATTACATGTGTGGGCCACTGCGCTCAGCTGATTTTTGTATTTTTAATAGAGACAGGGTTTCACCATGTTGGCCAGGCTGGTCTCAAACTCCTGGCTTCAAGCAATCCACCTGCCTAGACCTCCCAAAGTGCTAGACTACAGGCATGAGCCACTGTGCCTGGCCAAATTATCTTTAAATATGCTTATAGAATGGAAATATTTTAATTTCCAATTCCTTTTATTGATAATTTCTGTCATTCTTATCTGCTGGATTTCCCTTTAGCATGACTGATCAGTTATCAGTAGAGTACTTACAATGAACAGTTTATTAATATAAAAGCCATTCCTTCTTACTTGAATTTCAAGTGACCCAAGGCCTCCGGTTTTCATTTTCATTAACAGTAAGTGCTATCAAATGTAAATACCAATATTCTATTGCTTTCTGTTTTCATAATTGTTAGTTAATTTCCTAACATCCTTCTTGTGGAAAGATAATCATTTTTGGTTACCACATAAGGAAACTGTGAATAACATGACTCAGAGCAGAATGAAAAACCTGAGATTTGAAAACAAAGGCTTTAGTAGCTTTGCTGTACTAAAAGACAGTATTCCCCATGCTGTATATGGGAAATACAGCCAACTTGCATAAATGGCAGACTGACAACTCCTTATCTAAGAGAGCTAAGTCCAAGCTATAACATTTTCTATGAGTGTATATGTAAGAGTAATTTATTCTTTAACTCAAAATTGCGTATGTGCATGAATCTCATATATCTAAAGTGAAAGAGGCTGGATGCAGTGGCTCACACCTATAATCCCAGTGCTTTGGGAGGCCAAGGAAGGAGGATTGCTTGAGGCTAGGAGTTTATGACCAGCCTGGAAAACAGTGGGACCCCATCTGTACCAAATTTTTTTTTTTTGCAGGGACGGAGTCTTGCTCTGTTGCCCAGGCTGGAGTGCAGTGGCATGATCTCTGCTCACTGCAAGCTCTGCCTCCCGGGGTCACGCCATTCTCCTGCCTCAGCCTCCTGAGTATCTGGGACTACAGGTGCCTGCCACCACACCCAGTGAATTTTTTGTATTTTTTAGTAGAGATGGGGTTTCACCGTGTTAGCCAGGATGGTCTTGATCTCCTGACCCCGTGATCCGCCCACCTCAGCCTCCCAGGGTGCTGGGATTACAGACGTGAGCCACCGCGCCTGGCTACCAAAAATTTTTAAAAAGAAATTTGCCAGGCAGGGTGGCATGCACCTACAGTCCCAGCTACTAGGCAATTGAGGCAGGAGGATCACATGAGCCAAGGAGGTGGCGGTGAGCCATGGCCACATTACTGCAATCTAGCCTGGGCAACAGAGCAAGACCTTGCCTCAATAAATAAATAAATAAATAAGCAGTCTCATTACTGCAATCCAGCCTGGGCAGCAGAGCAAGACCCTGTCTAAATAAATAAGTAAATAAATAAATAAATAAATAAATAAAATGAAACTATTATTCTCTAGGCAACTGAAGTACTGCTGTTTTTAAACCTATAAAATTTATTATTAAAAATACTGTCTTGATGTTGTTATAATGAACCAACTCCTGGAACTTACCCAAAGGAAGATTTCCTATTTCCCTGAGAAGGAGTTCTGCACTCGTGGGATTCTAGAACAAGATAAGATTTGGGTGTAATTTATTTACTTCAAATATGATGTTGGCGAGAGAAGATTAGAAAATGCTCCTAGGGAATATGTCAAGCAACAAGGTAGGGAAGTTAACAAACGTGAATTAATGAATTAAAGGTAACCTCAAAGGTAGGTTGGTTTAGAGCCTGTCATGAACATGCTTTGATAAATGTAAACTTAAAATTCATATTTTCATAAGGTGATGGAACATGCAGCTTGCAGACCATTTCCAAGTTTTAAAAATATCTCTCAGTTATAGTTTCCTCCCTCTTGAAACTCACTTTTTTCTCTGCCTCTGACAAGGCACCAGAGTGCTTCTGTTTAGGAAAGGTGAGGGTTAAAAGGCCTAGTAGAAAATGAAACAGATAAAAGTGTGAATAGGACAAGTTCTAAAATGCTTAAGCAAGATCACAAACTATTCTGATTATCTAAGATTTGCATTTGTAAATTGCCTAATCATCTGCTTGACTGTTTTGTTTTCTCAAGATCCCTAACAGTCAAGTATTCTCTTGAATCCCCTTCAGTTTTGGACCTGTTGAGTAATTCTTACAGCACATACTGAAAGTACTGTCTGATCTAACTGGCTTTAGGTCTGTATGTGATGATTTCCTCAGAGAAATCCCCAGATGTTTTCCTGATCATTCAATCAATTGATTCAACACACATTTATCTAGCGGTAGTTATGCAATGGTGACTAAGACAGTCTCCACTTGTTAGTTTCTTGTAGGGAAGTCTGTGTACTGACCACCCAGAATCACTTGGGAAAGCCTGCTGCAGATGCCCCAGTCCCACCGTAGTCCTCCTGAATCTCAGAGAACAGGTCAGGAGAATCTGCACTTTGCAGAAATTCTCTAGGCACTACTGCTTTAAGAGCTCATAGTCTTTTAAAACACTTGGGGGTGGGGAGGAGGTGGCTTACGGGTGTGGCCAAGTAGGAAAACAAACACACTAGCATGGTAAGTGCCATAATAGAGATTTACATGCAAGGCCAAATACAGTCAGCCCTCAGCATCTGCACACTCCACATCCACAGATTCGTCCAACCATAGATCAAAAATATTTAGGAAAGAAAACAATAAAAAATTAATGCAAATAAAAGTACAATATAATAACTATTTACATAGCATTTTATTAAGTAGTATAGGTAACCTAGAGATTACTTGAAGTAGATAGAAGGATGTGCATAGTATGCAAATACTATGCCATTTTCTATGGGGGACTTGAGCATCCACGGATTTTGGTATCTTGGGGGTTCCTGGAACCATGTCCCTGAGGAACAGTTGCATAGAGATGATGAATTAAGCCTAACTATATTGTCAGAGAAGAGGATTACCATCAGCAGATTTCTTAAAGTAGCTAGAAGTATTATTCTTTAGAATGTTAAGAGACTCAGCTGTTTTTTACTTGGGGTACATCTAAAATCCAATAGAAAAAAAATTTAAAACCTCTACTCAAAAAAACAAGTGAATTCCCAACTAAAAGATCTTGATAATCGTGTGCAGAGATCATGTGAGTTAACAGCACTTCTACTTGTATGAATTTATCCTGAGGAAATAATTAGAGTTTATGTGCATGGGTTTGGTTACAAATCCCTTTCCTACAACAAATAAATTGTGACTGAGTGCTCATTTTAATCCAGCCCCAGACACAGTTCTCTGTGGGAAAGCTTTCTTCTCCCCACTTCTTATACTGTCAAAGACATTCTGGGCCATGAAGAGTTCCCACTTTTGCTATTCAGGCACTGAAAAGCCAACACTCTGTTTTTATAGTAAAGAAGGTTTTTGTTTTTTTTTTTTTGGTTTTTGTTTTTGTTTTCCCCAGCACAGTAATAGAATTTAGGAACTGAATTCATTAATATCCCTTGGCAGCCTCACTGTGCAGTCTCTTGTACACAGCATACGTTTTCATGTTGATGTCCAAATTCAATATGGTGATTTTGGCAGACTGGACATCCTAGCCATTCACTAAAGAGAGATCATTCTGATGCTCACCTGCCTTTCATCTCTGACTCCTCCATTAGGCAGATAGCTCCTGGGTTTTTAAACTGGCCTGCACATGAGAATCACTTGAGCCACTTTAAATAAATATATATAAATAATATATATTGTATAATAAATATATTTATTTATATAACTAATAAATATAGTTATTTATTATATAAATAAATATATATATTTATTATATATAAATAAATATATATATTTATTATATATAAATATATATATTTAAATTTCATGGGCCTTATGCATTGAATAGGGACTGTGTTGTATTTGTCTTCTCCTCTTTGGTTCCCAGTAGAGCACTGGACATACATCAGGTAATCAATGACTTCACTTATTCATTCAACACATACTCTTGAGCATTTGTGTTCTAGGTACTTCTAAGTGCTAGGAATACAGTAGAGAATAAAA
Source organism: Homo sapiens (assembly GCF_000001405.40). Classification (NCBI taxonomy): domain Eukaryota; kingdom Metazoa; phylum Chordata; class Mammalia; order Primates; family Hominidae; genus Homo; species Homo sapiens. Next base: position 156,666,765 of record NC_000003.12, on the reverse strand, counting down.
TAAATGGTCAACTCTTAACATTCTAATAAGAGGAAGACAGGTGGTATCAGGTGGCGATGAAAGCTGTAAAAATAAAATAAGACATGGTAAGGGTAGGACAACCACATACTTTATCAAAAAAGGACACTTTGAGAATAATTATTCACAATTATGTCAATATAGTACAGCTGAAATCAGGACTGTCATGGAAAAACCAAGATGTGTGGTCACTCTACATAAGGTGTTAGAGAGTGCTGTGGAAAAGGAAATGAAGTGTTTTTAAAAAATATGATGTGCTGTTACTAGAAGGCCTCCCCAAAAAGAAAACATTTAAGCAGTAGCCTGAGGAAAACGAAGGCATAAGTCACACAGCTATTAGGGAAAGAGCATTCCAGGTAGATGGAATAGCATGTGTAGGGACAAGCTTGGCATGTTAGAGGGAAATCACAGAAGCCAGTCTGATGGGAGTGGAATGAACAAGAGTACTGTTGATGAGGTCAAAGGGATGACCAGAGGCCAGATTTCATAAAATCTTTTAGGCTTGGCCCATAGTAAGGACTTTGGATTTTACCCTGAGACAGAAATCTATATAATTTACTTTTTAAAAGGATCACTCTGGTGTTGTGTGGAGAGGATGGAAAGAGTGAACACAGGAAGATTAGTTAATAGACCAAGCAAGAGATGATGGTGGCCTGGATCATGATAATGGAGAGAGGTGGTTAGATTCTGGACACATGCTGAGGGTAAAGCTGAGTGGATTTGGTGTATGAGGGAAACTGAAGAGCCAGAAATAAGTCCTCAGTTTTTGGCTTGAGCAACTAGAAGAATGGATCTGTCCTTCACTTAGATGGTGAAGATTGTAGGAAGAACATGTTTTGGGGAACAGGGAGAAACGATAATGTAGTTTTGGACTTGTTAAGATTGACACATATTAGATATTTAAGTGAGAAAGTTAGTAGGATATTGCATAATTAAATCTAAAGTTTAGGGGAGACGCTGGAGCCACTTGCTACCATACCTAAGAAAGTCCCCACTGTCAAACTTACATAGCAAACATGTTCATTCATCCATTTTACATGTAGGTTAATTAGGAGGTCTTAAAAGTGTGTTTTTTAAAAGAGGAGCAGTGGGCCATATTCTGCATTTGCAGAGGAGGGAGATTTATTTTCACAAAGTCTGGGAGTGAAGTGTTGCCCAGTAGTGTGTCCACTCATATCACATTTCTCTAGCAGAAGGAAGCTGTAATCCCTATAAACATGAGCGAATTTAAAGTTCCCATTACCCAATTGTGACCTCATGACCCCATTCTGGGAAGCTGACTAAGAAATGACTTTGAGGCTAAAGAAATCAAACAGTTGATATTTGTATGTTATGTGACTAAAGAAAGAAAAAATAGTCAGGCCAAGCATATGAAAATAAAAAATCGATACAGGCTCATGCAAGCTTCTAGTAATGTAAGCCTAAATTTGGCCTTAAAACAAAAACTTATAGTATCAATTAGCATTCCTATTATTCTTCTTGCCTACAGACTTTAAAGAAGCAGCTGTCATTTATTTTCAAATGCAAAACAGATGGAAATTTATGGTACCAGGGAAATCTATACTAAGCCAAATAAAACACTTGCAGCATTATTTAGTGTATGCATTATTTTTACTTCATCACCTGCCTGAGACTCTTTGGTTTTTATTTTTCACTTTCTGAAGAGTTAGCTAAATTAGACATCAAGGCTCTGAATGGCTTTTTTTCAATTATCAGTGTGTTTACATTGAAACAAAGATAACCTCTTGGTTTGAAAGTTTTGCAAAGTCACCAAAAAACAATGTTACTTTGGTTAAAAATAACTCTCTATTGAAATGAAATAAATGTCAGCATTAGAGAAATGGAAACCAAAACTTTTTATCAGACCTCAAGTTGAAAGGCAGGAAATGTTAGCTGCATTGACAGAACCCTAGGTACAGGGAGTTGGTGAAAATAAATAGTATGGTTACACAGATAAGTGACCCAGAAAAGAACTTGTTGGTTGACATGATTTTTATTTATTCTTCTATTTTGTTGAATGTCTGCTACAAGTAGTTGCTGGGCACGCAAGTAGTGAAAAAAACGGACATGATCTCTGCCTTCGTGTTGCATATGGAAGAAGACGTATTAACTCAAATAACCACTCAAATCAACTTACAACCGTAAACTTTAATAAGTGCTTTGGAAGAAGTCTTTCCTGGTGAAGAAACATTTGGTTGGCTCTGATGATGGAGTAAGCATGAACTAGGTCAAAAGGATATGGGTGGGAGCAGCTAATGGTGGTCAGGGGACAGAATGTTAAGTGCAAAGCCAGAATTGTGAAGTTGTGGCATGCCAAAGAGAGCCACTGTGTCTGCAAAATAGAAAGTGAGAAGGAGAGTGGCTGGAGATTACTTGGGAATGTAGACCTTCAGGCCTCCTAAGTAAGAATTCTGAAGAAAAATGGATGTCATTGAAGTGCTTTAATTAGGAAAATGACATGATTATATTTTAATTTTTAAAAGTAAAGCTGTAATGAGGGGAACTTTCACTTCCAGTAATGAATTAGGCAATTCGGCTAACACTCTTACCAAGTAAAACCACAAAAGTTGGACAAAATATTTTGAAAATTACTCTGAGAGTTAACATGACAACATCTGGGATAATATCTGGGAGAAAGAAACTCGGAGAGGTGAGTAGAGCATTTAGAACCACTTTTCCGAAGAGGAGTCTGAGAAGCTTAATAGAAATTTTAACAGACTAACAAGGATAGGGAGATAAAACTGAAGTTCAAGGAAGGTAAAGGGAAGTGATGTCAGGTTTTGGGTTGGGACCCAAAGGACTACATGAGAGTAAGGGTAACATAGAAATAGGCCAACCCTCCTGGAGGGTTGAACCACCCACTTCATATTCTCTGAGGCCTTCCAACTGGATTGAATTAAGGTGATGTAGGATTGCTACTGGCCTTAATCTCTTACCAGAAGCACCTATAAAAATTCCTTGAAGAAAGATAACATTCTTCTTGGTCTAAAACTATTTTTACAATGATCCAAATGCAATATCTAGCATTCATAAAAAATAACCAAGAAAGCATTCACAAACTGGTGGGACAAGTCAAAGGACAAAGAAAGCAAATTGAAGGTCCTCCTACAGGCCAAAATAGGGCAATTTGAATGATAAAAAGAATAATGATGGTAATTCATTAAAAAATAGTGAATAAAAAGAAAATCCATGAGTCTATAAAAATACTCAAAAAAAGTTGGGGGGCCTGGCATGGTGGCTCATGCCTGTAATCCCAGCACTTTGGGAAGCCAAGGTGGGTGGATCACTTGAGGCTGGGAGTTGAGACCAGCCTGGCCAATATGGTGAAACCCTGTCTCTATTAAAACACAAAAATCAGGTAGGCATAGTGGTGTGCACCTGTAATTCCAGCCACTTGGGAGGCTGAGACAGGAGAATCGCTTGAACCCTGGGGGCAGAGGTTGCAGTGAGCTGAGATCGCAGCCACTGCACTCCTGACTCTTTCTCAAAAACAAAACAAAAAAAAAAGGGAGAGGGAGGGGATACAAAAAAAGAGGGAAAGCTTTTCTTTATAGAAGAATGCTAGCTAATAAATGTGGACAGATTGATAGAATTGGAAAATCACCATTTTGAATCACAAAAGTAATAATAATGGTATACGAGGTAAACTGAAGAGCCAGGGATGGCTCTTCATTGACAATGAAAGGATTATCAATGTATACTAATGCCAATAGGTGAGAGGTTGGAAAATAGTCATAGTTTCCAAGTATCTCCTTATACATTACTCATTAATAACACAAAGAGATAATCTGACAATAGAGAAATCCAACACATATCACATTAACCAAATGATCAAACTTAAAAATGAATACTGATGGTACTAATGAACATTACGAGCCTTCTGATATTAATGAATAAGGGAGGACAAACCATCATCTATGTAGTGTTGTTGCCAAAATATTTAATCTAAACCTAAGCATTAGACAAATCCAAATAGTAAGACATTCTACAGAACTCTTTAAAAACTATCAATGTCATGAGAGGGGAAAAAAAGGCAATGGAACTATTCTAGATGAAAGGAAAGTAAAAGCTATGCCTAAACCTAATATAGATACAGGATATTTTAAAATGCTATAAAGGATGTTATTTAGGCAATTGAATAAATTTGCAGATGTACTGAATATTAGATATATTGTGGTATCAATGTTAAATTTCTTGAGTGTGATAAGAGAGATATTGTGATCATGTAGGAGAATATCATTGTTCTTAAAAGAGATACATGTTGAAATGTGTAGGAAATGAAACATCCTTTTATATGTAGAGGACTTTCAAATGGCTCTGTAATATCTATATCTATACATATGCATGCAGTCTTCACTTTGCAGGACTGTAAAAAGATATGGTAGTACAAGATTATAAAAATGACCATGCAAGCTGAAACTACAAAGTGATCTTAATCAATGGGGAAAATCACAGTTGTTCTGTCACCTTTAAAAATGTTTACCAAAACATTAAGAACACTCTTACGGTCAGTCATAAATGCAGAAAATTGTAAAAAAAAAAAAAAAAAAAACACAAAACTAATTTGTATTTAGTGCACTGTAATTTAAAACATTAGAAATATTGAGGATTAAAGTGTTTTATTTCTTTGTTAAAACTTACCAAAGGCCAGGCATGCTGGCTCACACCTGTAATCCCAGCACTTTGGGAGGCCAAGATGGGCAGTTTGCTTGAGCTCAGGAGTTTGAGACCAACCTGGGCAACCTGATGAAATACTGTGTCTCCAAAAATAATACAAAAATTAGCCAGGCATGGTGGTGTGTGCCTGTAGTCCCAGCTACTCAGGAAACTGAGGTGGGAGTATGGCTTGCACCCAGGAGGCAGAGGTTGCAGTGAGCCATGATCATGCCACTGCATTCCGGCCTGCGTGACAGAGCAAGACCCCATCTCAAAAACAAACAAACAATCAAACAAACAACATCAACAATAAAAAGCTTACCAAGAATAATTTGAACAGTGTTGCTTCTTCTGATTATATAACTTATCTTATGGATGAAGCATCTTTTCTCCACTTTCACAAATCATCATATTCCTTTCTAAGTTTAGATTAGCTTACATTATTTTATCCTTTGCATTTTCAGTGTTGTGAAATGTTTCTAAAGAGATTTTCTAATTGTATCAATCTACCTACTTTTTTGTGAAGTTTTTTGGCAATGTCACTTCCTCTGGGACATCTTCATCCTTTTTTGTCACAGCCACTTTCTTCATTAATGTCAATAATTCCACCTTTACTAAGTTCCCCTGACTGCATACCTAGAGTCTTTCTAATGATCACAGTGTCAATATTGCCATAGCCAACTATCGTTTCTGTAACTCTATGTTTGATCTGAATTTCACATCCAGTGTTACTACTTTTCATGTTTTTCCTTCACTTTCATTTTTCTTGGCCAATTTCCTCTTTCTAATATCTGTTTTGTTTTGTTTTGTTTTGTTTTTTTGAGACAGAGTCTTGCTCTGTAGCCCAGGCTGGAGTGCAGTGGTGCAATCTTGCTCACTGCTACCTCTGCTTCCCAGGTCCCGGTTCAAGCAATTCTCCTGCCTCAGCTTCCTGAGTAGCTGGGATTACAGGCAGGAGCCACCATGCCCAGCTAATTTTATTTTTGTAATTTTAGTAGAGACAGGGTTTCACCATGTTGGCCAGGCTGGTCTTGAACTCCTGACCTCGTGATCCACCTGCCTCGGCCTCCCAAAGTGCTGGGAGTACAGGCATGAGCCACCGTGCCCGGCCTTTAATATCTATTTTTGTAAAATATTTTGTGAGTTTATCACTGGGAGACAAGGAAGTAACACAATTTCACGCCTTGCTGTCTGTGCATGAACTGAAAAACAGATGTGCAGTGATCAATTGCTGACAGATTTTCAAAGCAGTGAATGATTGGTCACTGTCATTGATGATGATGCACATTTGTTAATTACATAATGGTTGGCAGACTGAAGTTCTTGCAGTGAAGTTTGTACTTTGTGTAATTACATTTAGTAGGCATAGTCACCGAAATTTGAATCATGTCATTGGGTAACTGCCTTTGTGTATGTATGTGTATATGCATATATGCATAGTTATGTGTGTGAATCTAGAAAAAGGTTATATAGGTAGCCCATTGTATTATTCTTGCAGCTTTTCTGCCACTTTCAAGTTTATCTTAATAAAAGTTAGGGGTGGGAGGGTGGGAAGGAAGCAGATCATAAGGAGATAAGACAACGCAATAGAAAATCTAAAGAAAGAATAGATAAGCCAGGCGCCCTGGCTCACACCTGTAATCCCAGCACTTTGGGAGGCCGAGGCGGGTGGATCACGAGGTCACGAAATTGAGACCATCCTGGCTAACATGGTGAAACCCCATCTCTACTAAAAATGCAAAAAAAAAAAAAAAAAAAAAAAAATTAGCCGGGCGTGGTGGCGGGCGCCTGTAGTCCCAGCTACTCAGGAGGCTGAGGCAGGAGAATGGCGTGAACCCGGGAGGCGGAGCTTGCAGTGAGCCAAGATCGCGCCACTGCACTCCAGCCTGGGCGACAGAGCGAGACTCCGTCTCAAAAAAAAAAAAAAAAAAGAATAGATAATAAAAACAAACAGGGAATCCAGAGACTAGAAAAGGCTATGGAATCAAACCGCCTGGGTTTGAATCTCATTTTAATTACCAGCCATGTGATCTTAGACAAGTTATGGAATATCTCTGAACTTGTTTCTCTTAAAAATTAGGGCTAAAAGAATATCTACTTCATAGGGTAATATGGATGGTTAAATAACTTTCATATATGAAGTAATTCTAAGTGTACAGATGTGTTAAGATGGGGAGACTTTACTGTCTTTAGATACTAATAAGAATCCAGAAGACAGAGGTTGAAGCTAGGAGAAGAGATAGTGGCGTATGCTTCTTAAGAAGGTGGGAGGGGATGGGATCCAAATAAGAAACAGAGGAGTTGGTCTTGCACTAAGACCCTCTCTATTTTAACAGGAGGGAAAGAGAATAGGATGGGTGAAGGTATAGGTTGGATAGTAACTTTGCTAGGGGGAAGAAGTTATTTAATTTTGTAGTCTCCAAGAAATAAAAGGTGAGGCATTTTCTGAGCATGAACAGCACAATAGGGGATTAGAGGTTGAAGAGAGTGTGGAAGACTTGAGATGGCTCTTGCAGAGACTAAGAGAGCCAGCTGGCCAAATAACTATAACAGCATTGTTGGCAGTGTGGAGGGCCCAGAGTGACTGACCTTAAAATTATAGTTCTTTCAGCCTGCCCTTTTGTGTTTCTTACTTCAGCTGCCAGTGGCTCAGCTGCCTTGGTGCAGGCATGGAGAGTGTGGGCTGTTGAGTTCATCCAGGATTGAGGTTTTTCCAGATGGATGTGAGGAAAAGATAGACAAGAGAATTTATGGTATTGGCAAGGAGGTTACTGAAAGTATGTACCATGAAATCTAACCTGGGAGGGAATTAGTAGTAGAAGAGGGCTAGTGATGAGGGGGAAAATAGGGGGGACCTGTTTTCTTTGGAGAATTGTTGGAGTGCCTTGGGTGTTTCTTTCCTTCTCTCCCAGGCAAAGATAGTGGCATTCCTGTCTCCTTAGCTCAAATAAAAAGGATACTTTATCGAAACCACCTGACGAGGTTTAAATGTGCCTCTGGAGTTTGAAGAGCATTAAGGACTGGTACGAGTAGCTCTGTGCAAATCATCCAGGTTAGAGAAGGTGGGGAGGAAAGGGGAGAAGTGGGCAGGGGCACTGGGAGCAAACTGCACATCCACAAGCAGTGAGGCAAGGGTGGGTGACTGTTTCTCCTGAGCCAGATGTGGGCCTGTGGAGAAGCTTGCCTGGGGCAACCTCATATTCCAAAACTGGCTGGAGGGGGTATGTGACCACAGGGAAGGGAGTGGCCACCAGATAGCCAGGGGCTGAGGAGAGAATTGTAGAGGGCCAGCCTGAGGAGAGACATTGCCTTCACAATGGGAGCATAGTTGGATGTTCCAAGGGGAGTATCTCCCTGAAATTCACAAAAATACCCAGTGAAGTAAAGAGTGAGCAACAGGATTCTGCCATACCGAGAGGCTGCCATAGGTGACTGTGTCTGTGCCTACCAAGTGGGACCTTGATGACCTCTCCTCCCTTTTCCTGATCCAACCCTGAAAGCACAGAGGTAGTTAATTGGGGGTTTAAGAAGGTGGGTGTGGGTGGACAGAGAGCAAGGAGACGGAAGAAGCAGCCGTCTGTATTTCCATCCCTTCTCCCCACCCCCTAGGTTTTCCAGTCTGCTGCAGCAACAAGATGGGGGTGGGGAGGCTCAAATTTTATGAGTGTCATTCAAATTTTATTGAACATTTTAATTACTGAACTGAGACCATTCTTGTGGCTGAGTTACCAGGAGAATTTTTATGACCTGAAAGAAGCCAGGAAAGTAAGTCTGCACTAGGGACAAGGAAAACAAACAAAAAAGCAACTAGCCTATAGAGGAGTTGGAAAAGGGTGATTGATGTGGTTTAGATCTGTGTCCCCGCCCCAATTTCATGTTCAATTGCAATCCCCAATGTTGGTGGTGGGGCCTGGTGGAGGTGATTGGATCATGGTGGTGGTTTCTCATGAATGGTTTAGCACCACTGCTCTTGATGCTATCCTTAAGATAGTGAGTGAGTTCTTGCCAGATCTGGTTGTTTGAAAGTGCATAGCACCTCCCCACTCTTGCTCCTGTTCCTACCATGTGAGATGTCTGCTCTCCCTTTGCCTTCCTCCATGATTGAAAGCTTCCTGAGGCCTCTCCAGAAGCAGAAGCTGCTATGCTGCCTGTACAGCCTGCAGAACCATAAGCCAATCAAACCTCTTTGCTTCATAAATTACCCAGTCCCTGGTATTTCTTTATAGCAGTGCAAGAACGGACTAATAGAGTGATTTAGAGAAAAAAAAAAAACTTGTATTATCATTCTGCTGTATAAAATTCAGTTCATTCACTATAATACTGATCACATCAGTTTAGTAAAATAATGATAACAAGGTCCAGAGTGTGGCTGTGGAAGTAGCTGGCTCTGATGGAGTGGACTAGAAGGTCATTGAGGGTGAAGAAGGCAAGGTATGAGAAGACTTGGTGATGGCTGAGTCATCTTTGTAGATAATGAATTCTTCCATGATGCTGGCAAAGGTTGGGGTTGAAAGACTGCAAGCCCAAGGCCAGTGGTTCTTAAACTTTAGAGCGCATTAGAATCCACCTAGAGAGCCATTAGAAGATAGAGGGGCCCAGGCTTATTGAAGTAGGATACGGCCTGGGCTTCTGTATGTTTTCAACAAGTTCTCAGGTAGTATGAAATACACAACAAAATTTGAGAACCTCTACCCAATATTTAGTGGTGAGTAGTAAGTGATAAATAGGTACATAACCATATCTACCTGAAGAAAGGAAGAGAGGGCAATTTAGCCAAATAGGAGGAATACCCAGGAAGCAATTTTTTTCTTTTTGTTACATGAGGGTAAAGAAGTAGTAGTTTGAGAACAGTAATAGGGTCAACTAGCCTCTCAACCCATTATCCATAACTATTCTTTTTCATTTTTTTTCTTTTTGTGAATATGAGTGTTGTGGATTGAACTGTATCTCCCCTGAAAAAGATCTATTGAAGTCCTAACCTTTAGTACCTCAGAATATGATCTTATTTGGAAATAGAGTCATGATAATTTGGAAATATATGTAATCAGTTAAGATGGGTCCCTAACACAATATAATTGGCATCCTTATAAGAAGATGGCCACATGCAGACACAGAGACAGACAGTGAGAATGCCATGTGATAATGAAGGCAGAGATTAAAGTTATGCAGTTGTAAACCGAGGAAGGCCAAAACCACCAGAAGCTATGAAGGGAGAAAGAAGGATTCCTCCATAGGTTTAAGAAGAATCACGGCCCTGCTGACACCTTATTGTTGACTTCTGTCTTCCACAACACTGAGACAGTACATTTGTGTTGTTTTAAGTCACCCAGGTTGTGATACTTCGTTACAGCAGCCCTGGGAAACTAATACAATAAAGTTGAGATATTCCTTTCTTGGTGTGCCATAAATCATCTCTCCTACATTCTGCCCATGTTGTGTTTTTGTCCCCTTTGCAATGAATTAGTCTGTCTCAGGACAGAGAAACCATGTTTGAGTCAGCAGATGCCATTAGAACAACAAGAAAAAGAAAAGTCTACTGCTTCCCAACATGCTTAAGCTAAAAACACAATATACTTTACGTGTTCTTGATGGAGTAGTCAGCCCCCACACTGGCGTCTGCATTTATTATTGACAAATGAGTCAGTTCATATGAGACTGGTAGCTTATTTGAGTAGGTGTATGCTAAAGTTATTTTGAAAAAAGGAAAATAAGCCTATAAATATACTTGTATGCTACTTTCATGAGAAAGCACTTCTCATGAGGAATCTTTATTAAACCAATTTTCACAAAAGTGTTGAGAAAACTCAGCAGTCATACATAATGGGTTCCACTTTCAAAAGTCCGCCCACCTCCTTTGACTTTCATAACTTCTCTCCTCTCCCTAATATTGAAGGAAAGTCTTGGGCCACAGATGGCCCAACAGACCACACTAACTGATCCCAGGAAATATTAAATTTCTAATTTATTTAGCAAAGCCTACAGAAACCAAGCAGAAGTGAGGTGCCATTCAGAGCAAGAACATAGAAACATACCACATCCCATTTCAACGTCCAGTGGTCCCTAAGAGGGTGCACGGCTGCCTGTGACCCATCAGATCAAAACATACTGTGGTCCAGAAATGCTACTTGTAGAAATTTAGCTTGCAGAAAAAAAAAGTCAAAGGGCAAGGTAAGGGACTGAGTGGCTTACAGATTCTAGAGAGAAGATAGAGCCAATGGTTGCTAGCTGAGCAGAGCAGTCCAGGACTTATGCCTGGAAGAGGGGTTTTGTGTTGAATCTCCCTTTTTATGTCAGGACCTTGAGCGTGGACTATAGGAGCAGACAGGGTAATGTCAAAAGCGGATCTGGGCTAAACATTCTATTTTTTTTTTCTTTTTTCTTGAGACAGAGTCTCACTCTGTCACTCAGACTGCAATGCAGTAGCACGATCTTGGCTCACTGTAGCCTCTGCCTCCTGGGTTCAAGTGATTCTCCTGCCTCAGCCTCCTGAGTAGCTGGGAGTACAGGTGCGCACCACCACGTCCACCTAATTTTTGTATTTTTAGTAGAGATGGGGTTTCTCCATGTTGGCCAGGAAGGTCTCTATCTTCTGACCTTGTGATCCACCCACCTCGGCCTTCCAAAGTCCTGGGATTACAGGCGTGAGCCACCACGCCCGGCCGGGCTAAAGATTCTTATCCCAGCTTTGGCTACACATGCATGCTTTCCAAGCTCTCTCTCAAGTCATAATCCAGCCTTCTGTAAGATATTTTCACTTGGATGCTCTGCAGCTACCTGAATGAAGCTCATCATACCTAAAAACTTAGTTCACATCTCACCTCCAACTCCCTCCCCCAAATCTCTCTCCTCCTCTTGAATTTTCTTTCTATGTACTCTCCTGAACTCCCAAAGACAGTTGTCTGCTTGTGCTGTCTCAAAATGCTATACTTCTCCCATGTTCTCTGATCCGTCTTCAGCATCCTAGATATTTCTGAAGCTGCCTGGTTAAAGCTTCCAGTGACCCTAGTAGCATGCAACTGAATAGTCTCTTTGCTTGTCCTCATGCTCATTGTTCAACAGCATTCAAGCTGCATACTTCTCAGCTGACCTTTCTCCTCTCTTGACCTCTGGTACATTACCCATCTAGTTTCCCATCTACTTTGGCTATTTCTATATAGTCTTCTTCTCTTCAACTTCTAAAATATAGAGTTCTTCTGACATTTCTTTAAATACTATCAATATATGCTGATAAACTATATTTCTAATAGGCTCCAGACCTGAAAATGTAATTAGTAACTCAAACTTTCTCTTTCTATTTCTCTCTCTCTCTCGATGTCTCTCAGGCATCTCAAACATAACATACTCTCCATCAAACTCTAGATTCCCTTGAAAGCCTCCCAGCTCTGTCAATCCCAAGTCTTTCCAGCTCAGTAAACGGCACTCCATTTCATACAGATCAGAAATCTTTCCCTTTCCCTCATCTCCCACATCTAATTCATCTGTAAGTTCTCTGGTTCCTACTATCCTTTCACCACTTTGATATAAGCCAACACCTGGACTCTGGAAATGGCCTCCAAACTGATTTCTCTGATATACTTCCTGACATCTTCAGTCCAACTCTGCCCCAATATCTTCACTGAGAACAGCTGGAGAGTAAACTTTTAAGAACTTACTGTGGCCCACAAGGCCATGCATGATTTGGCTTTTGCTAGTCTCTCCAAGCTCATCTCATTCCGTTCTCTTCTTTGCCCACAGAGCTTAAACCTGCTGTCCTTTCAGTTCCTGAGGCTAGCCCAGCTTTTTCCTGCTTCAAGGCTTTGCATAAATTGTTCCCTTTTCCTTGAACACTCTCTGCCTACTCCATATATATATATATATCTCCTTTGCCTAACTACACTTAACATTTGGTACAACAATTGATACATAGTAGGCTCTCAGTAAGTATTTGTTGAATGAGTGCAATGAACGGATCTGACTGGAAAAGTTCTACCAACAACCCGTTGGTCAGCGAGGAGGACAAAGGGAAACCACTCACTAAGTGCCAGAAACTGCCTGTTAGAAAAACAGAATGTTCTTATAGATATCTATATCTCCTTTTCCTTAAAGATCTATGATTTCATAGGGCTGATTAAAAAATAATCAAAATATTGACAGAACAGTATGTAGTGTGAGACTATGTAAATGCTTTCAGCAGAAGTTAAGATATAAATAATAAATACTGGCAGCCGAAGTACAGAAGACAATTAATTGCCAAATGATTAGTACAGGCTCATGGTTTCCAACATTTTCATCAGTAAGGATTTGTTCATTATGCTTTTCCCACAAGGACCTCATATTTTTGAAACCATCTGCCTACTAAACAAACTACATTTACCATGTGATAATTATTTTTCACTTTAAATCATATGTAATCCCCAATTAGACATATATAACCCCTAATTAGGGCATTTAGTCAACATAGCAATGCAAGCCAAAAGCAAGATCAGGAACTTTTGTTTTAATGTCAATAACATTTTTACTGAGCTTTTGGAAATATTTAAAATATCTTGCCAACCCCCACCTGGTGTTTCATTCAAAGCTTTAGCTTGTGTATTTTGTAAAGAAAATAATACATAGGTTTGTTTACCATATGTATCTTTTTTCTTCATGAAAGTCTCCCTGTGCCTTTTTGCAGATTAGTAACTATAAGTGAATCGGGTTCCTTGAGGGAGAGAAACTTCTATCATAGCGGTATTTTGAAAATGAGTTAATTGAGGTTTTGATAGTCTACCAGAGCCAAGATACATAGCAGACTCTGCCATGGATTCTAACATGCTTCGTCTTTTCTCTACTTGTCATGCAGCAGTAAACAGAGAAATGAAGAGAAAAAAATGAACAAAACCTTCGTTTTTAGTGAAACTATTGTATTTCTTTTTATCCTGCCTTAATGGTAGGAAGTAACACTACACACTAGTCCAAACTAATTTAGCTACTTAAGCTCTTTGTTCTTCCTTTGAACATGTACATGTAATTTTAATCATTTCAGGCAGCATGGGTTCTCAAGAAGTAATTTTTGTCAAGGAAAGGAAGAATATGTAAATATTTTATATACATAAGATGAACATTCATCCATGTGCTTTAGACGGGTCTGAAATAATCAAACTAATGATATTTTTCAAGCTGCCTCTTTGAGAACATTTCCTAAAAACTGACCATTATTAGCAAAATCAGTGTTTCTATAGAGGTATTTAAGATATTCAGATAGGCTGGATTAAGAAAATGTGGCACATATACACCATGGAGTACTATGCAGCCATAAAAAATGATGAGTTCATGTCCTTTGTAGGGACATGGATGAAATTGGAAATCATCATTCTCAGTAAACTATTGCAAGAACAAAAAACCAAACACCGCATATTCTCACTCATAGGTGGGAATTGAACAATGAGATCACATGGACACAGGAAGGGGAACATGGACACAGGAGATCACACTCTGGGGACTGTTGTGGGGTGGGGGGAGGGGGGAGGGATAGCATTGGGAGATATACCTAATGCTAGATGACGAGTTAGTGGGTGCAGCGCACCAGCATGGCACATGTATACATATGTAACTAACCTGCACAATGTGCACATGTACCCTAAAACTTAAAAGTATAATAATAATAATAAAAAAAAGAAAGTAAAAAAAAAAAAGATATTCAGGTAAATCATGTTACATAAGTTCTGAAGATAAAGGTTGTTAATCATATAGTTATTGAGCAACTTAACACCGGAACTCAAGATATTTCAATTCATAATTTTGCTAACAGGTGCAGAATCTTCTATATTTTTATAGCTTTTGTGTGGGAAGCAAGCTGTAGTGGAGTTGGTGGCAATTTTATCTTACTAGACAAACGCTTGATAGATCAAGCATTTTTGGTACTTAAAGTGTCTCACAATAGATCCAAATTTCACTTCTTTTTCCTGTCGAGATGCTCACAAACATCTACCACCTTAAGACTTTAAAGAACTTTACAAATGAATGTCATTTTCCTGCATGTTTTAGCCATAGACAAGATGAAACAAGTATATTGACTCTTCTGAGGTTATAAAGCCTCTGCACAGCTGGAACAAAAAGCTGTAGGGTTTTTTTTCCATTAGGTATATATAAACTTTTTATTTCATTATGGTAAAATATCTATAACAAAATGTGCCATTTTAATCACTTTAAGTATACAATTCAGTAGCATTAGCAACATTCACAATGTTATGCAATCATCGCCACTATTTCCAAAACTTTTCCATCACCCCAAACAGAAACTCTATCATCAGGTGCACTTTTCATGCAATATGTTGAATAAATGTTTATTCATTAAGAAATAGTTCATCCATTAAACAAATAGTTATCAAGTATCTACCACCGGTGTAACCCTCTGTTAGAAACTAGAGATAAGCAATGAGAACAATGTGAGATGAAAAGAATAAACAATGGAGAGAGTGGCCCATTTTCAGAAATTGGTGCCTCTGGAGGCCAGTCGACCAACTAAAACACCAGTAATAATATTAATACTATCTAAGCACTTTAGTTATATTAATTCATTTAATCTTTACAACAACCCTATGAGGCAGGTACAATTATTATTATCCTGATGCTGCAAGTGATGAAACTGAGGCAAAGGGAGGTTAAGTCACTTGCTCAAGGTCACACAGCTAATAACAGTTGGAGCTGGGTTTCCAACCCAGGCTGACACACTCAGAGTATGTACCCTTAACCACTGTGTGCAACTTTAAAAAATTTTTTTAACTGAGGTATAACTGACATACAATAAAATGCATCCAATTTAAGTTATGATTCAATGAATTTTAACAAGTGACTACAACCATGCATAGCATAATCAAGAAATAGCACATTTTCATCACCTTAAAATGTTCCCTTGAGCCCTTTTGCAGTCCGTGCTCCCTGACCCATAACCCTTAGTTTTAGGCAACCACTAAACTGCTTAATTATAGATTAGATAGATTTTCCTTCCTATAATTTCATATAAATAGATTCAAACAGTACTCTTTCCATCTAGCTTCTTTTGCTTTCCGTCTAGCTTCTTTTGCTCAGTAAACTTTTTTTGAGATCACTGATGTTGTTGCAGGTGTTAGTAGTTTCTTTTAACAGTTGAGTAATATACTACTGTTATTTGTTTATCAGTTCATCTGTTGATGGACTCTTGGGTTGTTTGCATCTTTGACTACTATGAATAAAGCTGCTGTAAGCATTCATGTACTAATATAAGCAAATGTAGGGTTTAATTTATTTAGGATAAATACCTACAAATGAGATTTGTGGGTTATATAGTAAGTATGTGTTTAACTTTGTAGAAACTGCGGCCGGGCGCGGTGGCTCACGCCCATAATCCCAGCACTTTAGGAGGCCGAGGCGGGCGCATCACGAGGTCAAGAGATGGAGACCATCTTGGCTAACACGGTGAAACCCCGTTTCTACTAAAAAACATTACAAAAAAAATTAGCCGGGCATGGTGGCAAGCCCCTGTAGTCCCAGCTACTCGGGAGGCTGAGGCAGGAGAATGGCGTGAACCCAGGAGGCGGAGCTTGCAGAGAGCAGAGATCGCGTCACTGCACTCCAGCCTGGGTGACAGAGCGAGACTCCGCCTCAAAAAAAAAAAAAAAGAAAGAAAGAAACTGCCAAATTATTTTCCAAAGCAGTTGTAGTGTTTTATGGTCCCACTAGCAACTTATGAGAGTTCTGACCATCCATGTCCTTGTCAACAGCGAGTATTTCAGTCTTCTTAATTTTGGCCTTTCTAATGTCTAATGGATATGCAGTGGTGACACACTGTGGTTTTAATTTGTATTTCCTTGAAGATAAATAGCGAGTATCTTTTCTTGTATTTACACAACATTCATATATCTTATTTTCAAATCATTTGCGCCTTGTTTCATTAGATTATTTTTTCTTATTATTGAGTTGACTACTTACTATTGAGGGTTTTTAAAAATATATTCTGGATATCAGTCTTTTGTCAAATATATATTTTGCAAATATGTTCTCCCAGTTTGTGGCTTGTCTGTTCACTTCCTTAATTTTGTCTTTCTAAGAGCAGAGGGTTTCATTTTATGAAGTCCAATTTATCATTCCTTAATGATTTGTCCTTGTTTTTATTCTAAGAAACTTTTGCCTATCCCAAGTTCACAAAAATTTTCTCCCATGTTTTCTCATCTAGTCTTTTATGATTAAGTATGTGGTTAGTTGCAGACTTTCGTAAATGTCCTTTACTATGTTAAGGAAGTTCCCTTCTGTTCTTGATATGCTGAGAGACTGTCATAAATGAAGCATTTATGAAATGCTTTTTCTGTATCTATTGAGATGGCCATATAGTGTTTTCCTTTTTTCTGTTAATATGGTGAATTCCATTGATCACATTTGAATTTCAAATCAACCTCATTTTCCTGAGATTTCACTGGATTATGATACAGCATCCTTTTAAATACTACCAGATATGATTTGCTCATATCTATTGAGGATCTTTGCATCTATGTTCATGAGAGATATTAGTCAGTGTTTTCCTTTTCTTGTTGTAATGTCTTTATCAGGTTTTGATATCATAGTAGTGGTGGCATCACAAAATGGGTTGGGAAATTTGCCCCCTCAATTTTGTAAAGAATTGATACTATTTTTTCCTTAAGTGTTTGATGAAATTCACCACTAAAGCCACCTGGGCCTGCAGTAAAACCCAGATTAGAACTTCAATTTCTTTAATAAATATGAGGCTAATAAGGTTTTCTATTTCTTCTTGAATCAAGGTTTGTTATTTACATCTTTCAAGGAATTTGTTCATTTCTTTTAAGTTGTCAAATTTATTGTCAGAGGTGTTCATATTCCATTCTTATGCTTTTAATATTTATAGAATCTGTAGTAATGTTCCCTCTTTAACTTCTAATGTTGGTATGTTTTTCTTTTTGATCAGTCTAGCTAGAGACTTAGCAGTTTTATTGATCTTTTCAAAGAACCAGCTTTTGATTTCATTGATTTTGTCTTTTGTGTTCTATTTTATTCATTTCTGCTCTTATCCTTATTATTTTATTCTTTCTGCTTACTTTGTTTTATTTCCTCTTTTTATCATGTAAGTTGAAAGCTTTATTGATTTTAGACCTTTCTTCTTTTCTAATATAAGCATTTAGAGCTATAAATCTCCCTCTAAGCACTGCTTTTGCTGCATCCCATAAATTTTGATATGTCATATTTTCATTTTTATTATTTTCAAGATGTTTCCTAATTTCCCTTGTATTTTTTTCTCTGCTGCATAAATTATTTAGAATTGTGTAGTGTAATTTCCAATAATTAGGAATTTTTCAGGTATCTATTTTTGATTCCTAATTAAATTCCCCTGTGGTCAGATATTATACTCTGAATGATTTCAATTTATTGACACTTGTTTAATGGCCTAGAATATGGTCTATCTCAATGATTATTCTATGTGTATTTGAAAAGAATGTGTATTCTGCTGTTGTTGGGTAGAGTAGACTACAAATGTCAATTACATCAAGTTGGTTGGTAGTGTTGTTCAAGTCTTCTGTCCTTACTGATTTCTTGTCTACTTGTTCTATTGATTATCAAGAGGGAAGTATTGAAACCTCTGACTATAATTGTGGATTTGTCTATTTTTCCTCACAGTTCTATTAGTTTTCACTTCATGTATTTGGAAGCTGTGTTATTAGGTGTCATTAAGGACACACTTCTCTAGCTGGAAAGAAGTCAAATGACTTCCAGGCCTTTGAGAACACTGTGAATTGTTTGGTTTACAACTCCCCAGTCATTTCGTTATGAAGCTTCTTTGGAATTTCCCCCTATGTCTTCATGATGACTTATTCAGCAACGATCTCAAGGGCAACCCTACCCCTACGCAATTTTCTGAAGCTCTCTCTCTCTCTTTTGTTAGTAGAATTCCCCCTCCTGCAACTCTGCTATTCCAATCCCAGCTGTTCCCACCTTCTGAATTTCTAATCTTTCAACTTGGCAAGACTGCCACACTCTGCTTGGCCATGCCACACCACCATATGAAAAGTATCCTAGGCAGAAAGCTAGTACTATTGCAGAGCTCATCTCATTTTTCTCAGGGTTCAGAGCACTGAATTACCTGTTGTTGTTCAATGACTACAAACAATTGTTCATACATTTTGCTTAGAGCGGGAAGGTATGTCTAGACCCAGTTACTCCATCATGATTAGAAACAGAAGTCAGTAACGTTTGAAAAGAGGCCAAAGTACTACAATATTCACAAATTATAGCTTACATAAACTAAGGTGAATTTTAAAAGGAGAAAATCCATTGAAAAATACTGGAAATATTTAGATTTCAAGAGTTTCAGGAACTCTGAAAAATAGTTTAACTAGTACCCCTGACATCAAGGGTTGATTATTCTGTTTGAATTAAGCCAGAGCTAATATTCCTAAGGATTCTAGTGATTCTTGCCAGCTTTTAGGATTTCA
This sequence comes from Homo sapiens, assembly GCF_000001405.40. Classification (NCBI taxonomy): domain Eukaryota; kingdom Metazoa; phylum Chordata; class Mammalia; order Primates; family Hominidae; genus Homo; species Homo sapiens. Next base: position 156,647,653 of record NC_000003.12, on the reverse strand, counting down.
GCAAGTAGTGCTTATTTATTCATTCATAAATAATACATTTACATATATCTCACATTAATTATGACCCATTTCATAACTTAGTATGCATTCATTCATCTTCTTTCTCCAGGGATAATAGATGTAAAGCAGAAATGCATTCCATGTTATGTATTTGCATTATGTGAATGTTCAGAAAAACCCAGTCAAACTTTCATATATTAGTTACAGATAAATAATGGAATCTTCAGGAACTCTTTTTTCTTTCCTATGTCTGCTGAATATGACTCCTTCCCAGTGGCTGGTCCTACCATCACCTGGAAAAAAACTCTTCAAAGCTTCTGATCTACTTCTTTCCTCAATTTTTACTTCACCCCATGAGGCAGAGTTAGGATTTATGGTAGGAGGATAAAAGGAGAAAAGAGAATAATCATGAATAATATTAGCAATGAATGTTAAGCACTTTCAATATGCCATATATTGTGTTCATTAGTCAGTATTGCCTAGGTTTGCTGTGATAACAAGCAATCCCCAAAGCTCAGTGACTTATAACTTGTAATAACAAAGGTTTCTTTTTTGCTATTTTAGATCTTTATTGTATGCTGGCTCTGATTTTAGTCTATATTTTCTTTACTATGTGACTTTGAGGAATGGAGCAATAGCTGTCTGGAACATTGCAGGTCATTATGGTAGAGGGAAAAGAGAAACATGACAAATGGTGTATTGGCTCTTCAGTCTTCTTCCTCAAAATGTCATGTGTCACATTCACTCATATTTCATTGGTTAAATCAAATCTCATGGCCTAGGCTGACATCAGTGGGGTTGGGAAGTCTAATGCTCCCCCAGGGAGAAACACCAAATATTTGTGAACAATAAAGTAGTCTACTATACTGTACTAAGCACTCAAATATTTTCTCCTTTTGTCTTCATAACAGCCTTCTAGAAATAGGTACTATTATTGTTTTATTTTAGAGATGAATAAACTAAGGCTCAGAGAGTAACCTGGCAAAAGTCAAACAATATGAAATGGTAAGGCGTGGTCCCAGATTGTCTGACCCTACTGTAATTGTATTATACTGCCATCAAATGAGAAAAGGAAAAGAAAGGAGCTGGGAAGGAATGAGCAGAAAGAAAGGAAAGGAAGCAAGATATTAAAAATAATTGCAAACTACTTCTTAAGGAAATCAGATGCAGTGATAAGAAAGGGGTAAGGAAAAGTAAATGGGAAAGATGAGAGAAAGGAAAATGTTCTTTTATCTTATTGCTTGCCAGTCCACCTGCATATATCCATCCTGCATCACATGCCTTTATCTTATGCCATCCCAAGAAAGCCCAGCTCCTGTCTCTCCACATTCCAAAGTCTCTAACCCCATGACCTACCTCGAGGTTCCCCAGAGTCCTAGTCTATTTTAATTGATTGTTCTTTTTATACTGTGCAAAAAAGTGAGTTAAACTTATAAATTTAGCATTGACAAAAAACATTTCTATTCTTTATACCTGGCATGTTATAAAAATGCAAACACTTGATACTTTTCTATTGTTGCCTTTGGAAACATGCATATTAGTGATTTGTATCTGCCCTTTGAATAAAAACCAGTATCCAAAGTTTTCTGAAGCAATTCTGTGAGAACGGAAGGTGAATATAGCTCATTAATATAACTTTAAAATTACATTAAAGTGGGAAAAGAAACTGGAAAATATCACTAGCGTTAACGAAAAAGCTTAAAATCTGTGTTCTATAAAATGCTCATACAAAATGAGCTGAGGAAAGAGATGCCTCTTCCAAGAGGAACTAACCAGTAAACAAATACATGGAAAGGATTTCATCCTCACTAGTGGTAAAAGAAATGCAAATTAAAACAAAAATGAGGACTATTTTGTGTTTATTAAAGGGGCACACAACTCTTTCAATGTCACCACTTGATTATGAGTTGTTTTTTCAGTGAAATTATTATAATCTTAAAGTGTTGTTGATACTTCTTGTAGGAACTATGTGTAACATATAACAAGCTTGTATGGGTTAAATCATACTGTTTAAGCCTCTACTTTCCCGAAAATGAACCATGAGCTTGTCCCAGCATTCCAGTGGGGCTGCTGCAGTGGCTGGATACATTTCTGATGGAGAAATGTCTATCTCAAATGTAAAAGGTGGGAGGCTGTGGGTGGAACCTTCAGAGTTCCTTAGTCACTAGAAGAAATAAAAACCTCCTCATATCCAGGGTTTTGACCTTTGATCCTACCTCTTAGAATAGATTCTGAACAAGTAATTCGTAAGGGAAAAAAAGCCAAATAGACAAAGATTCGCTGCATTATTTCTTATAGAAAAGATTATGAAATGTATGTTGGACAACAGGAAAATAATGTAAAAGATGATGTAGCTATTAAAATGTAGATTACAAGGACTACACAGCAACATGGAACATGCTTCTGAAATTGTATTAATTGAAAATGGCAGAAGGCACCCACTGTGATTATCCACAATGGCTAGAAAAGATCAGGGCCAAACAAAAAGTTGGATTTGCTGAGGTGACAAGATTGTAGGCAAAAGTTTTCTTTCAGTTATTTAGATTTATTGTGTAATACAGACAGAATATTTATGTAATTAGAATTTTATTTTCAGAGTAAAAGAGAAATAGGATACTGTGACCCTTTCCTACTCTTATTGGAGGCTTCAGGATTTCACTATAATGCAAAGCTCCAAATCAAGCTCAGTTTTGGTATTTTCTGATAAATATTAGAAGCTCACTCCTAATTTGAAATGGTCAGCCTTTTTCATAGGATGGTTTATGTGTAGATAAGTAGCTCTTACATTAATCCAATTAACTTGGAAGATTGTAGGCAGGAATGTACACCAATCATAGTGTCCACTTGTTAAATTTTTTAAATTACAGGACAAAGCATAGGAGAAAATGGCATTTTAAAATTATGGTATTCACATTTAAAAAATACTCAATATATTTTTGTTTTCAACCATGTTTCAGGTGATGAATCTCTACATTTAAGGCAGTGGATTTAGCTGTAAATCTGAAACAAGAAGTGCACAATTTCACCTGTGTTTCCAGACTTCTGGATGCTCTTGTAGTGTTTTTATTGTACTTTTTTCAGATCAACAATTGGACCCATTGCATTATTTTTAGAGATGCTTCACCTGAAAGGCGGTCTGGAGGTTGAAGAAAAAAATATTCAGCATATTATTTGGAAATATAACTAAAATATTGTTTAAAACAAATTCATCCTATGTATCCTCACTATTTTGAACACACTGTCTTACCCTTAGCACTGTATCTATCTCATCAACAGCAAAAATAGAAAAGCCAGACATAGTCTTCTATACTGGGGGGATGGCAGAGCAGAGCAAGGGAGGAGGGGGAAAATAAACCATAACTTCTTGTGGCTGTTCTGGCTGAGGAAAGTTAGGTTTCAACAGCAGGCTTGAAATGAGTTATAGGCTCACTGATGGAGGGGGATGGGTTGAGGGGAGGAAACTATTTTCTGCTCTGGGCTCCCACACTCAACAGGGGAATGGGAAAAGAGTTATGTGCCCTCCAGTACCTCCGAGAACAGCTTTCTTAGTGTTCACCTACTGAGCTTGAGGCAAATTTTCAAGATAGATGATCTAGTTCCTCCTCTCTGTTTAGTGGCTGCCCCTACCCTCAGAGATAGCTGTGCGGAAACCGCATGAGTGTGTGTGTAAGTGCAGGCACGCATGTGTTTGCGTGGAAGGTGGGAGTGGTAGCAGAGGCAGGGGAATGAGGAAGGAGAGGAAAATCTCAGAGAGAATAATGAGGCTGTTGAGTGTGGGAGCCCAGTGCAGAAAATATTCTGGTGCTTGAGAGAGAACAGGAAGGAGTGTGTATTTGTGTATGTTTCTTTTCTTAGATCGTTTCATTCAGGAGGCATCTCCCTGGAGACTGAGGAAATTGTAGGAGTCCCCTGGGGTACTGTCAGCTCTACTTGCTGAGCTTCTGGAGAAAGAGTGAAATACTAGGTAAAGGAGATGCCTCCAGCCGGCTTCCAGGCAGAGGCAGTACTGAGAAGAAGGTGCAGGGAGGTGAGAGGGACCCCTGCCCTGAATAAATTGGAGATATTTCCAGATGTGCTCCCTCCCCACACTCAGCCTCGCTGTGCTAGCTCTCGTCAGGAAGGACAGTAGGATTGTACCATGACTCCCTGAAGCTCTAGGTTGGCAGGAGGGATGCTCCTCACGGTATGCGCTCACCTTCCTTGCTCTGGCCATAACCACTAAGCCTCCCAGCTTCAAATAAGAGCCATTCCTGTGACAACTGCTAAGTCCAGGGAGTGGTTGGAGGGCTGACACTTTCCCTCCTAGGGACTTCAGAAGCCCTGTGGTCTGCCAAAGACTGTCCCTGGCCCTCTGTCCATTCTCCCGAAAGGACTGCCTGCCAGAAGCTTAGAACCAGCAGCCACTAGGGCAGAGGAAGCCTGTGAGTTTGAAATGCCTCACCACACATTTGCAACAGCCTTCTTTGCTACTCTTTTTCATTGCAAATGTGAAGTAATCCATCTGCATTCTTGCTTCTGTGGTCCTATTTATATCATTGTTTCTGGAGAAAGTGTGCTCTATGTTGCAAAAAACAAAAAAAAACCCTGATAAACAAACATCTGAAACACAGACTCTTTAAAGAATAATGTCTTGTAGCCTCTGGGAATGCCACCTATTTACTAAAACAAACATGTCTCACGCATCCTATGCCAGGCTTTGAAACACTGTCAGTGCTTTCATAAACTGGGTCACTGCGGCTAGTGCTCTGGGATGTACAATGACAGGGCAGGAAGTGCCCTTGAATTACACAGTGAGACCCTCTAATTCTCTTTCCTTCTGATTACAACAAGGAGGTTGTTTCAGTTTGGAGCTGATGGATTTGAACACCTTTCCAACACTTGCTTGTTACTATTATTACTGTTTTAACAGGCCATATGTTCAGAGCTTTTTGGCAGGTTTCTGGCTAGAATTTAATTTGTTTGCTTTGTTTTTGTTGCATTTATTTTTGTAATTAACTTCTGTTCATGGCCATTGATATTGGTCTTCCCTTTATGTTGTGATCATGTATTTTAAAAAATAAACTGAAGTCAGACATAAAAGTTCTATTTAAAGAAAGAAATAGTTATGATGTTGTGCAACGTGGCAAAAGCATGTTCAAAAATTTGGGAAACCCAGCGTTCACATATTATAGAGCACCTTGATAAAGTACTGAAAGCAAACTCATTAAAACAGTGTTTCTTGCTACCCATAGGGAACAACTAGGGTTTTTTTTTTAATTGTTTTTAATTTATCATGACCAATTGCTGCTGTAAAATATAATAAAAATGAATTATTATAAACATTATCATGTGCTTGGGTTTAAGGACAATGTCATGTTGCTATATAAGTTATTAAATGCTTACTTTCTGTTTCTGCACTTACCTTGCCACAAAATTCTTACAACCCCCCACGGACCAGCATCCCATCACACTTTGTTATTTATTTATGTATTTATTTATTTATTTTTTAAGATGTAGTCTCGCTTTGTCTCCCAGGCTGGAGTGCAGTGGCACCATCTCAGCTCACTGCAACCTCCGCCTCTTGGGTTCAAGTGATTCTCCTGCCTCAGCCTCCCGAGTAGCTGGGATGACTACAGGCACACTCCACCATGCTGGGCTAATTTTTTTATATGTTTAGTAGAGATGGGGTTTTGCCATGTTGGCCAGGCTCTTCTTGAACTCCTGACCTCAGGTGAGCCTCTCACCTTGGCCTCTCAAAGTGCTTGGATTACAGATATGAGCAACTGCTCCTGGTTCCATCACACTTTGGAAGTAGAAGGTGAGTTCTGCCTAAGCAAAATCAAGCAAGTTAATCCTAAAGATAGTTCAGAGGGAATACTGGCCTACCCAGGTTGAGAAAGCCCTTCACAGTTGTTTTATTTTTAGTACCATCTAGACATTCTTTCATTTATCCAACAGAGAGTATCTACGATGTGCAAGATATTACACAAAACCCCAGGAGGTAGGGGTTGAGGGGAGTAGAAAAGGATGACTACAACAAGAGATAAGTTAAAAATAAATTAATTAAAACCCCAGGAAGCTTATAATGTAATACTGAAGACAGAATATATATTACAAAGCAATTGGTTGTCAGGACCCATGAGTAAGAGTCTAAATATAATAGAAATGTAATGTAATAGAATCAGTACTGAGCTAATTCCATGCACTTCCCTGTTCTCTAATGCCTCAGAGAGATATCCTCAAGGCAGGTGGGTGAGGTGGGCACTGCTGTCCCTGGATCAAGCAAGTGGAGGATGGTCATTAGCCAGAATGGCTAAAATCCTTCTGAGGGAGGCCTTTAACATCCATCATGGCAATAATTCAATCTAGGAAGTTTAGTTTTTTTATTTTCCACAAGGCCATCATGAAGACAAGCAGGAGTGTGAGAATTTGTAAGCCATAATTTGCAAATGTAAATTAACAAGGCTGCATTTCTACAATTTTTTGTTTGCCTGGATTGTCTCTGACTGCAACTTTGTCTTGGTGAACAGATCTGCCCATTCCACCCAAATGGGAAATCCCCTTGCCTGTTCCCAGTACTGAGTAGACCTGGGGCTACCCATGGCTGAGTGCAAAATAGAAGACAAGCCACTGGACCTTAGAAATAGTGCATGAGGGGCCAGGTATGGTGGCTCACATCTGTAATCCCAGCACTTTGGGAGGCCAAGGTGGGCGGATCACCTGAGGTCAGGAGTTGGAGACCAGCCTGGCTAACATGGTGAAACCCTCACCTGTACAAAAATACAAAAATTAGCTGGGTGTGATGGCAGTTGCCTGTAGTCCCAGCTACTGGGGAGGCTGAGGCAGGAGAATCGCTTAAACTCAGGAGGCGGAGGTTGCAGTGACCCGAGATCATGCCACTCTACTCCAGCCTGGGCAACAGAGTGAGACTCCATCTCAAACAAACAAACAAACAAACAAAAAAAGAAAGAAATAGTGCATGAGTTGAAGTCTAGGGAAGAATAGAACTATTGAAACTGTTCTCATTTTAAAGGAACCTTCTGTGTGCAGTAGGAAGTACTATTTGGGTTATGGAACAAAAATATGTAAATTCATGATTTTATAATTTGGTAAAAGGTGTTAAAATATTCACAGGAAAGGCTAATAAAATGTATATGAAATACAACAAAAAATACAAAGAGATGACAAGATCAATTTGCCAAATTCATTTATTCATTCCCCAAAACATTTATTGAATGCCTACTATATGCTAGGTGCTGTTTCAGTGCTACGGATCAATGAAAACAAACAAACAAATGAACAGACAAATTCCTGCTCACGTACAGCTTACATTCTAGGGTGGGAGACAGATAAAACCAAGTTAACTGAATATATAGCATGTTAGATGTTGACAAATGCAATAGATTTGATACCATCTAACAACAGATAAAAAGAAAATATGGAATGTAAGGAACTGTGCATGAGGGAGAAAGGGAAATTAGTGTTTTAATAGGGGGACCTGGGAAAGCCTTGCTAAGAAGGTACCACTTAAGTAAAGATGTGATGGAGTTGAGGGAGTGAGCCATGGTGATATCTGGGGGAAGAGCCTTGTGGGAAGAAGGAATAGCAAGTCCAAAGGTCTGAGACAGGGTCATGCCAAAAAGGTTCCAGGAAGAAGAAAGAAAAAGAAAAAAAGGAAGGAGGGAAAAAAGGAAAGAAGGAAGGAAGAAAAGAAGGAAGGGAGGGAGGGAGGGAGGGAAAGCCCTTCACAGTGTTTTTATTTTTAGTGGCATGTAGACATTCTTTCATTTATCCAGTTCTTTCATTTATTCTTTCACCTTTCCAAAGAAAGAAAGGAAAGAAAGAGAAGAAAAAAAGAAAGACAGAAAAAAGAAAGAAAGAGAAAGAAAGAAACAAAGAAAGAAAGAAAAGAAAAGAAAGAGAAAGAATCAAAGCAACAAACAAAAAACAGGACAGAATGATTGGAGCACAGTAAGTAAGAGAGAGGGCTGTAGGGAATGAGATCAGAGGGGCAATCAGAAATTACAAGATGTGGGAAAGACTTTGTTGGCCATTGCAGTGACTTTGACTTTGTGTGGGGTGAGATAAGTAGCCATCAGGGGATTTTGAGCAGCAAAGTGACAATGCTCTGACTTACATTTTGAAGATCACTCTGGCTGCTGGCATGAGAATGGACCATAGAAGAGCAAGAGTAAAAAAATAGGGAGAGCAATTAGGAGTGTAATGCTGTAAGCCAGGTGAGAGATAAGGCAGCTTGGACCAGAATCACAGCAGTAGAAGTGATGATAAGTGGCCAAACTCTGGATATGTTTTGAAAGTAAAGCTGAGAGCATGAAAAACTGAGGCGTCATGAGTGATGCCAACCCTACATGAATTTTGCTGTTTCTACCCCCGGACCGTCAGTAAGCCTGTAAGCATCTGTACCAGGCTCTAGCACAGAATAGGTTCTCAATAAATATTTAATAGATGAAGGAATGGGCTCTGCCAGAGAAGAAAATACTTTGGGAGGAGAGATTTGGGGTATGAAGGGAAGCTAGAGCTCAGGTTTGGCCGTGCTAAGTTTGAGATCATTATTAGCATCAAATGAATAGGCAGTATGATTTCTAGGTTAGGGGTGTAGTGAAAGGTTAGACTTCTATAAATTTGGGAATCATCAGCATTGGCAGTATTGAGATGGCATTAAAAGCCACGAGATTAGATGAGATCACCAAGAGAGTTAATGCAAAAGAAATGATAAGATGTTGAAGGACTGAGACCTGGGACACTTCAACATTTAGTTGTTGTAGAGATGAGAAAGCATCAGCAAAGACAACAGAGGCAGTCAGAAGCATGGTAGGAGACAAAGTGGGTAAGTGTGGTATTCTGGAAGCCTAATGATCAACTCTGTTAATGCTGTTCAAGAGCCAAATAAGATGAAGACTAAGAGCTGCCACTGGATTTAGCAGTGTAAAGGGGCCTGGAGATTTTGACAAAAGCAATATGGGTGGAGGGATGGGAGCAAAAGCCTGATTAGGGTAGGCTTTACACAGAAGGAAAAAGACAGGGGGAGTGGGGAAGAGGAAATGGGAAGAGAGGAATTGGAGGCAGCAATCACAGACAACTCTTGAGTTTCGGTATAAAATCAAGGAGATACAGTAAGGAAGCAGTAGAATCAAGACAGAGGTTTTTTTTGTTTACTCTAAGTTTTATAGGCCAATGAGAAAGATCTAAGCTGATGAGAAAGATCTAGTAGAAAGGAAAAAAACTGATGATGCCGAACAAAGGAGAATTGTTGAAGAAGTGCCCTTCAGTAGGTGAGAAGCAATACGATCGAGTGCACACTTAGATCTTTGCTAGATTCATCCACAGTAATGAAAGAGAGCAGAGTTTGGATGCATATGCTGGTGGGTGGTAGATGTGTTGGTGGGAACTTGTAGAAATTCTCTTCTGATTGTTTTCATTTTCTCAGGGAAATAGGAAACAAGGTTATCAGCCTAGCCTAGGGATGAAGTTTCGAAGAGAGAAAGAAGGGTATGAAATAGTTATCTAGGAGAGTAGAAATTTGAATGGATCAGGGAAGTGGAACATGCTTCTCAGGCCATATAAAAGGCACTACTTAGGTTTATGATTATTAATTTATATTATGTTCTACAGTTTATAATTGTGTTATTTCATCTGAAGTCTACCTGGGGTAGGACAAAAATTATTGGCTCCAACTTGTAGATGAGAAAATTGATTCTCTGAAAGATGCTGGTCCTGCCAAGTTCACCTAACTGGTTAGCAGGGAGCAGTGTGACCCAGTTCCTCTGACACTTGGTTTAGTTATTTCACTCTCTGTGTTGGCCGGGGGCTATGAGTACTATGACAGCAGAGGTAAAAGATTACTCAGGGTGAGAGTTGCCCGAGGAAGCTTCATGGAGGAAGTAAAGGGACTAGAAGGAGCCAGGACTTCCAAGTGAAGACCAACAGAGAATGCCTGCCAGGTTGATCAGGAACAGTGAAAAAAAAACTTGTAAGGAGTGTTTGATAGACAGTGAATAAACCAATTTGGTTGCTATAGAGGGCAGAATTCCAGACAGGCGTCTTTGAGGCTGAATCCAGCCTGCAGATATGATTTATTTGCACTGCACTTTACTTTTTGTTTTGAGCCAACATTTAAAAACTCAGGAAATTTTGCCTAAAAATTCAGATTTATAACCTCTGTTGAATAAATAGAACATCTGGCAACCTTCAGCCCAAATTTCTTCATAGCAACACCCAGCTCTCGCTTTTAAATAGGCCACATGTTCTCCCATTTGCCACAGTCCATACTACTCCTTACTGTTTATATAGGACCCATATTTTTCACTTCTATTATCTTCCCAGCCCCTCTGAAGTCTACCTGGGGTAGGACTTGGCATTTGAGTCTTACGCCTGTTCTATGAATTCTATGGCTTAAAAAGTAGATTGTAGTCAAACTCGAGTTCCAAGCTAAGGAATTTGGTCTTCATTCTATAGGAAATAGAGAGTCATTAATACTTTTTTTTTTTTTTTTTTTGAGACAGAGTCTCACTTTGTTGCCCAGGCTGGAGTACAGTAGTGTGATCTCAGCTCACTGCAACCTCTGCCTCCTGGGTTCAAATGATCTTCCTGCCTCAACCTCCCGAGTAGCTGGGATTACAGGCGCCCACCATCATGCCTGGCTAATTTTTGTATTTTTAGTAGAGACGGGGTTTCAACATGTTGGCCAGGCTGGTCTCAAACTCCTGACCTCAAGAGATCTACCTGCCTCAGCCTCCCAAAGTTCTGGGATTACAGGCATGAGCCACCACACCCGGCCCCATTAATAATTTTTGGGGAGAGAAGCCAAGGCTTAAAACAGCTCTTTCAAAATGATTCTGAAAAAATATTCTGATTTTTATCTGAGGCTGGGAATGAGGATAGGAAAGTAAAGGCAAGGGGTTCAAACCTCATTGCCTGGTGCTATGGTCTGGATGTATCTCCCCCAAATTCTTATAAAACTTAATCACCAATATGATAGTATTAAGAGGTGGGGCCTTTAGGAAGTGATTAAGTCATGAGGACACAACCCTTGTGAATAGATTAGCAACCTTATAAAAGAGGTTGGAGGAAGCACTGTAGGCCCTTTTGCACTTATGTCTTCCACTATGCGAGGACAGAGTGTTCATTCCCTCAGGAAGAAGCAGAGTTCAAGGCACCATCTTGGAAGCAGAGACCTGGCCCTCACCAGACACCTAACCTACTAGTGCCTTAATCTTGGACTTCCAAGCCTCCTTGGAATAGCATAAATAGAATAAATTTCTATTCTTTATAAATTACCTGGTCTCAGGTATTTTGTTAGCTGCACAAACAGAGTAAAACACCTGGGGAAATGGGAGCTAGGAGCTGGGCACAGGCTGTGGAATTGGTGGGCTTGGTCCGTATGGCTTCTACACATTAAGATCAGGGTTGGCAGGTTTGGGCAGTGCAGGGGTGAACAGGGAACCAAACTCGGACTGGAAATGCATGGTCATCAGTGAGGTTAGGTTAGTTGGCTCAGAGCCTGGAGGAGTTCCTTGAAGTAGAGATATAGGAGAAGGGGGCCTCGAATAGGGTCCTATAAGCAGGAAAGTTACCAACAAAGAGGTCAAGCTGGTTCTGGCCATGTAGTAAAGGCTGGACCAGGAACATGGCTGTGGCAATGGAAACAGTGGGAGTGATGTAAGAGCCATTTGAAAGAAAGATTCAATAGGAACTTTGTGACTAATTGAAAGGGGATCTGAAGAAGGAAGGAAAAAACAACACTAAGGCTTCTAACTCAGGGGTCAAGAAAATAGTGGTGCCATTAACAGACATAGAAAAGTGAAGAAGAGAATGAAGTTTTTAAGTATATGAGACATAAGGTCCCTTTAGAATGCCCAGGAGGCATTTGGAAGGAGAGTTTCTAGAGGAGTCTAGGCTGAAAGTAAATATTAGGATATCATCTGCATAGAGGGAAGAGATGAAGATGGAGGAAAGGCAGAGGGAGGGAAGTAGGGAAAAGAGCTGAAGAGTAAGGACTGAATCCTCAGGCGTATTTATATTTAGGGAGCCCATGAAAGTATCAGAGCCATAATAGATGAATTCAGCTCCATGCTGATCAAGGGGAAAGACATGGTGCTAAGTTAGATCAAACTCTGCAAAGACTAAAGAGAATGAGGACTGAGAAACAAAGGCAGAGCCAGAGGAAGGTGTTTGCTAGAGAGAAGAGCTACAATTTATTCATTTGACAACTGTTTATTGAGAACTTAGCCCTTATCCAGGCCCCGAACAAACTGAGGTGGGCAGAATGGAGATCTAGCCTCAGGGATCTTACATTCTACCGGAGCACACAGACATTATACAAGTGTCTATTGTGGTTAACTCTATGAAGAAAAATGAAGCAGGGCAAGTGGGTAGAGAGGGACTGGAGGATTCAGAAAGGCCTCTCTGAGGAGGTGACATTTAAAAAGAACTCTAAAGGAAGTGAGGTTGCTGGCCATGCAAATATCTGGGGGAGAGCATTCCAGGCAGAAGGGAAAGCAAGGGCAAGGCTTGAGTCTGGCACATGCTCAGTGGGTGTGAAAACAGCAGAAAGGCCAGAGTGGCTGGAGAGTAAGGGTAAAGGGGGACACAGGGGCCAGATCATTGAAGACCACGTGGGTCACACTAAGGACTTCAGATGTTAACCTAAGTATGAGAGGCGTATTGGAGGGCTGACACCAGGCAGTGATATGGTGTTATTTATGCTTTAACAGAACTGGATGTTTGTTTCTGACTGTCTGTGACTTGGAGGGGGAACAGGGAGAGGGCATGAGTACAAGCAGGCAGCTAAAAGGCTCTGGAAGTAGTTTAGATGAGAGATGGCAGTTTGGAGCAGGAGGAGTGGTGGTTTGGAGCAGGAGAAGTAGCCAGATGATGCTAGGGGATGAAGCCATCAGAAAGTGCGATCTTGCAGATCCTATAAAGAGGGGGAGGAGAGAAACTTCCATGAAAGAGTAAAATCTACACTCAGGGACTGTTTAGAAGTTCTGAGATGCAAAGAAAGCAAGGTGCCCTAGCCTTCATTTCAATCACTTTTGTTTGTTTTTGTTTTGCAGATCCCCATGGAATGGCTGTTAATATTAGTGGAAGGTAAATTGGCCAATGTTCAAAAAAAGCTCTCTCAGGAATGGTGATTGTATGCCTTTGGTTTACAGCAGGAAAACGCTGACCTCTCCCGATCTCAGGTATAGGTCTAGAGTGGAGGGCTTCTTATCTTATCCTAAGAGTTTTAAGAATAACACCTCATGACACCCTCCTTCTTAGCCCTGACTCCATGGTTTCTTGGACTCTGGCAGCTGAGGTGTTGGGGAACCCCTGTGGCCCATTACTCTCTTGTCCCATCCCCTCTAGGTCACTTAGTCCATCTGGCTCTCTAGTCTGCACACTGGCACTAAGTCAAAGTTCTCGAAGTACTGCTTGGATCGTGTCAGGCCTCTTCTCAAAAACCTTTAGGAACCTTTCTTATTTACCAAGTTGAAGTAAGTGCTGCTTCTGTTTGGCCCCAGCCTACCTTTGGATCCTTTGGCCTCCTCTTTTTTCCAAGACCTCGTCAAGATGTCACTGCTTGCTTTTCTCCAAACACATATCCTCTTTTGCTACCTCTGTGTCTTTGCTCCTGCTGTGCCCCAATCCTTCCCTGCCTGGTAAAAATCTACTTACCATTCAAAACCCATTTCTAATACCACTTTTGCCATGAAGTGTTTTGAATGTGATCGTCCTCCTTGAAATCCTTTCACAACGTATGCTATTCACTATTCTCAGGGTACTTGCTAGTTTTTTGGGGTTTGGGTTATCTGTGTGCTTTGTCTGATTCTCTCCTCTCTCCCCACATTTGACTGATGCTTCAAGGGCACAACTCCTTTCTCCTCTTTGTATCAACTGAGGTCCTTAGCACAAGGCATTGAATATAACAGGCAGTCAACAAATACTGAACTGGATTGCTTTTCAGACGAGACAAACAAGAATTCTGAAAGAAGTTAGAATGTGGGAAGAGAGACTTGTGAGCAAGCGTTCACAAATGTTGGAATGTACTGTGAGGATAAGCAGAGGAGCAGCCAGTAGGATGAGTGCAGGCGTGGTAGGCAGCCAATCATGTGGGCCTGGCAGTGAAGGAGCTGCAGGCCTGAAGCCAGGACTTCAAGGCCACCCTCCCACATGTGGCCTGCTGCCTGGACAAGCCACCCTAAGAGTCCCACAGACTGTATGAGTTATAGGTGACTTGAGACAATTCACTCTCCTCCTATAAGCTCTTTCAGGTGGCTTGGGAAGCCCCTGTCACCAGTCATTTTTATATGACAGCTGCATGGGCGGAACAGCTGGCCCCCTCCACTCTATTAATGTGTGTGTCTACTCCTAGCTATGAAGGCCTCAGTCCACCATGCCAGTGCCCAGCTTCCTCTCCTTTGTTTATTCTGATTCTCTTTCACTGTTTATCACCATGAAATTACCCCAAATCTGTGATCTGCACCTAACCATCAAAATAACTTGGCTCAATCGACTCGAAATTCCCAAACAGCCATTTCGGCTGTTAGAGCGTGAAAGGACCTCAACAGTTACTGAATTCAGCTGCCCCCAACTAGGCTGCAAAGCAGAATCAGCCGTGTGACTTCTCTATGCCCCACATCTGGAAATCCTGATTAGTAGATTGTGGTGGGCCCCTGTTTTAGTCCATTTGTGTTGCTGTAAATGAATACTTGAGGCTGGGCAATTTATAAAGAAGAGAAGTTTATTTGGCTCACGGTTCTGCAGGCTGTACAAGAAGCATGGTACCAGCATCTGCTTCTGGTGAGGGCTTCAGCTCACCATGGGACAAGCTCTTGGTAGAAGGGGAAGAGGACCTGGTGTATACAGAGGTCACATAGCCAGAGAGGAAGCAATCAAGTGTCATGGTAACTGATAGAGCAAGAATTCACTCATTACCTCAACAACTGGCACCAAGCCATTCATGAAGGATCGGCCCCCATGACCCAGACACCTCCCGTTAGGCCCTACCTCTAATATTAGGGGTTGAATTTCAACAAGATGTTTGGAGGGTCAAATATCTAAACCACGGCAGGCCCGGAATCTGAATTTTAACATGCCTCCTACGTGGTTCTCACAGAGCCTGTGTACCATGATGTAATCCCCTCACTCATCTCATAGATGAGGGCTCTGAGACAGAGCATTTGGTTGCCTGGTTCAAGGTCAGGCTGCTGGTGTTAATAACAACCAACACTGCCTTCACACTTCACAGTGTACATTATTTCATGTGATTCTCCAGTAACCTGCAAAGCTGGTATTAAAGGATCATCCCCATTTTACAGAGGAAGAAAGGAGGCTTCCAAGCAGGCAAGTGAGTTGTTGCAGGTCTCACTGTTAATGAACGAACAAGAACTCATGTTCAGATTTCATAAGCCTCAGTCCTGCCATCTTTTCACTAAAAAATAAGGGTTCTGAGCCCAAGTAGGTGGTGGTGGATGGGGCTGGGTGAGGAGGACATTTCAAACCAAATTCCATGCGGTTCTGGCTCCCTATTGCTTGCTGTCACCTGAAAGAAATGAGTAGTATTCAAAGGCATACATCAACTTAATGTGAGGTTTACAAGCTTTATAATGATTGATTGGAATTTTTAAACAGACTTTTAATTATGAAAGTGTTCAGGTACACAAAGTAAGAACAATTAGAATAATCCTATTTGCCATAAAATTATTCTATTCCTTTTTGTCTTATTGGGGCAAGAATAATCCTGTTTACCCTAATAGAAAATCCTTATTTATCCAACATCCAGATTCAATAATGATCACAATTTTGCTACATTTGCTTTATCTGGCCCCCTTTATTATTTTTCTTTGCTGAAGTTCTTAAATTGAAGTATGTTAAAACAAGCCCCAGGCATTGTGTCATTTCTTCTCTTCATACCTCAAGATGCATCTTGTAGCAACACCCGACCTGTGTTTAAAGGAGTGTGACATTGCAGGCAGAGCCCCCTCCACCCACCCTATACCAGGAGCATAGCATATCTGCCTGGGTGCCCTGGCAGGCACCTGTGTGTTGTACTCTGGCACCAGGTGTGGGTTCTCAATCATCCTGGCTGGAAAACACATTTTTGGCTCCTTCTAAACCCTCTGACCATTCAGGTGTTGATTTAATTCAGTTCCAGCTTGTCAGTTGCTGCTGAGTGCCGCCTTGCCTGCTTTAATGACTGTCAGGAAAGGAGGTAGAGAAGCTGCCTCCAGGAGAGTTACTCAATTCCTGATTCACCAGTAGAACTGTAACTAATTCCCTCTCCATGGTAAGATGCAGGACATCTATTCCTGCTGCCATAGACCTGAGGGACAATCACAGATTGAGGAATCAGAGTGTCTAGCATCCATCGGGCAGAAAAGAGTGGTTATTATTTTTGGCAAGCACATGTGAAATATCTGCCTGATGCTGGGGTATTCACCAGTCACATTAAGATGAAAGGTGCTCTAATGCCACCTCTGCAGAAGTAGGGAGGGATGATGAGAGGAACCTCGTATATTTCACTTTGTTCAGGCTGTCCTCCCGCTACATACCACCAGCTGTTCCCATCAGTACTACATCTATAAAATCAAAAGCGAGAGCCCTAAAATCTGGAGTTAAACAGGTCTACAGCTTTTATCCTGGCCTTTGGCACTGCTTCAACCAAAGCCGTGTGTGGACTTCCCTTCGTCTGCCTGGCCAGCACCCCTACCTCTCTGCCAACCCTAGTGAGGCATTCTTAGGAGGCTCTAGAATGACAGTCCACAGAGATTCTTCAGCATTCATTGTGCTGACACACCATCCAACACAGGCTGGACACAGGAACCACAACTTTGGGTTAAGTTACCCACACTTCTATTTCTGGGATACTGCAGCATATATGTGTCCTAAAATGCTTTTGGAAAACAGGAGTAGCCAAGCTCAACACATTTTTACCAACACCTACTAGTTTCCACTTTTAATTCAAGTAACCAATACTTGATTATTTAGTAGCTACATGAGGACTGCAGCCCTGGATTCTGCCACCAACATGCTGATACCTGACACCTATTGACTCACCCAATTAAATTCTTCTCTCTCAGGATCACATTCCTGTTTTTATGTGGGTGAACAGGGACTGAGACAATCAGTGCTGTAGTTATTTTTCAGCTCAGAAGGAAATTGTTGTCATTTGACACCTAGATGCATAACCCAAATTGAAAATAAACTATATATTATCATTATTTATAGAGTATAGGCTATGTCTTTATGATGCAGGAACCACCACTAAAAAAATAATTCAGTTGGAACAATCAGTGAATTTTTGTAAAGGAATATTTGGCTGGGGTTACCACCATGTCATGACAAATGACTGGCACCACCTGTTACATCTACCTTATCTGAATCAGGGTAGAGGCTAGGAAGAGGCCAAATGAGGTGCCTAGGACACAAAATTAAAGAAGGCATCTACTCTCTGGACATGCAACTGTTGACCCTATGCTTGCACAACCCTGAGAGTGAGTGCCTCCTTAAATTTTGCACCCTGGGCTTTTTACTTGCCTCACCCTAGTCTCAGCCATGCTGTGGACTGGGGTCAGCTGAGGGCATACTAATCGCCTTGTTAAGTTACAGAGTCTCCCAGTCCCAATTTGAGAGATTCAAATTCAGTATATCTGGGGTGAGGTCCATGAATCATTTAAGATAAGCTTCCTCAGGTAATCCTGATAGGCAGCCAGGTTTAAGATCTACTGATGAAGTGTTTAGAATATCACAATTAGAAGATGACCTTCCCTGAAATTTAGTGTTACTAGCTCCATGTAAAAGTATTGGGTTCAGCTCTGAGTTTTCTCCATGTAAAAGGTACTTGGAAATTTGACTCTGTATAAAGATTTTGTTCAGCTGCAAGCAACATAAATTTCTACTAACAATGGCTTAAACAAGTAGGGTTTTTCTTATAACTAGAAGTCTGAGGGTAGGTTACTGCTAGTATTGGGCAGCATCGCTGTGATTTTCTTGGACTTTCCACAAGTGTGTTTTGCTCATGATCCCAAAATGGCAGCTGAGGCTTCAGGGACTACCTACCCCCAAGACTGTAAGGAAAGAAGAAGCAGAAGTGCATGATGTGTGTTCCCTTGTACCAAGAAAGCAAAAATTTTCCCAGAAACCACGTTTTCTCAGTAGAACTCTGCTGGGTGGCATTGGCTTGAACTGGGTCACACAGCCACCTGTTGTTGAAGGAAGGCTGGGAAATCAGGGAACAGGCTTATCATAATGGACTTAGACTAGTGCTACTCAAACTCTAGCAAGCATTGAAATCCCCTGGAGGGCTTGTTAAAACACTGATTGCTGGGCTCCACCCCCCAGAGATGCTGATTCAGTAGGCCTGGGTTTGGACCTAAGAATTTGTATTATTTAAATATCTCAGTTGATGCGGATGCTTCCGGACTTTAAAAAACACTTTGAGAGTCACTGACCTCCACCAATGGCTCTCAACCCTGGTGGTGCATTAAAAACATTTGGAGAGCATTTTTAAAGATACCGTTTCCTGGTCCCACCCCCAGATGTTCTGATTTAATTTGTTGGTGGAGTCCAGGCTTCCGTATAGTCAAAGCTCTCCAGGTGATTCTAATGGTAGCAGAACTGGAAACCACAGTTTTAGGCCAGTCATGATTTCTTATCTGGGACTATTATCAAGGTTCTATTAGCAAACAGAAGGAGAAGTGGGTAATAGGCTGCAGCAGGTTCAGATAGTGGTTTCTGAACTTGATGCACTTTTGAAGCACTTGAGAATCTTTTTAAAAAATCTCCACTTTAGTACATACTCCAGACACTTAAATCAGAATCTCTGGGGGTGGGACACAGGCATCAGTAGTTTTTGAAGCTCCTCAGATGATTCTAATGTGCAAACAAGTCTGGGAACCCCTAGGTTAAAAGAAGATTGCTGCAAAGCTGATTATATTTGAAAACTATTTAAAAGGAAGGTGTGAAGGGATGTTATTAGTATTTGGATTGTAAAAGAGAAACCTGAAGATTAATGTAATTATGTAAGTACCAAGATAATTTTATAAAAGAATGGTGTTGTCCCTCTGAAGAACAGCGAGGAGGAAATGGGATCAACCTGGTCAGAATCCTTGGGTTAGATGTAAAAAGAAATTTCCTAGCTGCAAATTGTTGCAATGAAATGTGGTATGGTAGGAATGTGGTTGTGCAATCCTGTCATTGAAGAGCTATAAAAATAGTATAGATTCTCACCTGTTTAGAATGTTTTAATGTCATTCTTTCTGAAGGTGAAGAGGTGAATGAAATGACCTATCTAGCTTTCGTCTTTGAGAATTTCCTCTTTTACTCCTCTTCTCATTTCACATCTCAACTTAAAAGGCAGACCTCTGCATTAGCAATTCAAAGAAAACATAACCTTTGCCCACCTATCTGCTTGAATGGATAAAATATCTGACAGCTAGTAATAGGTTGAGATGCCACTAGCTCAAACTGCTTAGATCTCTAAAAGGCTATTTTGAGCTTCCGGATGACAAATATACTGCCAAATAGAGAGGGCCTTCCACATTTGATTTGAATAGGTTCCTGTGTTTAAAATGTAAATGCTGTACTTAAGGATGATTCACTACTGTGTCTGGGTCCTGCTACATGCGTGCACACACAGAAAACCAAAATAGCTATTTTCATGCCACATACAAATAACATGTGTATAAATATAGCTACAACTAAAATGTGTTCTTTGTACATGAAAATGTCACTGGCTTTTGTGAGTAGGACATATCGTCTGAGTTGTCTTTGTCTTTTGCGATACCGATAATGAATCTTCCCTGGTCACATGTAACTTTATTACCAGTAACATTCACTAGTTCAACTGCTGAGATGTCAATGGCACAGGAAAAAATAGGAGCCCATCAATGGAGCAAAACAACACTCAGTGGATCTTATCCACACTACTTGTATCTTAGGTTGAAGATCCTGTGATAGAGTTAAGGAAAAGATTTAGGAGTGTTTCCCCCCCTTTAGTCCAAACTTTTCCTGCAAATCAGAATCATTATGGGGGGCTTTTAAATACCCTAATGTCTAGGTTCTATTTCATACCAACTAAGTCAGAATGATTGGGTGTGGAAGTCAGGCATCATTAGTTTGTAAGATCCCAGTTGATTCTAATGTGCAGCAGAGTTTGAGAGCCACTGCCTTAGCCACCTTCATTATGAGATCTAAAAACCTCTTATAGAAAGAATTTCTCTTAGGTCTCATGGTCAAATGTAGATATAAGGATTAGGTAAATTTTCCTCCCTGCTGAGTGTGACAGAGATTAATTATTCTTGAAGGTTTATTCCTCCTAATTCCTCCATCATAAGAGAATGTCTAATTTTTAGCTGCCTACGTAGCCACACAGAATAAAGACCACTTTTCCCAGCCTTCCTTGCAGGAGGGCATGGCTGTATGTTTCAATTCTGACCCATGGGATTAAGTGGAAGTGGTGCATATTCCTGACAATCATTAAAGAGAAGGTATGTATTCTTCCACCCTTCCACCTTCTTGCTAGCTAGAATGCAGATGTAGATGAAGCTCCAACAGGCAATTGGTCACTGAGATGACTTTAGAAGAATGGAAGCCACACAAAACAAAGAAAGTAAAAGGAGTCTTGTTCCCCACACCAAGCTCGATACCAGCTCTAGAATGACTATTCTGGGCTTCTTAATGGGGGAGAAAAAGAAACTAGTTTATAGCACTATTTCTGTTCATTATAGCTGAACCTTATTCTAACAGACTCAATGGTTCTCAAAATTTGGTATATATCAGAAATATCTACAAAGTGAATGAAGCATATTCAAGTAGGTGATTCTGATACCTAACCAAGTTTGAAAACAACTGTACTAGATATCCTTAGGAGGTAGAGAGCACACATGATGAGGGTAAAACTTAGAATTCAAAAAGTAATGAGTGATTAGAATCATTTGCAAAAGTGAATCTACTAAATAAAATATTCAGCAGTACAGTGTAGTGGTTAAAGACTTTGGTTCAGGAGACAAACAGAACTAAGTTTAAATCCTGGCATTGCCACTTACCAGCCATAAGTAACTAAACTTCTAAACTGTTTTCCTCATTTATAAAATGTCAGGTTCTAACTGAGGTCCAAGGGGAGTCAGTGGGCAAGTGGTGGGTAGCTGCAAAAACACTCAAGGAATCGTAGACAGTTTTGACGTGGCTTTACTCTCTCTCTCTGGGCATGAGCAAGCTATATGTACAGCGTTAGCAGGGTAATTATACATTTTACAGACAACAGTAGCTTCGAGCTAAGCACAAGATCACGTGGGTGATACCTAATGCACCTCACATGGTGTGGTTACATAATGTGTGGGGTTGTGCACCTGCACTCCAAACCAGATGAGTCATGCTGCGCTGGAAGGGCACTTCAGCCTACTCCTGACTAAAGCTTAGCCATTTCCCTTACACTCTACCCCCTAGGCTGAGAGTGCCCTCTGGGCAGGGACATGTGCCTGTAGGGCAGAGCCCTGCATCCATAACAATAACAATAACAACAATACAGAGAGCAACAGCTCACTACTAGGATCCCAGCTATGCTACTTATGACTATTAGGGCCCAGAGTAGGCCAGAGCCTAGGGATGCCCACTATTTCTGCAGGGGGTCATCAGTAAGGCTCTGGACCACCTTACTCTCCCATGAGACCTGTTGCAGAGCTACTGTTATGTTCTGCTGATTGTCAGGGATAAAGGTACAACATTGTGTTCCTTAAAAGGCACAGGTGCCTCCTTGGGAAGCTATTACTATGTCTAAGGCCATTCGATTTTGCCACAAAACCTTTCTGATCTGATCAACCTCATCTGTTAACAGGAGGGCCACTCAGATGTAATTCAGAGCCCGAGTGCTGTGCTCTGCAAGAGCAGTAACTTGTGCTTCTACAGTTATGACACCTGCTCCAGGGATAGTCATTGCCAACCATCAGGGGGCTTGTTGCACTCACAAAAACTGAGAGTGTAGTGCCTCCCATTTATGCGGGTATCTGGGCAATGTGGGGAAAACACATGGCAGGTGGCATGGGGGTGGCAGGTACATAAGGCCACCCCCAGGTACAATGTCCAGTCCAGTGTGCTGGTAGGTAAGGCCACCCTGTGTCCCCACAGATCCATAAACTCCCCGGGGGCACAACATCTATCGGGGACCAACCTTGGTGGGGCCACTTGTTCCACCATACCTTCGATATGGTGACATGTGTTATGTTTACACAGACTGTGATGGGTAGGCATCCCACAGTGGTGTTACCCCAATGTTGCTCTATGCATCATGGCACCTGGGCTGGGGGTACTACATGTTCCCCCATTAGGCAGCCCCACCCATTATAAACACTATGGGCCAGCCAGGGGGTGGGTGCACCATGGGCCTTGTGGCAGCCTTTGTCCAAAGCTTGCTGCATTGCATTCGAGGCATCAGCCATGGGGCCCCAAGTCTCCAACCATGTCCAGTTCACTGAAGACACGGGGTGTATGTGCCAAGGCAAGCAGTCCGCAGCTGCTGCTGGAAGGGTGGTACAGATCAAAGAGTTGGAAACATTGGTCACTTCAGCGTAGGTGTGGGCCCAGTCCACAATGCAGTTGGAGCATGTTAACCTACAGCCAAAATGATAGAGCAGGCACAGGTACTAACAGAGGTAAATCACGTCCCTCAGGCAAAATACAAGCTAAACTTTCATCCCTGGATAACAACGTGGTCACCATGAGCTTTTGCCCTGGGAGATGGTACCATACTTTCTCAGCTCCCCATGGTTCCTTTGAGTCCCGTCTCCATGCAAAAGTCACGGGGGAGCTCATAACATGCCACACAGACAGTACATATGTCCCCTGAGGAGGGTTCCTTCCCTGGCCATTCCCCTATGAACAGTCAACCGTGGGGACTATGCATTGAACACCCAAGGAATGACAAGCAAGTCATACTGTAGGCCCTCCCCCAAGGGAGCTACAATGGCAACCACCACAGTGGGGGCTTGGAGGGTCCATGGCCACAGCCAGGTTTTCTGTTCCCTCGCCTTCAGGGGTGTTGGGGCAAGCAACATTCATCACGGCAGGTTACCGTTCATCCCCATACCTGGTCAGGGGAGGTCATCCTTGGTATGTATCTGTAACTGAATGAGGGTGGTGGCCTGGTGTAACAAAGCCTCCACTGGGGCCAGGCCACCTTTCTGTGGCTATTCATTCAAGGTTTGGTGCATCAGGTCCAGCCTGGAACTCCAGCCCCGCAAAGACGAGGGTGTGACAGGCAAGCGTAACCCATTCTTCAAGAGCCTGTTACATCGCTCAATCATATCTGCAGCTTGCAGGTTGTATGACACATGGAATCCCCACTTTATGTCCATTTCTTGTGCCCATTCTTATACCTGTTTTCCAGTGAAATGTGCTCCCCTATCAATCTCAATGGCCAGAGGGTGACGATACAGGGCACCTAAGTGTTGCAGAGGCCAGATGGTGTTCTGTTGGTTGGCCATCCTGCAAGGGTAGGTGAACAACAGGCTTGCAGCCGTGTCCACAGCTGTAGTGTATGCATATACCCTTGTAGTCTACTTGCCACCTGGTCAAGGGCACTCGCCCTATCGTCACTTATGTAACACTGGGCAGCTGCCTCTGTTTAAGGTATGCCTGAGTACATGCCCGACATTTCTGACAAGCCTCACAAATATCTTGTACGGGCAGATACAGACCCCAACACTTATTGACATGTTGCATCAGTTTACCCCCCACACGTCCCAGTTTCCAGTGTAGCCACAAAGCCACATCTTGTGGAGGTGCTGAATCTAACCATCAGACCTTGGCCAAGGCATCTGCTTCATCCTTGCCAGGGGTGGCCAAAGGCATATGGCCTGACACGTGATAAATAATTACCTCTTTCTGATGATCCATTTCCCAGAGGTCTTGCCACGTGGCTTGGCCCCAAATGGGTGAGTGGCCAACTAGCCACTTCTGTATTTGCCAGGTAGTTACCACAAGGTTAAGCCTCGAGAGACCACCCAGCTATTGGTACAGATTACCATAGGTGTCACCTC
This sequence comes from Homo sapiens, assembly GCF_000001405.40. Classification (NCBI taxonomy): domain Eukaryota; kingdom Metazoa; phylum Chordata; class Mammalia; order Primates; family Hominidae; genus Homo; species Homo sapiens. The sequence continues at coordinate 156,623,636 of NC_000003.12, read as the reverse complement.
CTTTGTGATCACCATCCATGCTGCTCTAAGTTCAGCCCATTGGCTATTTTGTTCACACCCGGTTTCAACCATATGGTGTCAGTACAAGGTTGGACTGCAACGGCAGTCCAGGCTGCAGTAGCACCTCAGTTAGACCCATCTGTTTACCATGCCCCATCAGGAATTGAGGGATGCCCTTCCTTAAATGGTGAAGGCTCAGGGTCTAGGGCTGCCTCAGGCCCCATGGCCTTATCTTGCATTAGGACTACAGGTCCCAAGACCTCTTGCAACTCTGCTGCTAAGGGGTTTGTACTCAGTGTACCCTGCTGCTCCACGTAGGCACCCCACTTTGCCAAAGTGGATGTCTGCACCGTCCCAGTCTGGGGGGTCGTTACCCATGAATGCACCCATCTCACTATTGGGTAAGTTATCCACACGACGACTGCAGCCCATCCTGTCACACTCTCACAGCTTGAAGGGCAGCATATATAGCTGCTAGCGTTTCTCTATCAGGGAATACTGGAGCTCATCTCCCTTCCATAGTTGGGACCAAAAGCCTACTGGCACTTGCAAGCACTCTATGCACTGCCACAGGCCCCCCAGCCGAAACCATCTGTGGTCACATGCACATCCAGCTCAAATGGGTGCCCCAAGTCAACTACCCATAGGGCTTGTGCCTGCTGAATAGCCAGCTTGGCTGCCAGGAAGGCGGTCTCAGCCGCATCATCCCAATCCCAGGGAGCTCCCTTCTTTGTTAACCAATGCAACAATTTTATCATTTGAGCTAAAAAGGACACAAATGCCCGCTGATATCCCAGGAGCCCCACAAAAATCTGCAGCTTCTTCACTGTGGTGGGCCAGGGATATGCCTGAATCTTATCAATCATAGCCTCTGGGATGGCCTTTGTCTTACCTGACCAGATAACTCCCAAGAATTTGGCAGCTAATCCAGGCCCTTGGACCTTGGATTCATTGATGGCCCAACCGTATGCTGCTACATGTTGCTGCAAGAGGGGTGCCACCACTTCTAAATCTGCAAGAGAATCAGAGGTTAACATGATATCATCAATATAATGGAATAGGTGGACCCCTTCTGGACATTGCCAGGCAGCTAAATCTGTTGCAACTAGACCAGGACATATGGTGGGGCTATGCACATAGCCCTGCAGCAACACTGTGAAAGTCCATTGTTGCCTATCCCACATGAAGGCAAACTGTTCCTGGGTCTCTGGAGCAATGTCAATGGAGAAAAATGCATTGGCCAAGTCCACTTCATAGTGATACTGTCCCAGTTCTGTCATCAAACAGTCCATCAAATCCATGATTGACAGTACAGCTGCATGCAAAGGGGGTGTTACTTTATTCAGTTCCCAATAGTCCACCATCATCCAACAAGTTCCATTAGGCTTTCTAACTGGCCACACTGGAGAATTGTAGGGGCTGTGGGTGCCACACACTATCTGCACCTCCTCCAGGTTTTTAATTGTCTCAGTTATCTCTGTATGCCCACCTGGCAAACAGTATTGATGGGTGGAAGTAACCTGTCAGGGTTGTGGCAGGACCTGAGGCTGGTGACATGTATGTCCACGCAGCATCGGCTTCACCACACACACTCAGAGTCTGAATTCCCTGGGTGTGGTTTGTAATGCCAGGCCATGTAAAATGTCCATCCCCAGAATGTATTCTGGTATGGGAGAGAAATACACAGAATATAAATGGGGAGCCAAACAGCAGATGCCAAGGTGCAGAGATACAGGTTTCACTTCCACTGACCAGCCTCCATATCCATCAATGTAAGCAGGTTAGCCCTGAAATTTATTTGGGTTCCCATAAGCAAGGACACAATCTGTGCCAGTATCCACCAGCACCAGCACCCATTGTACACTAGTGGAAGACCAGTGGATCACTAATTCCACACGTGGTCGCTGGTTGTCTGGTGTCCCCCCAAGATGGGCACCTCAGCCAGTTTCCTAATCAAACAGAAAAGGCTCTACATTTCCACCTGGCTGCAGCAAGTAGTCTTTGAGCTGAAGTGCCCGGGTGGGACTGGGTCACGCAGCAATGTCCTTCTCCCCGTTGGGCATTTTCTGGAATTGCTGCTCCAGAGACAATTATCTCCACAAAGTTAAGAGTACTTCATTGGGCTGCTTATTGATTTTCTCTCGGTCAACCCCGGTCAAAATCAAATCTATCCACATCCGTGAGCATGTTACTTGTTGGGGCCCTCTTTTCTCCCATGGGGGGGCCCCTGTGGGCAGAGCATCTTCCCCTTCTTTATGGCATAGACCCCTCAGTCCTGCTGACAGCCTTCTGCTTCCCCAAGAGCTGTCACAGCAATGGTCACTTCATGTATGTGGTGCCCTATGTACAGGGTGAGGACAGCAGCTAGGGAGGCAGAGGCACTCCGGAGCACAGAACCCAACACAAGATCCCTCATGTGGGAGGTGAAACGTTCATCATCTGGCCTCTGGGTATTCAGGTCAAACATAGCCTGCCACATACCCATCTCCCAGATGACTTGCACCAACTCAGCATACAACTCCCATTACTCACTGTTTTCGGTATTTCACTGGTGTTGTTCCACACAGTCTGTATGGCTGCCCATAGCCACTCAATCAGGGTGTGATCACCTTGCCCTGTGCCAGACACCTGCTCACTTGCAAATGCTGTGCTGCATCACTTAGGAACTGTGTGTGTACTTCTCATAGCACAGTCAAAAATGCCCATCCAACTCTGCCGGCAAAAGCTCGCTCCTTCTCGGTGCTCTGCACTTCCAGCTACTTCAGTGCTTTTTTCATGCTCACAGAGGACCCATCTACTACCATTCAGGTTTCCACCAGAGCCTATCTGAGCAGCACAGCTGCCACCGGGTACCATAACCCATGTTGTGGCCAGATGGCTGACCCAGAATCGGTGGGGACCGAAGGCTCACTCACCTCAGGATCCTGTTCATGATGCCAATTGTTAGGTTCTAACTGATGTCTGAGGGGAGTCAGTGGGTGAGTGGTGGGTAGCTGGAAAAACACTCAAGGAATCATAGATAGTTTTGACGTGGCTTTACTCTCTCTCTGGGCACAAGCAAGCCATAGGTACAGCATCAGCAGAGTAATTATACCTTTTACAGACAATATGGCTCTGAGCCAAGCACAAGCTCACATGGGTGATCACCTAATGTGCCTCACATGACATAACTTGCAGGGTTGTGTGCTGGTGCTCCAAACCTGCTGAGTCATGGTGCGACTGAAGGCCACCTCAGCCTACTCCTGACTAAAGTGCAGCCATTTCCCTTATAGCCAGTAACAGTACTTATTCCATCATATATTGTGAGAATGAAATGAGATAATCCAAGATAATGCTTAGTATAGTAACTGCCACATAGTAAAAGTTCAGTAAGTGTTGGCTTGAAAAAAATTAGTGTAGAATGTATGATGTGGATTTTTAATTTCATTTTAGCCCCGACTCTGCTTTGTCTAATATGGTAGCCACTAACCACATGTATCACCCCTTCACACTTACTAGGACAGCTATAATAATAAAAATAATGATGATGATAAATAATTTAAAAATAACAGCTGTTGGCAAGGATGGGGAGAAATTGGAACCTGTATACATTGCTGGTAGGAATGTAAAATGATGTGGCCCCTTCGGAAAACAGTTTGCCAATTCCTCAAAATGTTAAACATAAGTTATTACATGACCCAACAATTCTCCTAGACATATACAAAAAGAAATGAAAACATGTTCACACAAGAACTTGTATACAAGTGTTTATAGCTTCATTATTCATAATAGTCAAAAAGTGGACAAAACCCAAAGGTCTGTCATTTGTTTACCAAAAGGTTATCAAAACACTCTATGTAATGGAATATTATTTGGCAATGAAAAGGAGGTTTGATGCATGCTACAATGTGGATGAACCTTGAAAACATTATGCTAAGTGAAATAAGCCAATCACAAAAGACCACATATTATATGATTCAATTTATATGAAATCCCCAGAATAAAAAATGCCACAGAGACAGAAAGTAGATTAGGGCCGGGGGTAGAAAGAATGGAAATGACTGCTAATACGTATGGCATTTCCTTGTGTAGGAGAAAAAAGTTTCTAAAATTAGATAGTGGCAATGTTTGCACAACTTGAAAACACTAAAAACCATTGAATGCTACATTTTAAATGGTCTAATTTTATGGTATGTGAGTTACATCTCAATAATGCTGTTAAGAACAAAACATAGCCCCTCACCCACTGACCAAAAAAGGAAACTAGTTTTGTAGCAAAAATACGGGAAATATGAAATTTACCAAGCAATGTCATATAAAAGAAAGAACATTGAGAGTCAAGACCTAGATTTTAGGCTTGCAGTCATTACTTACTAACAGCAAGCGCTAGGGCAAGTCTCTTAACCTCTATTTTCAGCCTCCTTATTTATTAAAGAATGAGGGTTCTGGCCAGGCACGGTGGCTCACGCCTGTAATCCCAGAACTTTGGGAGGCCGAGGTGGGCGGATCACGAGGTCAGGAGATCAAGACCATCCTGGCTAACACGATGAAACCTCGTCTCTACTAAAAATACAAAAAATTAGCCAGGCTTGGTGACAGGCGCCTGTAGTCCCAGCTACTCGGGAGGCTGAGGCAAGAGAATGAGGCGGAGCTTGCAGTGAGCCAAGATTGAGCCACTGCACTCCAGCCTGGGCTACAGAGCGAGACTCTGTTTCAAAAAAAAAAGAAAAAAAAGAATGAGGGTTCGTTCCATTTCTAAGATTTGGTGGTCATGATGATTTTCCCTGTTGACCTGATAGAGGAGTAGTTGCATCAGACTCTCAAGGGGGTTCATGATCCAACACAGTTAAGAGCTGCTGCCTCTGGTTTCAGCCTTGTACTCTCTTTAATGGCAAAAATCTGATGAAATACCTGCAGGAGGTTCCCACTTTGCCACGCCAATGAAGCACTTCTTATTGCATTGAACTTCAGGAGCTTCACTGTATATTGTCGGAGGAATCCTGCAAAGAGACAGGGGATTATATTTTGACTCAGTTTTGCTTGAAGCATTCGGTTCAGTGTGTGACCTTCCCTTACAGACCAACATGGGTGTGAAGGAGAGAAATAAAGCACTCAAGTTGCCTTTGCTCAAAATTATCTTCCTTACACCATAGCAAGAACAAAACAAAACAAAACAAAATGATCGGGTACAGACTCATCTCAAGATGAAGAACATCAATGCAGTAAAAGAAGGAACATTTGTTCCAATTCACATCTCACTGATGAGGCAATTGAGAACAGACGGTTTGAATGACTGGCGTGCAGTCCTATCATCAGTATAACTGGTACTAGAACCCTTGTCTGTAGACTCGAATTCCTTGACCTAATGTAATACATTTTCTCAGTTAAATTTCACAGAGTGGGAGAGGGAATATTGAGCCTCATACACACTACAGTTTAGCTTAATTTAATTAAACAATCTGTATAGTAAAGTTATAATACTGAATGAATTAAATCTCAATATACCTTTACCTGAAATAGTGACTTCAATCACATATAAGGATAATGTCTCCAAACTCTTTTCTTGAAAGGTTTGCATGCCTCCTGCCTTAGAACTTGGTCCTCTTTTCTCCTTTAGGCTCACTTTGTTGGTGACCTCATGCTGTCTCATCACTTTTAATACTCATCTGTCTTCACAACCCACATCTGATCCATCAGTCAAGTCCTGTTGACTTGACCTTCAAAATATCCAGAATCCAGCTACTTCTCACCACTGTCATTGCCTCCATACTGGTCCAAGCCACCATCATCTCTCCCTCCTGGATTACTGCCATGGCCCCCAACAATTCCTGTGCTCTGCCCTGGCTTCTCTTAAGTCTGATCCCAATATGCAATGTTTTGAAATGTAAGTCAGATCATATCGCAACTCTGCCTCAAGCTCTTATGACCCCTCATAAAAATCAAAATTCGTAAAGTGGCCTCCAAGCCCTTCCATGATCCTCTCATCTCTCTTGTTCATTCTGTTCCTGCCATGGGGTTTCCTTGCTATTTCTTGAGCAGATCAGGCACATTTACCACAGAGCCTTTGCTCTAACTGGTTCTTCTGCCAAAAAATATGTTCCTGTGGGGAAAAATCTTGAAACATATGCAATTTTGTGGATCCTCATTAAGGAACCACAAATACAAAATTAGATTCCAGGACTTGAAGGGGCCCCTGCAAGTTAGAGACCTTGAAATGTAAAATTTCACTAGCTTCCATAGTAAATGTACCTACTTTCTTCTTTCAAATGTCTGCTTGGCTGACTCATTCCCTCCTTCAAAGCTTTGTTCTAATGTTTCCTTGTCAGTGAGGTCTGCTATGACCTCTCTGTATAATTCTGCAACTTGTTCCTTCATGCCTTTTCTTTCTTTTCCCCCCATGGCACTTAGCATCTTTGATCATACTATATAATTAACTTATTTGTTATCTTTACTGTTTCCCCTACCAGTACCTTGCTAGAATATAAGTTCCAGGATTCCTAGTCCCTCAAATAGTCCTGGGCTAGAGTAGGTGTTCAATAAATATTTGTAGAAGGAATGAATTTATATTTCCTTAATGGTATTTTAAAAGTATAATAATCAAAGCTGGGTGCAGTGGCTCACGTCTGTAACCCCAGCAGTTTTGGAGGCTAAGGTGGGAGGATCACTTGAGTACAGAAGTTCAAGACAACCTGGGCTGTCTAGAGAGACCCAGTCTCTACAAAAAATTGAAAAATTAGCCCAGCATGGTGGCATACGTCTGTGGTCCCAACTACTTGGGAAGCTGAAGTGGGAAGACTGCTTGAACCTAGGAGGTTGAGGCTGCAATGAGCTATGATCACATCACTACACTCCAGCCTAGGTGACAGAGTAAGACCCTGTCTCTAAAAATAAATAAATAAAAAAAATAAAATCAAGTGGAACGCCTAGGCCTGGCATGTGCTAGATTCTCAGCCATTATCTTGAAGATTAAAATTTAATTTTAAACAGCCGTCATTGCTACTGCAGCATCTAGCCTGTGTCAAATTCTTTTTTACGTTCTCTTGACAATCGAATCAAGTAGGCACTATTCCCATTTTATAGATGAGATAACTGAGTTTAAGTCTATTATCCAAGGTCACGTAGCTAGGAAATAACCCAGGTATGTTGGATTCCAAAGCCTGTGATCTTTCCATTTTGCTGGCAGCAAGTGACATTTATACCCCAGTTTCTTTCTGGCATGGCTGAGGGAGGTAATAGAGAAAATCATATGAATTTGGGATTAATGCCTAGCTTCAATACATCCTTGCTTTGGGACCCTGGGAAAGTTTCTTAACCACTGAGTTTTAGTTTTCCCATATATAAAATGGGCCTCGCAGTGCCAACCTTAAAGAATAGATAAAAGAACTAAAGAAAATAGTGTTTAATATCAAGGCTTTTAAAATTATTTGATAAGTATTCCCTTCAAAGGAGTTTATAATTAAAGTACACACAGACACACACACTTTCATAAATAGAATTTGGAGGAGGGTGCTAGCCAGTTGCTATGGGGAAGCCAGTGGCAGGGATGCAGAGCTTTTCTGATGCCAACACACAGAGGCTTGGCTCAAGAGAACATTGTAGGAGTAGGGCAGAGAAGACGATGTTGCAAACCACAAGGGAATGAAAGAGACACTCTTGAAGTTACATTTTGTTCTTACCTCCTACAAGTTGGCTTACTCACATCTTTCCATAAGACCCTAGAGCAGGCCTTTTTTCAACACTTCACTGAACAAGTGTCACAGGATACTTGAAGTTTCCTGGAACTGAGTCATCCCATACAATTTCAAATATTTTAAGTGCTAAATGAAAGAAAAATCTCCAACCTCTTGTTGTAGTTCTGCCATGGTTCTTTAGGAACAATAGATGAGGAAAGACAGCCTGACAGTGTGATGTGATGGGGAGGAGGCTGAGGCTAGAAGGGCTCATAGGTGAGGTACAATCAGCTAGTCCCAAGACTCCAGTTACCTTGGCTGAGGGCCCAGGGCTTGCTTCATGCACCACAGAGGGGCCCACATCTCACACAGATCCTGGCATGGGGCAGGCATCACTTATTCATGTTATTTTATTTTCATTTTAAAAGGAGACATTTTGGATATTCTTTAAATAATCAATTTGACCTTATTATTTAGTCCTAATTTATCTGACACATGTCATAAAAGAAAAATTTAAATGCCCATGGACCTATTACCCTAATGTGGCAACAATGAAAACTATGGATTTTATAAGGACTCTGTCTATGTACCTAATTATATGTGGCATGCTAGATCTTCTAGCTCATAATAAAGGGTTCTGATATTGAGGAGGGTGAAACAAATAAGATATGTGTCAGGATTAAGTCTAGATGTGAGTAATAGAGACCTGAAAAACTGTAACTTCAACAAGATGGAACTTTATTTTTCTTTCACTTTATATTTTCTTTCACTTAAATCTTTATGTAGTCAGTCCAAGCATGGTACTCCTCGGCACATGTGGAATCACACCACAACTCTCTGAACTGCTTGTTGATAATGCCAGTCCCAAACTACAGGTGCTGTTAATTGAGGAAGTTGTGCCTGAATGTGCCTTCAAGGCAGTTTATCTGTGATTATGCAGCCTTCTCTCTCTGGTGCCCTGAGAGCACACAGCTGGATCACTGATGGAGGCTGGGAGAGCTTTGATTCACTTCAAGATTTCAGACCTTTCTGAGGTGAGTTCCCTTAAGCTCTGCTGAAATAATAAATGTGCAATAATTTTGTAAAGTGTGAAGCCCTGGAACCAGACTTGAATACCAGAAAGGTGAGAAATCCCTATTGAGGAATCAGTAGGAGAACTCTTAGAATTTTCAAGAAGGTTAAGGAAAATGACTGGTCATAAGAGAATCTGGCAGGAATTTGCAGTTGCCTGGATAGTAGCAGTAACCAGTTAAACCACTGTTTCCCACACTTTGGGCATTAACATACTACCTTCATCAGCTTTACTGTATCCAAGTACTGTTTGCACTATCATTGACTTATTATTTTTCTTTCAATAGACTCATTCTTATTTAAATTAAATGTATTAAACAATTATCCACACAGTAGCCAGGGTGATCTAAAAATGTAAGTCAGATCACATCACCTTATGCTCAGTACTCTAGTAGTTTTATGTCTGATTTAGTATAAACATTGTCTGCAAAGCTGTATGTGATCTGAGCCCTCAGAGTTCACTTCTCACCTCATCTCTATTCACCACCTCCATGGCTTAGCTTCATGCACAATGGCCTCCTTGCTGTTTCCCCTGCATGCCAGCCTCCTTCCTATTATGAAGTCTTTACATTTTGGGGTGGCTTTGCTCAGAATGCTTCTTCTCCAGATAGCTCCATGTCTTACTACTTTAATACATTCAGGTTTCTACTCAAATCTCTCTCAGAGAGGTCAGTCTGACCAACCTGCCCAAAAGGGTGCTTGCTTGTCAGTGCCTCTTACCTTCTTAGTTTCTTTACTTTCCTTCTTAGCATTTATCACCACACAAACTATTACACAATTACTAATTTCTTTAATTATTATCTGTCTGTCCTGACTAGAATATAAGCTCCAGGTAATCAGGTGCTTTACTTCTTTAGCTGTTATAGTCCCAGAAACTGGAATTGTGCCTGGCACATAGTAAGTGCTTAATACGTAATTGTTGAATGCAGGGACAGATAGATACCTGTAACTGACTTGATTGCCTAGAAACAGCTCCTATTTTTTAATAAGTGAGACTTCACAAGTAAATTAGATGAATAGATTGGTCAATAAAAGTTATAGAAAAACCTGATCAGCCTTTTTTTGGGAAAAACATGAATATAGATACCATCATCATACAAGTAGCTAATTAAATAAATGTGTACCCAGATAGATTAAAATGTGGATAATTCAGAGCAAATAATTTTTGAAAACCCTAAAATTATAGCCAAATTTTCTCCTGCTTTCTCATTGAGAAAGAACTTTCTAATCTAAAACAAGTGGAAAAATATATTAAAAGATCAACAAATTTAAATTCACAAACACTGTTAATTTCTCTAGGATATTTATTTCATTAGATATTATTTGCTTGTTTTTGCATTCTCAGGGAAATGCAAATTAAAGTTATAATGAAATACCACCATATATCTATTAGAATAGCTAAAAAATCCAAATAAATGACAATTAAAAAACCCAAAATGAAAAATGACACCAGCAATACCAAGAGACAGCAAAGACATAGAACAACTGAACCTTTCATACAATCCCGGTGGGAATACAAAATGGTAGCGCCATTTTGGAAAATAGTTTGACCAGTTTCTTTTTTTTTTTTAATAGTTTGACAGTTTTATGTGAAGTTAAATATACACTTGCCATGCAATCTAGTAATCCCACTAGATTTTTACCAAGAGAAATAAGTTTGTGTTCCAGTACTTGTATGTGAATGTTTATAGTGGCTTTATTCATTATTGACAAAAACTAGAAATAACCCAAATGTCCTTCAATTGGTATATGCATAAACAAAATGTGGGATTCCATACAATAGAATATTACTCAGCAATAAAAAAGAACAAAGTGCTGACATATACAAATAACATGGATTTTTTTCAAATGCTTTATGCTAATTGAAAGAAGCCAGACTCAAAAAGCTATATTCTATATATGATTCAATTTATATGACATCCTGGAAAAGGCAAAACTATAGGGACAGAAAAGAGATGGGTTGTTGCCAGGGGCTGGAGGTGGGAGGAGGGTTGACTATAAAAGGTCATGGGGAAAATTTTTGGAAGTAATGGAGTATTCGATATTTTGATTGTGATGCTAATTGCCAAACTTTATACATTTTTTGAAAATGCGTAGAACTTTATACTAAAAAGGATGAATTTCCCTGTGTGTAAAGTATACCACAATAAACTTGACTTTAAAAAATAAAATGTAAAGGTAAGCAAACTGGAAAAGTGTTTAAAACAAGCATGATGAAGTATTCATATTGTTAATACATAAACTGCATAAAAAATTATAAGACAAACAGCAGTTGTTACGTAACAAAAGCAAACAATGTTTATTCTAACTAGTAATCAACTAATCAAAATTAAAGCACACTGAGACATAGTTTCCTCATAAATTAGCCCTTCTCTTCTCTTCCCCCATTACCTTTTCTAAAAGGTTAATACAGGGCCAGGCACAGTGGCTCACACCTGTAATCCCAGCATTTGGAAGGCAAGAGGATTGCTTGAGCCCAGGAGTTTCAGACCAACCTGGGCAACACAGTGAGACCACTGCCCTACAAAAAATAAAAACATTTTCTGGTCATAGTGGCACAGCACCTGTAGTCCCAGATACTTAAGAGGCTGAGGTGAGAGGATCACTTGAGCCCAGGGAGGTGGAGTTTGCAATGAGCTTTGATCCATGCCACTGTACTCCGGCCTGGGTGACAAAGCAAGATCCTGTCTCAAAAAAAAGAAAGAAAGAAAGAGAGAGAGAGGCAGGAAAGAAGGAAGGAAGGAAGGAAGGAAGGAAGGAAGGAAGGAAGGAAGGAAGGAAGGAAGGATTAATACAGAATGCTTGTAACAGTATGTAAGGATATAAAGGCTCACACAATTTTGTTGTGAGGGTAAATTGGTTCAAATCTTCCTGGGAAGCAGTCTGGCAAGTCTATATCAGAAGATTAAGAAGTGTTCACGCATTTTGTCTCAGTAATTTCACCTCTGGGAATCTATCCTAAGAAGATAAAGCAAGTTGTGAGAATAGTTTTATGTATGAAGATAGTGGAACAAATTATTTACAGTAATACAAAGTTTGGAACAACCTAAGTATCTGCATTAAAGTAATAGACAAATTATAGTTTATTCATATGAAGACATAGTATAAGGTAATCATTGAGAATGTTTTTGAAAAAATTTTAATATAAAAAATGCTTATGAAATAATGCTAAAAATAAAAATTAGTATAAAATGTGTAACCTCAACTGTCTTAAAAGTATTGATAGGCCGGGCATGGTGGCTCATGCCTGTAATCCCAACACTTTGGGAGGCCGAGGCAGGTGGATCACCTGAAATGAGGAGTTCAAGACCAGCCTGGCCAACATGGTGAAACCCCATCTCTACTAAAAATACAAAAATTAGCCGGGCATGGTGGTGGGCCCCTGTAATCCCAGCTATGTGGGAGGCTGAGGCAGGAAGAATTGCTTGAACCCAGGTGGCAAAAGTTGCATTGAGCGGAGATCCTGCCACTGCACTCCAGCCTGGGTGACACAGCGAGACTCCATCTCGGGTGGGAAAAAAGTATTGATACATAAAAAATTCAAGGGCCAGGTGCGGTGGCTCACGCCTGTAATCCTAGCACTTTGGGAGGCCAAGGCAGACAGATCGCCTGAGGTTGGGAGTTTGAGACCACCCTGACCAACATGGAGAAACCCCGTCTCTACTAAAAATACAAAATTAGCCTAGCGTGGCAGTGCATGCCTGTAATCCCAACTACTCGGGAGGCTGAGGCAGGAGAATTGCTTGAACCTGAGAGGCGGAGGTTGCAGTGAGCCGAGATCATGCCACTGTACTCCAGCCTGGGGAACAGAGCGAGACTCTGTCTAAAAAAAAAAAAAAAAAAAAATCAAGAAGACAGTTTCTTAACATGCTGATTATAGTTATTTGTGGTAACTGATTTAGTTTTATTTCTTGTTGGCTTCTATTTCTTCTTTACAATAACCCCAAAATGTTATTATGAAAGAAGCAACCTAAGGTTAAGAGGACTCAGCAGATATCCCTGACTTTGGGTTAACATCTTGAAAATTAACTACATTTTTGGTTTTCATCTTCAAAAACTATAAGCCATAACAATTTGAAATAAACACAATGCCATTAATGTTTTGAATATATTCATTTTTCTTAGAAGTTAAATTATGATTCTGTTTATATTCTGTAGTTAAATTTCAAAACTTTTAAATATGATACTTAAGGCTATAAAATTGCACTGTCTAATATGGTACTCACTAGACAAATTCATGGGCTATTGAACACTTGAAATGTGGCTGGTCCTAATTGAGAGGTGCTATAAGACATACCATATTTTGAAAACTTCCAGTGAAAAATTGTAAAATACATTCTTAATAATTTTTATATTGACTACATGTAAAAATGACATGTATATATAGGATAAATAAAATGTATTATTTAAATTAATTTTACCTTTTTTTTTTAACTTTTTCCATGTGGTTACGTTAATCAGATCAGCATGCAACAGAAACCACATTAGGTACCTCAACCAAATAGGTATTTCTCTTTCTCATGTTTCTAGAGGTGGGCACTCCTGGACTGGAGTGGCAGTTTCCCGACATCATCAACCTCCAGACTCTTTCTGCCTTTCCTGTTTCACCATCCTTGGGGTGGGGCTTTTCTCTTCCTGGTCACTTTCTAGTCAAAGAATGGCTACTCCACATCCAGCCATATGTCTGCATTTTAGGTAGAGGAAGAAAAAGAAAGTAAAAAGGAGGAAAGGAGACATCTATAGTAAAGCAAAGATTTCCAGAAATCTTCAGCAGACTTTCACTTGTATTTCATTGGCTAGTATTATGTCAAATGATACCCGGGTTTGCAAAAGTGAAAAATACAGTTCTTTCTGTTTTTCCTGTTGTATTGTTGCTATTGTTATTTGTTGCTTTTTTGTTGGCTTTTGTTTTTGTTTTGCTGGACACATAGCTGCAAGGATATATCAGTACGGAAAAGGGGTTTCTAGTAGTGCCTGCCCACAACTTCTTGGATTTTTTTAGTCAAAATTTATTTCAGTGGATGGTGCTGGATACACATTGAAAATTGTTACAAGTTTTGTTTCCCCTTTCTCAGCTTCCAGAGGGACTTTGTTTCTCCCATTAACATAGTTTTTCTTCTAGCAAAGAACAAAATAGTTTATCACATTTTGGATTTTCTTAATTACCATCACATTTCAGTCTTGCCTCTAGGGCTTTTTCATTCATTGCACACAATGCCTAAAGTCTAAGAGCTTTTCAGGGCCTGAATACTTAAGACCTGAAAATAATATATTGGTTTCTAACTGCACAAAGGAAACAATGATATCAAAAATCATTAAATATTTAGTTAAATATCTCTACAAAATATACTCAATATATTAACTGTTAAGGTTCGTATTCTTAAAATGTTATATTTGAAATATATTTGTAGATTATGATCTCACTTTCATGAGTATGCATGATGATTACATAGAAATCACAGCTAACCAGAAATTAAATGATTTGTTCCTAGCGTTAGTGGACGTGACTATTGCCTCTCTATGTCCTTTCCAGCCAGATTATTGCTCCAAGCCTTTCACAGTACCTTTAATTCTAAATGAGTGAGTGAGTTGGAAATGGACATGTTTAAGCCATTCAGACTCATGAAATATGAGTAGAAGTGTGCTGGCCTCTTTTAGATGTAAATAAGAAAGGATTTTGCCCTTATTGCTGCTGGCAGTCATCTATCTCCACGTCGTAAAGATACCTAGACTTAGGAAAAAGTCCACACTGTGGTGTGCAGAGCAAAGAGGCAAACAAACAAACAAACAAACACCCGGGCCTTTGAAAGATTAATCCACAGAATCAACCCTGAAGTCTGTCCTTTCTCTATACTTTCGGTTATGTGTGCTAGTGTTCTCTTTAGTGCAACCCCATTAAAATAAATCACATCTTTAAGAATAGTCCAGATCTCATAATCTCATCCTGTAGTTTGTTTGAAAGAATCTGAAGCCCACAGATTCAAGTAATTTACTCAAGCATTGCTGTATTCATTTGCCAGGGCTGCTTTTACAAAGCACCACAAACTGGGTGGCTTAGACAGCAAAACTGTATTTTCTGACAGTTCCGGAGACTCGAAGTCCAAGATCAAGGTGCAGCAGGTTTGGTTTCTTTTGAGTCCTCTTGCCTTAGCTTGCAGATAGCAAACTTCTGGCTATGTTTTCACATGGTCTCTCCTCTGTGTGCACAAGTCCCCGGACTTTTTCTGTGTGTCAAAATTTCCTCTTCTTATAAGGACACCAGTAAGATTGAATTTGGCCCCACCCCAATGGCTTCATTTTAACTCAATCACTTTTTAAAGGCTTTATCTCCAAATACTGTCACATTGTGAGGCACTGGGAGTTAGGGATTCAATTTATGAACTTTGTTGTGACACAATTCAGCCCATACCTGTTACACTGTGCTTTTCTTACCACAACGCTAGAGCTCAGTTTAGGACCCACATTTCCTGACTCCCAGCTGCACTTTCTTACCACAATGAAAAGAATACTGAATTTCTGCATAATGTTTGTATGGAGTATGATAAAATTCTTAGCAGTAAAAAAGTAGCATTTGTAAGGGCGTGGAGGTGGCAGTTCGTGAGCAGCAGTGCTGGAAAGAATATGGAAACTTCAAAAAGCCTGGCTAAAGTGACAACTCTAGAAGCCAAATACATAGAGAAGGAAATTTTATTTTATGATCCAGAAACAATTGAACATATCTATGCTATTCAATAATAGAAGACTGGTTGGGTAAATCATGATGTATCTGCTTGTATGAAATACTATGCAGCCTTAAAAATTATGAAGTTGAATATATTTCTTAACATGAAAAGATAAGTGTGATACAACTGGGGAAAGACAGTCTCTTCAAAAAGTGGTGCTGGGAAAACTGTATATCCACATGCAAAGGAATAAAGTTAGATTCTTACGTTCTACCATATACAAAAATTAACTCAAAATAGATTAAAGAACAAAATTTAACACCTATAACTATGAAACTCCTAGAAGAAAACATAAGGGAAATGCTTCAGAACACTGAATTTGGCAATGATTTCATGGCTATGACACCTCAAGCACAGGCAACAAAAGCAAAAGTAGACAAGTGGGACTATATCAAACCTGAAAACTTCTGCACATCAAAGGAAACAATCAACAGAGTGAAAAGGCAACCTGTGGAATGGGAGAAGATATTTGCAAATTATATACCTAATAAGAAGTTAATATCCAGAATATATAAGGAACTACTATAACTCAATAACAAAACCACAAATAAACTGATTTTTAAAATAAGCAAAAGACTTGAATAGATAATTCTCCAAAGACGATGTACGAGTGGCTAACAAACATATGAAGAGAATGCACAACATCACTAATCATAAGAGAAAGATAAATCAAAACCATAATTACATACCACCTCATACCTATTTGGATGGCCAATATCCGAAAAACAGAAAATAACAAATGTTGGCAAGAATACAGAGAAATTGGAATCCTTGCACACTGTTGGTGGGAATGTAAAATGGTTCAACCACTATAAAAACGGTATGGAAGTTCCTCAAAAAATTAAAAATAGAATTGCCATATGATCCAGCATATATACTCACTTCTGGGTATATATCCAAAAGAATTCAAAGCAGGATTTTGAGGAGATATTTGCACACCTAGGTTTATCACAGCATTATTCAAAATAGCCAAGTGGTGAAAGCAACCCAAATGTCTACCAACAGATGAATGGATGAAGAAAATGTATAAAAGTATATACATCTAATGGAATATTACGCTGCCTTAAGAGAGAAGGAAATTCTGTCACATGCTACAACACGGATGAAACTTGAGGACATTATGCTAAACATTCACAAAAGTACAAATACTGCATGATTCCACTCAGATATAGAGTCTAAAATAGTCAAAATTAAACAGAAAGTTGAAAGGCAGTTACTAAGGCAGAGGGGAGAGCGAATTAGCGTTGAACGGGGTTTCACTTTTACAAGATGGAGAAGTCCTAGAGATCTGTTGCACAACAATGTAAATATGCTTAGCACTCCTGAACTATACACTGAAAAATGGTTAAGATGGTAAATTTTAAGTTCTGAGTTTTCTACCACAATAAAATTATTTTTAAAATAGATTACACAACTCTGGTATGTTCTGGTTTAAAAACATATACATGTATGT
The DNA here is from genome assembly GCF_000001405.40 of Homo sapiens. Classification (NCBI taxonomy): domain Eukaryota; kingdom Metazoa; phylum Chordata; class Mammalia; order Primates; family Hominidae; genus Homo; species Homo sapiens. The sequence continues at coordinate 156,606,741 of NC_000003.12, read as the reverse complement.
ATATATGCAGTTACTGGCAGTTTATACATGAAACTATTAGTACTAGATATTTATGAAAAATATTTTTCCCTCTACTTTTTTTCTTATTTAAATAAATCCGGATAATGTGTGTGTGTGGAGTACTGAGAAAGGCCTCCGTATCTAGGGGTAAACTGTGGGGACTTTTTCTGGCCAACCAAGCCAGCAGCAAACAGCAGGAAAGCGGGCAAATTTTGGACACAAATACAGCACCAGCCTCTGCCCTGGGTCTCTCCTCCGTTCACCACAGATCTCTTAGAGCTTTTCTTCAGAGCTTGGCCCCCTGCCTGCCCCCTCCCTTTAGCGATGTGTGGGGAAATTTCGTTTTATTTTGTCCTTCTTCCACCTTTTCCAGCCGCCGTGGAGTGCAGCGCTTTGGAACTTGAGCACGCGCGCTGCGCAGCCAGAGCGTCTACACACTGAGCCCGCACAGCTTCTGGGCACACGCACCCCGGGTCGGCCGGCCGGCCGGCCGGCTGGCTCCCCACCGCCCTGGTGAAATGGTTTGTCCCCAGTCGCAAGCTGTTTGGGTTGTTTGGAAATGTCTTTTCCTTGCCTGCGCCTCACCCTGAGCACATCCCCTTGCTTCTGGTAATAGCCTTCTAATAATCGCACGTTCGGCACGTCCTGTGTACCGACCACTCTGGGAAAAGGAGCAGCAGGGAGGCTAGGCTAGGAGCGGCCTAATCCAGGCGCCAGGCGGTCTTTGGAGAAGGGCCCTGTCCTTTGGAGAAGTCTGAAGCTTGCTGGAAATGTTTGATGACCGTTTTCCACTAACTTTTGTCATGCAGAGCCCAGGCTGAAAAAAGCTAGTCATCACATTCCAGTGTGGTCAAGGAGCGGTAAGGCGTGGATCTGAGCTTTCCTGATCCCCTGGTCCCTCTCAGAGCCCCAGTCCCCACCCTCTCCAGCCCTCAGCAGAGGAGAGAAGTGGCCGGGTGCTGGGAGGGGCTGAGGCCCGTTACTAATGAGTGTGACTTGGAAGCTGGACAGGAGAACTGCTTGCTGGTGTACATGTTCCCCCACCCCCACTGCTTTAAGATAAAAAGCAGGAGCCCCCAGAAGGGAAAATACGTGGCCTTTTTTTTTTTTTTTTCCTTTTGGACCTTGGAAACCAAGTGATAAAATAACAGTAATGCGAATGAAACTCTCCCTGAAACACTAATAAGAAAACTAATTGCAGATTCTAGGACAAGTCTCTCAGTGCCTCCAAGTGTTGCCATTTTGCTTACAAAGAAGTGAGATAAAGGGAGACAATGAAATACATTAAGTAGGTCATTGTGGGGGGAAAGTCTGAGTTCTAATGCACTTTCAGTTGTTTTTAGTCTCTTGATTATACCCAATGTTGACTGATACTGGAATCTTATTTCCATGATTGGACACAGTTACAATTTACCTCGATTAGTTATTAAGAATTGCAATGTAAATGTCAGATCGGTAGTACAGAAATTAAGTACAGATTTGCTCTTAGGCAGTTTTGCTTTTATTGGTTAACAGTATGGTGAACAGTAAAGAAAAAGATTGCTTGAAGCATAATTATGCAAATAGAAGCTGTTGCTATATGTTTCAAATGGATTATTTGTAGAAAAATCTATAGTCATCTACAGCAAATATTTAATTAATTTCCAGTCTTCTACTTGGCTAGGAACTTCATCAAATGAAGATGATGCAATCAGCACAAATTTATTGAGTGACACCTCTGTGTGGGATACTGTTCTGATCACCTTCTATTCACTCCATTATTGAAAGAGGAATTCCCCACCCTAAATAGTATGAGATAGTGGAACATCCAGCACCCAACACTGGACAGATGAGATTGATGGCAGTTTATGACTCACATAAGCTCACAGCCTAGGGGAGGACACAGGACACCATGCAGCGTCACTTGGGGTTGCACTCAGGAGTAGAGTGGACAAGCATGGCCTATGGGAGGCAAGTTCTGTAGCAACACAGGCTGGGGTGACCCCTGGTTCCCACTGGAGGATGAGTGGCTTATTTGAATAATTTCACAGGCTGGCAGGGAAGTAGAACCCCTTAGGTTGAAGACCAGGTAGCGTGCAGCTCATTTAGCTAATAGGGAAACTAGCCAGATGAGGAGCCTTTTCCACTGGGGAGGGCCTATCTGGCAAAAGCAGAACTCACAGTTAGTCTTTGGGGGCTCCAGGAAGCTCAAAGATGTCAAGGCAGCACAAAAAACTTTAGGCCTTACACTATAGATCCAAAAGAAGAGTAAGACATAGTCCTTGGCTGTAAAGAACTTGAGTTTTCTAGGCTGGGGTGGGAGTGGGGGTGCCAAACTATTATACATGGTTCTAACTGTAAATACAGGAGGACTTTTGAGCATATAGAGTAAAGTAGGTATAATAACAGCAGCAGACAGACTTCACAGAAAACATGGTGCTTGGCTAGAACTTCAAGGGTGAGTAGGATACGTGGTTGAGGGGAGTCAACCTGGGAAGGGGAAGCATTTTAGGAACGGAACAAGATGAGAATGGTCTTGCTGATGTTTCAAGACTGGTCTATTCATTTATTCAACATGTACTTATTAAGGGCCTGCTTGGCACATGGGCCTTCCAGGTTACAGGGTAAGAAAGAAACTCTAAGGACAGCATGTACCTTGCCAGTTGGACTGTTTGGTCCAAACTGGTGGTGAACTGTGTGGCAGTGGCGGCCAGGAAGGTGTTTAGCTGGGGCCTACCATTCACTGGTAGCCTCAAATGTGGACTTTGGTTGTAATCTCCAATGAGGTGGAACAACCCTGGAAAGATATCAGTGGGATATAAATATATTCAATTTGTAATTGTAATTGTTGTAAACACCCAAAATATACCACAATCTTAACACCCTCTTCAGCTTTTATTTTTTAATATACTAGGACCCTTAAAAAAAAAGGAAGTGGCCCTGGTGTCCCTTAACTTCTGGGAGGCCCTGCTAGCCAGACTGCTCCCCATCCTGCCAGAATGTGGTTGGCTCTTCTGGGCTCACCTCTGGACTCTCTCTTCTCAGGTCTGCACTGAGCATTCCCATTTTTGCACTCCTGGAGCACTTTGGGCTTGTTCTCTCCTGTGGAGCATTTAGTACTTAATGATCCTGCCAACTGAACTACCAGCATGTATGGGCAGCCACAATCAGGAAAAGATGCTTTTAAATTACTGAAGGGAGCACTCTGTTCTTTCCAGCACAGGGTGCTTATTTTCGGGTTGTCCAGCACGAGTGTGTACCCCCAAAGTTATTTATTGGAGACATGTTTCACCTCTTGTACTTGGCAACCAAAGCACAAAGATACATACCAACATGTTCTTAGGTTTGTTCTAATTTTATATCCCAAATGGCCTGAGAGAAAAGAAAGGGGTGTTCTTTGTCTCCAGGAAACTCAATGTGACTTAACTTTTTCTTCTTTAGTAAATTACTATGTACTTTGTGTTACTTATTTGTAATATATCAAATAAGTTAGCTGGTAAAATATAAAGAGAAAAAAAACCTCACCATATGTTCAAAGTCAACAACAATAATAACAAAAGAAAACTTTAAAAAAAAAATGGGGAGAAGAAAAAAAGGTTTACTGGATACAATTATCCCAACTGACAACAACTAAGTCCAAAAGCTATAACATAAATAGTTAAAATTCTCATGGCAAGGAATGAACTTGCCCCAAAATAAATGACTGTACAGATGAGCCCAAAGTGTTCCCGCACAAGCAAATTAATAGTTTGGTTTTCTAGGGGTAGATGTGCATAAACATCACATTAACTGTTCTGAGAACTGTTTGCAGATTTTAAAGACAACTGTGACCACTTTCATGATGACCCCATGGATGGTGATGTTCCCAGAACTGGACATCAGGAAATCTTTAAGTATGTACTAAATCAATTAGAAGGAAATCATGCTGACCCTAGAAGGGATTATGAGTTTAGTTGACACCTTAGTAGGAAAATGAAATATTCTGTTAATGACTCACTAAAGCATATAATGTCCTGGAACAGGGAATCACTGTACTGTACTTTCTTGCAAGAGGTGTAACATTTCAGATGCGCTCTTTGAGACTGGAGTTATTTGGGAAATGAGTACATGAAAATCATGAGACTGAGACAAATCACCACTTACACCCTGAAGAAATTCTGACCTCATCTGTAGACTGTGGTTTTCTTTGAAACCCTGAGTTGCTTTTGAACCATAATGTGTGCTTACGACTATCAAGTAGCTCTGACATGAAGCTTCAGGAGACACAAACCTTAGACATACCACAAAAATATGAGCTTAGAGGATACTACACAATAAAGTACTGTGGGAATTGTTGAAACCCTAGTGTCAGCTCTGGATCTATTGGCACTGCTCCTTTGCTCCTGATTGGCTGAAAGAGCTTTTGATCTGGTGGATTCTTGTGCCTAGGTCTACTCCACCTGGGACTAGAAGGTACCATGGGGTCCGTCTTCTCTCACACTCATAAAAATTGTACTATCTGGAGTCTAAGGCAGTTATATGTAAGAGGAATTACATAAACATAATGCACGTGTAACTTCATTTTGTTTTACATGATAAATTTTGCATAACTTTGTTTTACATTCAAACTTCTTTGTCTTTTAACCTGAAAGGAAGTCACAATTTACCAGTTCCACTCAAAGCCAGGATCAGGGTGAGGTGAATAAAGTACTCACCTTAGACACACAGTTTAAGGTAATGCAAAAAATACTCAGTAATCAAGGTAAAAAATATAAGTCCACATAACAACATCCTGGTCAATGATGAACCACATGTAAAATATAAAGATACCTTAAATATATTTTATCAGTTGGTGGCCCCATAAGATTATAGTGGAGCTGAAAATTCTTATCACCTAGGGACATTGTAGCTGTCGTAATGTCCTAGTGCAACAAATTACTCATGTATTTGTGGTGATGCTAGTGTAAACAAACTCACTGCACTACCAGTCATATAAAAGTATAGCAACAAAATCATGTTCAGTACATAATACTTGATCATGATAATAAATGACCATGTTACTGGTTTACTACACTACACTTTTTATCCTTATTTTAGAGTGTACTCTTTGTACTCTTTCTACTTATTAAAAAACAGTTAGCTGTAAAATGGCCTCAGGCAGGTCCTCCAGGAGGTATTCCAGAAGGAGGCATTGTTATCATAGGAGACGACAGCTCAATGTGTATTATCGCCCCTGAAAACCTTCCAGTGGGGTAGGATGTGGAGGTGGAAGGTAGTGATATTGATGTTCCTGACTCTGTGTAGGCCAAGTCTAAGTACATCTGTGTCTTAGTTTTTAACAACAACAAAAAAAAATGTTTAAAAACTTTTTTTAAAGCTTTTAAAGATAGAAAAAAAAAGCTTGTGAGATAAAGATATAAAGAAAATATTTTTGTACAGCTGTACAATGTGTTGTGTTTTAAGCTGTGTTGTTATAAATACATCTGAAAGTTTTTTAAAATTAAAAGTTTATAAAGTAGAAAAGTTACAGCTAGCCAAGGTCAATGTATTATTGAAGAGAGAAAACTTTTATAATAAACTTAGTGTAGCCTAAATGATACGTGTAGATAAACAACATGTGTGCTACAACTGCCTATAGTACTCAGTACAGTAACGTAATGTATAGGTTTGTAGCCTAGGAGGAATAGGTTATACCATATAGCCTGTGTGTGTAGTTGGCGATACCATTTAGGCTTGTGTAACTACATTCTATGATGTTTGCACAATGACAGAATCACCTAGTGATGAATTTCTCAGAATGTATCCCGATCATTAAGCAATTCATGACTTTATTTTAATGCAATGCTTTAAAAAACCAAATTGGCAAACCATGGCTCACAGGTCACTTGCCTATTTTTGTAAATAAAGTTTTGTTGGAACCAGGGCCAGGATTAGGGTGAGGCAAATGAGACAAGGTCATGCAAATGCAGGGTTAGATCCTGTTATTTAAATTTTTATAGTTTGTTCATCATTGAATTTTTGCATTAATTTCATTTTTAAAAAACCATCTCATATATCTAAGTTGCCTTTCAACCTTCCTCCCATTTCCATCAATCTAGGCAGTGACCGAGTCATCCTAGATTAACAGTACAGTATCAATTAGTGGCTAGTGCACAAAGCTGACCACCTACCATCAATTTTTTCCTTCTTCCTTCTTAGGGATGTGATCAAGTTCAACATTGTTCTCTCATTATCCTGTCTTTCCCAGTGCATGCGCGCGCGCGCGCACACACACACACACACTTTTTTTTTTTTTTTTTGAAACAGGGTCTCACTCTGTCACCCAAGCTGGAATGCAGTGGCTCAATTGTAGTTCACTGCAGCCTCAATCTTCCAGGCTCAAGCGATCCTCCTACCTCAGCCTCCTGAGTAGCTGGAACCACAGGTGAGCACCACCGTGCTTGATTTTTTTTTTTTAATATTTAGTAGAGATGAGGTCTTGCTGTGTTGCCCACACTGGTCTCACACTCCTGAGCTCAAGCAATCCTCTCACCTCAGCCTCCCAAAGCACTGGGATTACAGGCATGAGCCACTGTACCTGGCCATTTTTTTAATTAGAGACCTACATATGCTGAAATGTGTTGATTTTAAGTCTAAATATCCTACTTCATTTAATGGTTTGTAAGTGGATACTTTAGTGTTGATGAAAAATACGAGAGTGTACCTGAAGTAGCTTACAGAAAAGAGCCCAGGTTACTGATATAGCATTCTCCTATGTGTATGTCTTTAAAATGCATAAATAAATATTCTTTAAGCAGTTTTATATTAAAAATATTTATTAAATAAATGGAAACAGCTCCAAACAAATATAAAAAAGTAAAAAGACCTGCAGCTATGATATAGATACATTAAAAATTATCTATGCCCAGTTCCATTTTTCATAATGTTAATTTTTAAGTGACCAATATTTAATATGGAAAATTGCTTGGATTTTGACAGCATGTCTGACTGAGAGTATGCAAATTGTACACAATCCCCATGGAAATGACCTTGTGACCCCTGCATTTTATTTAGGTCAGCGTGGCCAGCAGTAACCACCTTGTCCTCCTCCATGCAATTGTTGTGAGGAAAGGAAGAAAACTGTGACAATGACAGGGGTTGGGGGTTGGGAAGTGTGAGAAGCTGAGAAAGGCAAGAAGCCAGAAAGGCCTGCCTTGGGGAGCATGAAGGGTCTATGAGCCTGCGTGGTGAAAAACAGTTCTAAATTGTCAGCGTGCCAAGTGTAGCAAGGTGAATACATGTAGCTACCTCCTTCTCCTGCCCCGACTTCATGGGGGGAACATTTTCTATTTAAAGAAAGTGTGCACTCACCAAATTGATAGGATTATAATTAGGTTTTTCCCAGAAGAGGAATTTTAGGGTGATCTCGTCTCCTTGCTTTCTGCCTTGCCCCAGCTGCAGGGCTCCCTCTATACAGAACGATGCTGAATGAGCTTTCAACACTAGAAATCAATCCTGTCATTTCTTCACTAGACCCCTGGGCTTCCTAAATGAAGTCCGAACCGCTTAGCTTGGCATTCAAAGCCTATTGTGAGCTGGTCCTTGCCTTCAGTGCTGGCCTCAAATCCGAAGGTGATTTCAGCTTGACAGTCTTCTATGTAATTTTTATTTCATTTTATTTTTTATTGAGGTTATGTATACATAATATACATAATGTATGCTAATCAACAGGGTACAACCTTTTGATATTTACATATGTATGAATCTGTATGTAACCACACTCAGGTCAATACACAAAACATTTTCTCTACTCCACAAATTTCTCTGATATCCTTCTTAGTCTGTACATGCTCCACTTACCACTCCAGGTTTTCCCTGTTCTTAAACTTTATATAAATAAATTTATATAATATGTATTATTTTATGCCTGCTTCTTTCAACATCAGTGCTTGTGAAATTCATCCATGTTGTACATTTATTTAATTCATTCTTTCTTGCTTGCTGAGTTAGTATGTCGCTGTGTGAGTGAACCACAATTTATCCATTTTCTCGCTGCTTCTTCATATTTTTCCCATGGCACTCAGCATTGTATAAGGTTTGAATGCAAAGGCATGAGGAGGCCTAGCCACTGCCCGGGAGGCACTTTCCTGAGGCCTCAGGGGACAGTCACCTGGGACAGAGTCTGACCTTCAGCCCCATAGCCTCAGCAGCCTGGACTGTGAGCTCATGAAGAGGGACCTGGTGCAACCACGTCCTTAGGACTTAGAAAATCAGCACTCATTTATTTATTTATAGTGAGAAATACAACCGTCATATATTCAGGCGAACACATTTCATATATTTTTAAAACAGTTCTGTAATATTTATGTAGCCTTTCTTGCAAGGAACTATGAACACATTTAAATAATGAGCTGCCACAACATTCTGGTAAATAGACTGTTGGAATTTACAAATGAAGAATTTGGGACAAAAGAAAGAACTAAATGTTCTCAAGGCAAACTTGTAAGGGAAAAACACATCAGCTTTAACTATATCTCTGCTTTGCTTTATCCCAATTCCAGGAGGTAGGGCAGTCAACTAGTTAAGGCTACAGACTGGGGCCAGAGGCCTGGATTCAAATACATGCTCTGCCATCACCTCTGTGACCTTGGGCAAGTTACAGTGCCTCCTCATGCCTCAGCTGTGCCACCTATAAGAATGGGATGATAACAGTAGTTAAATGAGCTGAGAGGCAGAGTGATTTGAAAAATGCTGGCATGTAGTAAGCAACTTAAAAAATGCCAGCTGCCATTATTGTCTTGGGCTCTGTAAATTGTCACTTTCCTCATTATCAGAAAATTAGATCACATTTAGGCATTACTAACTACTAAGGCCTCAGCTTGAAGTCATAATGGTAAAACCATCACTTTTAAATTCCTGATGGACAAGGTATTTCCAGAGGAGAGTCAGTGTTGGCAATACTCAACACATATACTTTTTTTCCTTTTTTTAAAAAAAATATTATTTCATAAGTTATTGGGGTACAGGTGGTATTAGGTTACATAAACAAGTTATTTAGTGGTTATTTGTGAGATTTTGGTGCACCCATCACTCGAGCAATATACACTGCACCCTATTTGTAGTCTTTTATCCTTCACCCCCCCACACTCTTCCCCCTAAGTCCCCAAAGTCCATATCATTCTTATGCCTTTGCATCCTCATAGCTTAGCTCCCACATATCAATAAGAACATATGATGTTTGGTTTTCCATTCCTGAGTTATTTCACTTAGAATAATAGTGTCCAGTCTCATCCAGGTCACTGCAAATGCTGTTTATTCATTCCTTTTTATGCCTGAGTAGTATTCCATCGTATATATATATGCCACAGTTTCTTTATCCACTCGTTGATTGATGGGCATTGGGTTGTTTCCATGATTTTGCAATTGTGAATTGTGCTGCTATAAACATGTGTGTGCAAGTCTCTTTTTTGTATAATGACTTCTTTTCCTCTGGGTAGATACCCAGTAGTGGGACTGCTGGGTCAAATGGTAGTTCTACTTTTAGTTCTTTAAGGAATCTCTACATTGCTTTCCATATTGGCTGTACTAGTTTACATTCCCACCATCAGTGTAGAAGTGTTCCCTGATCACCACACCCATGCCAACATCTACTGTTTTTTTAAATTTTTTGATTATGGCCATTCTTGCAGGAGTGGGGTGAAATCACATTGTGGTTTTGACTTGCATTTCCCCGCTCATTAGTGATGTTGAGCATTTTTTCATATGTTTGTTGGCCATTTGTATATCTTCTTTTGAGAATTGTCTATTCATGTCCTTAGCCCACTTTCTGATGGGATTTTTCCTTTTTCTTACTGATTTGTTTGAGTTCTTAGTAGATTCTGGATATTAGTCCTTTGTCAGATGTATAGATTGTGAAGATTTTTTCCCACTCTGTGGGTTGTCTGTTTACTCTGTTGAGTGTTCCTTTTGCTGTGCAAAAGCTATTTAGTTTAATTAAGTCCCAACTATGTATCTTTGTTTTTATTACATTTGCTTTTGGGTTCTTGGTCATGAAATCCTTGCTAAGCCAATGTCTGGAAGGGTTTTTCCAATGTTATCTTCTAGAATTTTTATAGTTTTAGGTCTTATATTTAAGTCCTTAATCCATTGAGTTGATTTTTGTATGAGGTGAGAGATGAGGATCCAGTTTCATTCTCCTACATGTGGCTAGCCAATTATCCCAGCACCATTTGTTGAAAAGGGTGTCCTCTCCCCAGTTTATGTTTTTGTTTGCTTTGTCGAAGATCAGTTGGCTGTAAGTATTTGGGCTTATTTCTGAGTTCTCTATTCTGTTCCATTGGTCTATGTGCTTTTTATACTAGTACCATGCTCAACACATATACTTTTGATGGTAAATATAAGGAGATTAGAAAAATAAGACCAAGTATCAGAGCATCCCAAGATGTTAGAATGTTTTAAATGAATATATTGTATTAGGGACACTGGTTTATCTGTTTTGCTTTGTCTTTTTAGAATATGATTCTAGAAAAGCAAGGAAGGCGAAGCATTATTAAAGCTGAAGACTTTCTGGGATGTTGCTAAGGAAAGTCAGAAATCCAGGGCTACTAAGTAAAATTAATTCTACTTATTGTCCATAAATTAGGTCCTAATGAGGTGAGAAATTGCAGTGAATAGTTAAAGAATGAAAATATTTTCTCTGAATAAAAAGAAAAGCCAGGGAGGCTTTACCCTCTCAATTCTATCTTATTTCTCTTTAGCTACAGTCAGATAAAAAGGAAGCAGCTCTGAGAACCGGGAGATACAAACAAAACCATTCATGTAATTACCTTATACTGTCTGGGCAAGGTGAATGGAACACCTGTGAATAATACAGAATGAAGTCTTTGTAAGCATTGAATGATAAGTCACTCAGGGGCATTTTAGCTCAAGACCAGTTCAAAAGTAAAGGACAAGTGTCTGGCGAAGGATTTTGATTCCAAGCCAGAGTGACATGAATATGAAAAGTTAAAGATTCATGTCAGAAGAATCAAATGATGTCTTTAATTATTTATATATTTCAAAGGTTACCCTTAAAGAATAACTTGTTGATAAATGTGTTCAAATTACCACTCTTTTAATTAAGATAATTATTTTTAGGTAACAGAGTGAGAGAAAGGGAGAGAGAGGGAGAAAGAGAGGCAGTGGAAGGAGGGAGGAGAGAGAGAAATGAAAGAGATATACAGGAAGTCTGAGTATTTCAACGTGTTGGATTTTCAAAAACATGAGAGACCCAACGGGACTTCCTGGAAAAAACAAATTCCAGGCTTCCTGTTCTTGGTAAGATGCGATGTTAAATACAATGAAAAGGTTAGGCACGGGGACTCCTGAAATCAGAGGTCATAGTCTTGGGACTCCCTAATTAAACCTGCGTGAAAGCCCATTTTTGTTAATCTACACTGAGTTTTAAAATGTTTTAAAACACTATCAAAAAAGAAGATGTCATATTAAAAAATCCAATTTCTGGCTTTCCTCACAAACCCCAACATTCTGGCAACCTTGCAGCGTTCCTGCCTACTAAGAGTTGGCCGTACCTGAGTAGTGACAGTTCGTTTGCAGTTCAGCACAGCCCCAGTTTGGTCTGCCCTACCCACCTGTGCTACTGCTTTTTCAAAGCGAAATATATATGTCTGTTTGTAGAAGCAGGAATGAAACTGATGGGAATATTGTGGAATCTCTCTGGGATTAGGAATATGACACAATGGACAGGTCTTTGCTCCACCTATAAGGTGGCATCAGTCAGTTTTCGCGTAGCTATCAAGGTGCATATATTTGGATAACCACCTCCAGACTGAACTTCTCCAGGGCAGGGGATTCAGTCTCATTCATTGTTGTGTTCCCTGTTTAGCACAGTGCATAGCATACGGTTGGTGCTTAATAAATATTTATTGAATGAATAACAGATTAGAGGACTGTAATGTTCTCCACCTCTAAATCAAGCATGAGAAAGTATCTGCTTTTTAAAAAAGTATCTCAGTTTTCTGGGTATCATCTCTCCCCACCATATATCTATATACCATCCATTCATTCTGTTGACCTTTTTGGACCTGGGGAGTTCAACTCCCACTTACCAGCAAACTAGATAGGATAATCGCTGAGCCACCTCTAGACTCCCATCACTTAATATGATCCTCACAGGAAATAGTCCAAGAGTATACCAGCTGACGACCAGCTGCACGACACGGAGGGGAACACAGGGGATTTATCACTTGCATATCTGAACAACACAGATTATTTAAAATCTGGACACATTGGCTTCCACGAAGTTAATGAATAATTCTTGCATGAACCAGCTGCTTTCACTTTGTTAAAAGGACACTGCTTTTCATTGTCCCAACACATAGTTGCTTGGACAGATTTTTCTTAGGATAATGATGAGGAGAGCAAAGGTTGGCTGTTCATAAACTCTACTTATAAACTAGGTATTCCAAACTCAGTAGCCTCCACGGCCAGGCAGGTAATGGAAATGAGTGAAGCCTGCTGGGAAAGTGAAGAGGAACAGCTGCTCCTTGCAGCAAGTAACTGAAGCTATTGCAGGAATCTGGGCCCGCTGTTTCCAGGTCTTCCAATTTTTCCAGAAAACCCAGATGCCCAGATTTATAAGGACATTTCCCAATTAAAACAAAAAAACAAAAACACAAAAACACAAAACAGGCCAGATTGAGCCCAAGCCCTTAGGTTTTTGAAATCTGCTATTTATCCAGGTAGGGCATAACATTCCCTCATGAAGGCTTTTATGGTAGGCACCTTAGTAGCCTGTGACTAGCAATAGAGACTCCCTTCCCTTCCCCCTACCACACCACAAAGGGCCCTGGAAGCCTCTGAAAGGAAATCATTGGTTTTATTTTTTTTCCCTTGGGTTTATTCTTAATTAGGCATGTTGGAATCTTTACAAAAAAAAAAAACATATAAATGTAAAGTGTTTAACTCACAGAGTACCCATGTGAAAATGAATTAGTAGTATTAACTGGAGACAACAACAAAACTCCCTGCAGGCAGCTGAAACTGTTCTGCGCATTAACATGTATATGTTTATGTGTATGTGTGTATATGTTTATTTTTACTTGTTTTAAGAATGTTTTTTAATCCAAGTTGGACTTTAGTAGGTTTTTTTTTCCTTTATTATAACCATGGGATAGAAATGTATCCCTTTCCCAGAGCTATTTTGTTTTGAAAGTGGGGAAATGGGAAAACTTCAGGCTTTGATCCTTAGACCAGATTACTTTCTGTCTTACACTGAGGTCACAGACAGGACATGTGAATGGAACAAATGCTGAGAACTTGCACTGGCCAAAATCAAGGCAGTAGTTCAGGCCCCTCTAGCTTGATTGACAATAATAGGGACAAGGATATTATCATTTCCTTGCTGCTTGTGTATCCTGCTTTGTGGAGGAAAGAAAGTTGTGTCTAAAAGTCAAGCCATTTCTGATTTTTAAATTTTCATTTGTAAATTGGAGATATTAATAACTACTTTGCAGGAGTTTTGTGAACATTGCTAAGTTTGACATCTACAAGACACCTAGAAGAGTACCTAGTGCGTGGAAGGACTTAAAAGGTAGTAGGTAGTATTATTCTGATTTTTTAATTTTCATTTGTAAACTGGAGATATTAATAACTACCTTGCAGGATTTTTGTGAATACTGCTAAGTTTGACATCTATAAAACACACACACACACACACACACACACACACACACACAATATATATATTATATATTAAATATATTATATATTAAATATATAATATATATAATATAATATATATTTTATATATATATATATAGAGAGAGAGAGTACCTAGTGCATAGAAGAACTCAAAAGGTAGCAGGTAGCATTATTGTTATTACTTTATACTTTCATTTGTGCTTTATAACCAAGTATGGTCCTGGATCAGCAGTATCAGTATTCCCTGAGTACTTATTAGAAATACAGTGCCTCAGAGCCCTTTCCAGGTCTGCTGACTCAAAATCTCCTTTGTAGCAATATTTGAGGTGATTTGTGTGCTCAGTCAACCTGGACATACACTGCTTTATAAAGTACACTTTGTACTTAGAACTTTTCACATTTTAAATGTTAAATGGTGTTCTAAAACTTGAATTATTTTTACCACCTATACAAGATTTCCTATATCTGTGTTTCATCTGGACCATTATTTACTTAATAGATATTTTGAATAGTCTCAGCAGTTTGGGAGGTCAAGGAGGGTGGATCACCTGAGGTCAGGAGTTTGACACCAGCCTGGGCAACATGGTGAAACTCTGTCTCTACTAAAAATACAAAATTAGCTAGGCATGGTGCGGGCGCCTGTAATCCCAGCTACTTGGGAGGCTGAGGCAGGGAGAATCTCTTGAACCCGGGAGGCAGAGGTCGCAGTGAGCCAAGATGGAGCCACTGCACTCCAGCCTGGTGACAAAGCAAGGCTCCATTAAAAAAAAAGAGGATAGTCTTAATTTAAAAAAAAAAAAAAGACGTTAGCCTGCTCCTAAAAATGATATTGTGGGTCTTATATCCTAGCTATATTCATATAATATAGCTATATTCTATATTCATATGAAATAAATAATAGACTGTGAAGTTAAAAATGTCCTCCGTATACCCCTAAAAGCATCCTGGGTATCACTGTGACACACACCCTGTCTTTCAAGCAACACTTTCCCAGGGGCTCACTATTTACAAGAAGATTGTTCTAAGTGGTTTAATAAAGCAAAGACTCTCAATAAAATACTGGCAAACAGAATCCAGCAGCACATCAAAAAGTTTATCCACCAAGATCAAGTTGGCTTCATCCCTGGGATGCAAGGCTGGTTCAACATATGCAAATCAATAAACATAATCCATCACACAAACAGAACCAAAGACAAAAATCTCATGATTATCTCAATAGATGCAGAAAAGGCCTTCGACAAAATTCAACAGTGCTTCATGCTAAAAACTCAATAAACTAGGTATTGATGGATCATATCTCAAAATAATAAGAGCTATTTATGACAAACACACAGCCAGTATCATACTGAATGGGCAAAAACTGGAAGCATTCCCTTTGAAAACTGGCACAAGACAGGGATGCCCTCTCTCACCACTCCTATTCAACATAGTGTTGGAAGTTCTGGCCAGGGCAATCAGACAAGAGAAAGAAATAAAGGGTATTCAATTAGGAAATGAGGAAGTCAAATTGTCCCTGTTTGCAGATGACATGATTGTATATTTAGAAAACCCCATTGTCTCAGCCCAAAATCTCCTTAAGCTGATAAGCAACTTCAGCAAAGTCTCAGGGTACAAAATCAATGTGCAAAAATCACAAGCATTCCTATACACCAATAACAGACAAACAGAGAGCCAAATCATGAGTGAACTCCCATTCACAATTGCTACAAGGAGAATAAAATACCTAGGAATCCAACTTACAAGGGATGTGAAGGACTTCTTCAAGGAGAACTACAAACCACTGCTCAACGAAATAAAAGAGGATACAAACAAATGGAAGAACATTCCATGCTCATGGATAGGAAGAATCAATATGGTGAAAATAGCCATACTGCCCAAGGTAATTTATAGATTCAATGCCATCCCCATCAAGCTACCAATGACTTTCTTCACAGAATTGGAAAAAACTACTTTAAAGTTCATATGGAACCAAAAAAGAGCCTGCATTGCCAAGACAATCCTAAGCAAAAGGAACAAAGCTGGAGGCATCACGCTACCTGACTTCAAACTATACTACAAGGCTACAGTAACCAAAACAGCATGGTACTGGTACTAAAACAGAGATATAGACCAATGGAACAGAACAGAGGCCTCAGAAATAACACCACACATCTACAACCATCTGATCTTTGACAAACCTGACAAAAACCAGAAATGGGGAAAGGATTCCCTATTTAATAAATGATGCTGGGAAAACTGGCTAGCCATATGTAGAAAGCTGAAACTGGATCCCTTCCTTACACCTTATACAAAAATTAATTCAAGATGGATTAAAGACTTAAATGTTAAACCTAAAACCATAAAAACCCTAGAAGAAAACCTAGGCAATACCATTCAGGACATAGGCATGCGCAAGGATTCCTGCCTAAAACACCAAAAGCAATGGCAACAAAAGCCAAAATTGACAAATGGGATCTAATTAAACAAAAGAGTTTCTGCACAGCAAAAGAAACTGCCATCAGAATGAGAGAAATTTTTGCAATCTGCCCATCTGACAAAGGGCTAATATCCAGAATCTACAAAGAACTCAAACAAATTTACAAGAAAAAATCAAACAACCCCATCAAAAAGTGGGCAAAGTATATGAACAGACACTTTTCAAAAGAAGACATCTGTGCAGCCAACAGACACATGAAAAAATGCTCATAATCACTGGTCATCAGAGAAATGCAAATCAAAACCACAATGAGATACCATCTCACGCCAGTTAGAATGGCAATCATTAAAGTCAGGAAACAACAGGTGCTGGAGAGGATGTGAAGAAATAGGAACACTTTTACACTGTTGGTGGGACTGTAAACTAGTTCAACTATTGTGGAAGACAGTGTTGCAATTCCTCAGGGATCTAGAACTAGAAATATCATTTGACCCAGCGATCCCATTACTGGGTATATACCCAAAGAATTACAAATCATGCTACTGTAAAGACACGTGCACACATATGTTTATTGCAGCACTATTCACAATGGCAAAGACATGGAACCAACCCAAATGTCCAACAATGATAGACTGGATTAAGGCAATGTGGCACAAATACACCATGGAATACTATGCAGCCATAAAAAAGGATGAGTTCATGTCTTTTGTAGGGACATGGATGAAGCTGGAAACCATCATTCTGAGCAAACTATCGCAAGGACAGAAGACCAAACACCGCATGTTCTCACTTATAGTTGGGAATCGAACAATGAGAACACTTGGACAAAGGGCAGGGAACATCACACACACTGGGGTCTGTTGTGGGTTGGGGGGTTGGGGAGGGATAGTATTAGGAGAAAAACCTAATGTAAATGACAAGTTAATGGGTGCAGCAAGCCAACACAGCACATGTGTACATATGTAACAAACCTGCACGTTGTGCACATGTACCCTAGAACTTAAAATATAATAATAAATAAGTAAATAAATTTAAAAAAAAAAAAAGGAAAGACTCTTTTTCCAATCTGAATAATCATTCCTTGGCTTTTCTTTTTTATCAATTCAAACTAGGGCCATATGATGTGACAGAAAATATTTTATCAGTCTGATAGACCAGAGATATCACTTTTAAGCATGTATCTGGGCCAGATTCCTTCCTCCCTTCTTAACTTCTATCAACATCCACTGAACAACCACTGCATGTCAGCCCTTGTACTTAGCATGGAAGACAGAGTTGAGGAAGACAGTGCCCCTTCCCTAGCATCTTACCATCTGGTTGGTTGTGGTAGTACAGGAAAATGTGACAAAGCTGATGGTAAAGCAACCCTTAGGACATCGTGGAGGCACAGAGCAGGGTACCTGCCCCAGCCAGGGGGTCTAAGCAAGGCTTCCAGCAAGAAGTAAGGCCTTAGCTCAAACCTAAAGGATTGACAAGGGGAAGAGTCAGGGGGGTATGCTCAAAAGGGGATATAGCCTGGGCAAAGCTGCAGACCAAGAACCAGTAAGGCACATCTCCCAGTCTCAGTTTCTTCATTTGTGATAAGAAACAGGAAGGATACTTACCACATTAGGTCATTTAGAGTAAAAACTCCAAGGCTTGTGTTTATATGAGAGAATTACCTCTGCATATTCACATATACAAAGCCAGAAGCAGTGACAAGCAATAGCTATAGTTCCACTCACAGATATATACCCAAGAAAAATAAAAACATAGGTCCACATAAAAATTTGTATACAAGTGTTCATAGCATCGTTATTCACAATAGCCAAAAGTGGAAACAATCAAATGTCCATGAATTGATAAATAAAATGAGGTATACCTACACAATGCAATATTAGTGGGCAATAAAAAGAAATGAAGTATTGATATGTGCTACAGTATGAATTAACTTTGAAATGCTATGTTAGTGAAAGAAGCCAGAAACAAAAGGACCCATACGTGATTTCATTTATATGAAATATCCAGAATAAGCAATCTATATTCTATAGATTCTTATAGATTTATAAATCTATAGAGACACAAAGTAGATTAGTGGTTGCCTATGGCTGGAGGTGGGATGGGAGAGGGAGTGATTATTAATGGGTGCTGGGTTTCTGTTTGGGGTGATAAAATGTTCTAAAGTTGATTGTGGTGAAGATTGTACAATTCTTTCTTTTTTTCTTCCTTTTTTTTTTTTTTCTTTTTTGAGACGGAGTCTCGCTCTGTCACCAGGCTGGAGTGCAGTGGCATGATCTCGGCTCACTGCAACCTCTGCCTCCCGGGTTCAAGCAATTCTCCTGCCTCAGCCTCCTGAGTAGCTGAGATTACAGGCATGTGCCACCACGCCCAGCTAATTTTTTGTGTGTGTTTTTAGTAGAGATGGGGTTTCACCATGTTGGCCAGGATGGTCTCGATCTCTTGACCTTGTGATCCGCCCGCCTCGGCCTCCCAAAGTGCTGGGATTACAGGCGTGAGCCACCGTGCCCGGCCTGATTGTACAATTCTTTCAATATACTAAAACCCATTGAATTGTAGACCATAAATGTTTGAATTGAATGGTATGTGAATTATATCTCAATAAAGCTATTTTTTAAGTGATAGCTAACACTTTCATAGCATAACCTAGGCACAGCTCTAAGTGTTTTATATATGTTAACTTATTAATTCTTACAATATCCAATGATATAGGTACCATGATGGTCCCCAGAAAAGACTGCCTAGGGCCACATGGCCAGTAGATGGTAGGGCTGTGATGCAAATCCATGGGGGCTGGCTTTGGCACACACTCACTTAATTTCCAGCCTACACTGTCCTCGCTTGGGAACCATCAAAAGCTTCAGTTTTAGATTCAGATAAACCTGGGTTCTGATCTCATCCCTGCTATTTATCAGCCAAGTGATCCTGGACAGGCTACTGAACTCAGTTTTCTCATATGTTCAATGGAGATAATAATAGTGCATACCTCACAGGATTGATGTTTAGCACAGGGACTATCTATAGTAAGCTGTTAACAACTATGAGGTCCTTCTTTATGCAGAGTTATCTCTGATTTGAGAACTGAAAATCACTACCTAAAAGCAGCAGGCAGGCTAATACCAGCCAACTTGAAGAGTCAGCTTACTATTTCTGCAAAGACAGAATTTTGTTTTTTGTATGAAAATGGCCTAGTAAACTAGTGGTCTGGCATGCTGCTTTTTACATAACATAACTTAAAGTCTTAAATGAGGAGAAAAATATTTGCACATGCACTAAGCGTTTGAAATGTTGAAGATCTGCTTTTTATGGCATGAAAATAAGCAGAAGTGTGGGATGGAGAAAGAAATGTGTCACTTCCCCAGCACTGGCCTGCAAGGGCAGAGTGACCTTACACAAGAAGAAAAATGCCAGTAATTTCCAAACTAATCTAATTTTAAATTTCTTGATTTTTCATTTCATTATGTAGAGACATATTTATTCTTGGAAGGAAAGAACAAAAAACCCGACATTAGTGATAAAATAAGTCATATAAGTTTTGCTGGCAAACTCATACTGCACAGTGCTACAGAGTTCATTTGCAAGACAGGAAGCAAGTCAAAGTCCATTGCAGTTCTCTGCCCAGAATGTCTCTTTGAGCACAGTTTGTGACTGGAATTTTTTAAATTTTACTTTGGGGTTGGCATAGTTTGCTGCGGTATGATTCAGTCTCTTCTTTCATCTCCTATAATTTTCCTCCTAACATTCAATGGACCCGCTCTGGGGTTTCCACATCATGGGAAACGTACCAGCATTCATTCTGCTGTTTAGGCCACCTTTGATTCCTCCTTTTCTCCCCCATGGCCAGTGGGTAGGTACATTTGCTAGGCTTCCTCCAAAATATATCTTGCATCTTTTCACTTCTCTCTAACCCCTTTGCCACTATTTATCCAAGCCACTTACATCTACTGAAAGGACTACTGCAATAGTTTTTTAAATGTTACCTCTACTTCCACTGTATTTCCCTACAGCCAATTCTCCATGGAGCAACAAGAGGTATCTCTAGAAATATGAATAAGATCAAACTTCTGCCTAAACTATCAGTGGTCTAAATTCAAATATATGATTAGAATATTTAAAAGGTGTTCAACATTATTATCATCAAGGAAAGTAAATTTAAAGCTACAATGAGATATTACAGATTGAGTAGCCCTTATCCAAAATGCTTGGGACCAGAAGTATTTTGAATTTTAGACTTTTTTTTATTTTGGAATCTTTTTATATACATAATAAGGTATTTTGTGATGAGGCCAAGCCTAAACACAATATTCGTTTATGTATTTTTAACAATTTTTTGCATATAACTTATACACATAGCCTGATGATAAATTTTTATAATATTTTAAACAATTTTATGTATGAAACAAAATTTGTGTACATTGAAAGCCAAGGTGTACATCAAAAAGCAAAGGTGTCACTATCTTGGCCACCCATGTGGACAGTCTGTGGTTGCATGGCATCACCAACATTCCTGACTCTGAATTTATATGCTAACAATAAGTAATCATTTTCTAACACTTATTTACACATAATCACTTAACTGTAAAAAATATGACATAATATTAATACAGTGAAAAAATAATGTGGTTTACAGAAACTAAGCAGAACAGCAGCATCAACAGAATACCTGTATTAGCTGTTAAACAACAGCAACAACAAACAATGGCAGGCTTTCAGTCTCTACCGATGATGCTGTGTTCTGTTTAAAAGGTTACTACATACACTTTTTTAAAAGGTGAAAAGAAACATCAGAAGCACTTGAGGGACCAGCAAGTGGGTCCTCTATGGATGAGGAGGCTTTCTGCTGGATGGCTTTTAAAAATATTTCCCCCAGAGTCATCTGCCTCATTAACTATGGTTTTTGTGTTAGAAGTCTGATTTTATACATTGCCATGAATTCTTACTCTGTTAGGAATGCACACTACTCTAGTCCTTCAATAAGCCCATCATAGATTTTTACCATGTCATCTATAGGTGATTTTTCTGCAGTGTTTTCCACTTGTGGTGTTGTGTCAGTGCTCAAAAAGTTTTGGATTTTGGAGCATTTTGGATTTTAAATGTTTGGATTAGGGATGCTCAACCTGTACTATGCACGCACCAAAACAGCTAAAATTTTAAGAATTAAAAAGACTGACAATACCAAATACTGTTGAGGATGTAAAGAAGCTAGAACTTTCATGCACTGCTAGTAAAAAGGAATATATGATACATTTGGAAAATTGTTTGGCTATATCTAATAAAGCTAAATATATGCAATTCTACGCCTGGGTATATACCAGAATAAATGAGTGCCTATGTCCATCAAAAGTTTCAACACTATTTAACTAGCTTTATTTATAATAAACAAACATTGGCAACAACCTAAATGTCTACTAACAGTACAATAGATAAATGATTGTATATTCATACAACAAAATAGAACAAGTAATAGAAAAGAATGAACTACTGGCACATCCCATAACATGGATGAATCTCCCGGATTAAGCAAGTGAACACGTACAAAAGTCTGTACTGTATGATTCTATTTATTTATGTTCAAGAATAGGCAAGACTAATCTGCCTTGACAGAAGGCCAATTATTGGTTACTGGACTTTACCTTTGCTAGGGACTGGGGACGGGGTGGTTAGATTGAGAAGTGGCATGAGGGAATCTTCTGAGGTTTGGAACTGTTCTATATCTTGAACTGGGCTGGATAGTTGTTTCATGAGCTGTGTGTGTGTGTGTGTGTATGTGATTGTGTGGTCAAGTTGTACAATTTTTGTGCACACTATAATTATGAATGTTTTTCTTCAGTTATAAAAAGTCAGTGGCATCCCAATGCACTTACAATTGACTCTATAAATCATATCATGGTCTGGCGACTGCCTTCCTTTTCTCATCTCACACTTTATTCCTCCTTGTTCTTTATGCTTTTGCTGCACAGGCCTGGCCTTCTAATTTTCTCTTACACATGCCACTCCCTAACCATTACCCTCTTTTAATTTCTTCATAACCCCTTCCATCATTTGAAATGATCTTATTTGATTACTTATTTATTTCCTGCTTTCTTGCTCTAGAATGTCAGCCTCATGAGAGTGGAGTCTTTGTCTGTCTTATTCACTCTCTTTTCCCAGCACGCAGAATAAGACACTTGTAAGACTCAGATATTTGTTCCATAAATTGATATGATCTTCAAATATTTGCAAAAAGTAACACTGCTGAGTGTTTACAATATCTCCATATTCTTAACAATATCTCAGATGAAAATGTAGCTATTATGACCATTTTGTAAATATCTTACCTGACAAACTTATTCATTTATTTATATTTATTTAATGTAATAAATGTTTATCAAATGTTCACTACAAGCAAGGTATCGATTTAGCTAGTATTGTCTGGGGTACAATAAAGAAGAATTGAAAATACAGCAGACAGGAGTAGTAATTTCGGACTGTGTCCTAAAGCTAGCCTAGGAGTGGAGGAAGGTCATTCCTTCATGTGAGACTGAGGGGGAAATATGGGTGGGGATATAGATAAATTTATGGTGGAGGAAGTGGAAAATGTTGAGTTCTTACTTGATGGTTTCTATTTCCTCCAAAGTAGGAAGCAGGATCACGTGCTAAAACAGAGAAGGCAGGAGTAGGTTAGAAGGCTTGAGAATCTTCAGTGCTTTCTTGTTCTTGATACATATGGGCACCTCTCCCAAACTGAAGGTTTGCAGGGTGGTGCAGTGGCAAGGCAAGGAGTGAGGGAACTAGGGGTCTTTGTAAGTTGTGGAAGAAATGATATGCAGAATGGGGACTCAAGAATGGGGGTGAAAGGCTATAAAGCCAGGAAGAATTCAGAGAAAGGAAGAGATAAAGAGGCTATTGTAATATCCAGATCAAGATGATGGCATGGTCACACAGAAGGGTGTCTTCTGTGTGATTCTTTTCAAACACAGAGAAAAACATTTTAAACCAAAATCTAGATAATAATTACATGAGCATTTGGGGAAAATGATGAGTCAGGAGGGAAGTCACATTGCTCTGTCTTGTGCAGGAAGAAGCTAGATATATGGATTAACTATTGACTTTATTAAAATATATAAACCTAAGTCTGTTAAAACCACTAAATGATTAGAACTAGAATGTGTAATTTCCAAACCTGTTGAAGAAAAAGAAAAGGAATTAGGATAATCCAAAAGAAGGCAAAAAAGGAGGAAAAAATAACTTCATAAATGGGGAATATAAAATGTCAGAGATAAATTGTCAGATTTAAACTCACCTACTAAAGGATAAGACTTTTAGATAGGCTTTTCAAAAATGCAGGTATATATCTGTTTATAAGTTATGTACCTCAAACAAAATAACACAGAAAAATTACAAATAAAGGCATGAAAAAAGACATACCAGAAAATTAGTGACAACAACAACAACAACAAAAAGCTGGCCTAGCAATACTAGTACTAGATAAAAATGGATATTAAATTAAAAGTATTTCTAGGAAACAAGATCTTATACAGACAATGAAACTACTTACCAAGACAGTAGGACAACCATAAATTGGTTTGCCCTTAACAACAAATTTGTTGTTGTGGAGGTTTGGTGGAAGACTGGGAAATTGGCTCATTCAAAATGACTCAACCTTCTGTTTGTCATGAAAAAGACTACATTTCTCAGTTTCCCTTGCATCTAGATTCTTCACATGACCGAGCTTCTGCCAAGCAGAGATTTGGAAGATGAAAGCAACTACTATGAGCTGGTGGCCACAGGTTCTTCTGGTGGCCGGAAGGGCAGTAGAGGTGCTCAGTTCTCTAGGGACAGTGATTGCAGGAGTTCTCAAATTCTGGTGGAGTATTGAAGTGGCTAAGTGGCAGGCAGTGGCTGGCCATGGGGTTTCTGCATCATTGTGGATGTTTCTCCTGACTGCTCACAGTCCGAGTAATACCCAAGCTTGGCTCCCCAGCTTCCCAGAAATTCTGTAAGCTAACTTGGATCTTGTAATAGTCCTGTTCTGCTTAAACTAGCTGGAGTGTATCACAATATGACATGGTATGAGCTGTGCTAGAGGTAAGCTTCAAGCACTATAAGCACGTGTGGGATTCTAAAACTCTGAGTGGGGGCAAGTATAGAATCCTCATAGGCTTCTTAGAGCAGGTGATAGCTGCAATATGAGCTGAAGTATGAGTTGGAATTAGCGAGGTAGAGGCAGAAAGACTAGGAAGGCTTAGAGAAAGAAGGAACAACATGTGCAAAGGTGGAGCCCAGAAGTTACAGAACTCTAATTAGTTCAGAATATCCCTAACACAGGATGAGAGGTACAGAGTGATGAAAAAGGAGGCTGTAGCAGTGGCAGGGGTAATTCACAGATGGCCATGCATGCCAATTTGTAGAATGCAACTGTTGTTTTTCTTGTCTGCTCAGCACCTTGGCTGCTTCTGCTCTAATCTTCTGCTCCCCTCTTTCCACTCCAATACACACACATTTCCTTTGGGAAACTACTGCTTCTCCACTCCAACAGGTGATTCTGATGAGCCTGTCAATCATGGTACCCTCATCTCTGATGACAGGAAAGGGCTCTTGTTCTAGGTCTGACCACTCCTGGTAGCCATTCCTATGAGTATGGTGATTGGTCTAAGGTGGGGCTGTGTGTCAATTCTGACCTGTCAGAGTCTCCCTGGGGGATTTTTAAAATTTAGGACTGGCTCACAGATTTGTGAATTCTGGTAGCCATTATCTGCCATAATCCTCCCTTAATCTCTAAGGAGAAAGTCTGTCTGTGATGGAAGAGACTTATGTAAAGTAGAAAAAAGTAACAATGAGAAATGGAAGAGGAGATATGAGAGACAGAGAGTTAGTTTTAGCAAGGACAAGTCTCAGAATCTAGGCCCTGACATGGCTACCCTAGTTCCTGTAGCCCTTATGTCATGCTGATCAAAGCCTGACCAACATACCTATTTATAATCAAGTTACTCATAGAATTTGTTTATGCATATTTTAGTAAACATTTCTCCTCCTCTTTTCCCTCTTGTTCATTTTTGGTTATTGTATAATATTCTATTGAATTTAAATATCTTTATCTAACTATTAGGTTATTTCCTGTATGTCAAACATTGTTGGTTTGGATTTGGACAGAAGATGAGGAGAGAGGATGTGGCATAGTGTTTGTGAGCTTCAGCGAATGGCATAGAAAAAGGAATGGAGGGGAGAAAGTACACAGCATGTTTAAGGATTAACAAATAATCCTGTTCGGCTGGAGTTGAAGAATGGTGGGAACAGAAATAGCTGTAAAAATACAGTCTCTGCTGCATAGTGTACTAATGATAGGGTAACTGAACATGAAAAAAGGTGTGCAAATTTGTACTATATTTATTGCTAAAAAAAAAATAAGGAAGTTGTCATGGACAAAATCATGGGGCAGCCACATGGAAACTCCAGCATGCTGTTCTAAGAGCTACAAATTACAAGTGTTGGAAAGAATTACTATAACTATAATAATCTGACTCAGCATTGTGAGGACTTCTTTTCGTTCATTCAGTTGATTTTCTGTAGTTTGAAGGAGTTCTTAAATTCTGGTGCTACTGTCAAAGTGGCGAAGTGGCACGCAGTGGCTGGTCATGGGGTTTCTGCAGGATGTTGGATGTTTCTCCCGGTTAGGTTGTTCACAGTCCAGGTAATACCCAAGCTTGGTTCAAAACTACAGAAAATCTACTGAATGCGCTAAAGGAAGATTTGAGAAAATGAAGAATAGTTGACCAGGTGAAAAGACTAAATTTTATACAACTGTCAATTATTAAATTGATAGATTTGGTTGCAGTGTGTGTAGAAGGGTGTGGGTGGGGTGCTTTTTCCCTACTCCTCTGGTTTTCATGAGGAGAGATGTTGTGAGAATATAATCTGTCATAAAGTAGGCATCAAAATCTACGAGTTAAATCATTATTTAGTAAATGATACTGAAACAATTGAATACATGTTTAGGAAATAAATCAGAATAGATCCTCATTTTATAGTTAACATCGTACCAAATCCAATATGGAGTAAAAAGAACATAACAAATCAAATTTAAAATACCAAGATGAAAAAATATATGCCTTTGTAGTAGTTGTAAGTGAGAGGAAGTAAAAAGGGATCGGGGGTAGTTTCTGAACTTGAAAGTGTTGGAAGAAATGTAAAAAAGAAAAAAATAGTGCACTTGACCACACAAACATTATAAATTTCTATAAGTGTTTTAGTCTTTTAATTAAAACATTCTCAATAAACTTAGAATAACTTTTGCATCAATATGAAAAACAGCTTATTATGTAAAATGCTCATGCATATGAATTGAAATCAGCAAAAACATAATTTCTAAACATCTACCCCAGGCCAGGTCTGTGCTGGATACTTTGCAAACATTCAGTTAAAAAAACACTTCAAGGTGGATGTGTCCAGTCAACCCAGGTAGAAACTCAGGGTCAGAGTTATATAGGGGTGTGCATAGTAATTCACCTAATGGAGCATCTTTTGTTTTTTCCTACGAAATAACTGTTTCTTCCTAGCCCCACCGCAGCCAGGTTCATAATTGAACCCTGATTCCCTGCAGGTACTTTTTCCCTGTGTTCAAGGGAGTCTGGCCTCCTCCCCAGACCAGGAAGTGGGTTCTGAATCGTCTCAATGTGGAATGGAAGGTGTGATTCCAGTGATTAGGAGTGGATATGTGGCAAATTCTGGCTCACAAGAGAGGGAGAAATCATCTCAGGGGCTTTGGAAAATAATTTTTTGCCCTTATAAACAGACAGTGCCTTTTTTTGTTTCTGGATGCTGTTGTGTGTAAGTGTGATACATGGAAGTCTTCACCTGAACACAGGGTGATGGAGGATGGAGGAGTGGCTATCTGAAGGAAATCAGAGTTTGATTATGAACCTGGCTGAGGTGGGGCTGGGAAGAAATAGCTGTCTCATAGGCAAAAACATAAGGTGCCTCATTAGATAAGTGACTAGGCATGCCTCTACACATCTCTGACCCTCCGTTTCTACCTGGATCAACTAGAAATGTCCAACTTATAGCACGTTTTTTTTTTTTAACTGAATGTTTGCAAGTGCATGATCTCATGATCAAGTGGGTGGGGCAGAGCCACACCATCTCAGGGAAAAAGGTCTGAGCCCTAATCATACTCATCCCTTCCCCCATGCAGCTCTATTTAGGGACTTCCTCTTTTGGGAGATAGTACATTTCCTTAATATTTAGTCCTGTGGAAACTGGGTGTTCCATTGCTCACTGCCAAAGGCCTAAATAGTGCAAGTAAATTGAAGAACTGAGGTTTGAACCCATAGAACACACAATTCTAAATGGGAATATAAACAATTAACTAACACTTGGAAAAGAAGTTTCGGCAATTCTAAATGGGAATATAACCAATTAATTAACATATGGAAAAGTTTCAGCCTCATTAGTAAGCAAAGAAAGGTAAATTAAGCAAGATTGAGAATCTGTTTTTTAAAAACTACTACATGACAAAAGATTTTTTTGATGGTGAGTACTGCCGTACTTTGCTGGCATTTGAGAATGTAAACTCCCGTAGCTCTTTAAAAATAATAACAGCAGCTATCATTTATCCAGTGCTTACTACATGGCAAGCAGTATGCAAAGCAAGCAAATGGATTTAACCCTTATTCCAGTGAAATGAGTATTATTATTATCTGCAGTTTAAGGATAAGGATTAAAGAGATCCACTGACTTGCTGAGGTCTCACTGGTACAAAGGACCCTTTGTGGAAAGACGATTCCATAAATGAACCAAACATGTGCCAATAGCGCTGGTCAAGTAGAGGCCCCCCTCAAAAAATATTTTTGAGAAAAAAATTTTAAATAGAATTTGCAATTTCATGTTAAAAAATAAAAACATTAAAGTAGATACCACAGGGAAACATTCATTATGAGCCATCCTCACAACCGATTTTCAGCTAGGTGTTGTATTTATTTGAGTTTCCTAAATGAGTGTGTGGGTAGCCCCACACACTTATAGTTGCTGAAGGCCTCTAAGTGTCTCTCTCCAGCCCAGGGAGCTGTGATTCAACCTGATGTGACTCCAAAGCCTGTGCTCATCGCAGACCACAGGGAATCGACTTAGAAAGTAATTTAGCAAATTAAATCAATAGCCTCAAAAACGTTCATATTTCTTAATCTATTAAATATTGTGACAAATTGTAAAAGCTTTAAGAATAAATACACGAAAGGCAGAGTTCCTTACGATAGTAAAGATCAGAAATTAATACAAATGTTTAACCATAGGGACCTCATTAAATTATGTAATGCAAACATTAAAAACAATCTTTATGAGGACATTATAATAAAGTGGGAAGCTGTATTATACAATGTCAAGTAGGAAAAAAATTGACCTATAGAATATTTATAAGAAGCAGAACTGCAAAAAGGAAAAATTTAAGTCTATACAGAAAAAACAGTAAAGAAAAGCACTTAAAAATATTAACAGAGGCTGGATCTTGGTATAATGAGTAATTTTCTCCAATTTCTTATATTTTCTGTAATGAGGATTTTCTCTAATAAGTACTAATGAGTACTATTTTAGAGTAGAAATCATCCTAAAGATCTTTATTTTTTAAAAAAGGAATAAAGGCCTGGGAAGTAGTCTTTATATAGGAAGTAAAAATTACTGAGAGATGGAGAGGCTTCCCCATGAAGATATCATGATTATGATTCCTCAGTGTCAAAGCAAAGGCTGGGAGGAAACACCCATGGCTGGCCTTTACTCACAGTTTCCAGCACCACCCAATGTCAAATATTTTGCCTCACTGTCAGACCATGTGATTCAATATTTGATTCAGGAGTCATGTCATGGTAGACTTATTTAAAATGTATATGCTCATGAAGCATCTGGGTAGGTTTCATATGTTTGTGGATCATTAAGCCCAAAAATATCTAGGTAAGTGCAGAACTAAGAAGTTAATTAGCAAAATAAAATACTATAATGGAATAAATCTATAAATGTCATTATTATAATTTATTAAAATTCACTCCCTCTTTTTGGAAATTCCCATGATTTCTGTATCCCCCAGCGGCTTCTGCTGGTTCTCCTGTGATTCTGTCTGGCTGTTCCTTCTCTCTTCTTTGAGGCTTATCACTCTGTGCTTCCCTAAAAGGTATAAGCTCACCTGGTCTGTCCCAAGCCCTATGCTTTTCTCTCTGTACCCTCCCCAGGAGAACCTCATTTATTCTATTAGTTGCTGCGAACCTCTGTATACAAATCACCCTTCAACAGCCCCTCAGAGTTGGTACTCGATGGCTTATAAATAAATTTAATATAAAAGATTTCATCAGCCTTCATTTCTGAATAACAGATAATTCTTAAAAATGATTATCAAAGAATAAGCATATAAAACAATGTGTTAACCTTTGGTGACCCTTTCCGCCACTCTGACTGTCTGACAGCTGATGCTTCAGTCTTAAGATGCACAGACTATGTCTTGCTTTCAATGTACTTCCTCTAAAGCCACTTCATCACAGTTTTAACAACTGCCAAATTAATGTAGTACTTCAAAAAATCCATTGAGAAATACCCTATGTTGAAGAAGTAACTCGGAGGGTGCAGCCACTCCATTGCTTCCTAGCTGGCTAAACCTTAGTGAGGGATCAAGGGTGACCCCTACTGAGTAGGATGTCCATTCCCAGTATGAATGTATGTGTAAATATGACATCCCCAAATTATCCTTCCAAAGCAAACTGTGCCTTTCCTTGTAAATGGTTTAGATCACATTTGATTCTCATTGCTTTGCCTTATCTGAGAATCAAAGCATTTGTGTTGTCATCCCATCAAAAGATCTGAGACAGGGCACATCAGCCACTTCTCCTTCCTCTTTCCCTCCCTTGGGGTCACTCTTAACTATTTTGGGCAATTCTTGCTCATCTGCACAAGCTCAATTAAGTATCTCCATGTCTTCTGTCCCCTCCCTTTATTGTGTTTGTCCAGTTGGTAGCAAATCATCAGCTCAACAAACATTTTTGAGTGCCAACTATGTATGAAGAGATGTGCTAGGCACTGAGGAGTGCAAGATAAAAGTAAAAAGAATCTTCCAAAGTAATTCTGTCCCTTTCCTCTGGTTTCCAGGCCTGACCTGAGCTGTCAGCCACTATTCCCAAATACAGTTGCTTTGTGGCTGGAGCTCAGTGTCAAAACCAGTAAGGAGCCAGCAAAGGTTACTTTGCTCTCAATCCCAACATTTATTACAACTTTAACTTACAGCTACAAACTTAGGCGTAAAAAAAGACTGAATTCAAGATTAGACATTCCAAATGCTCCCTAACTATCCCATCCTAATATTTGAAATGTTCTTTCTTACATCAAATCCTCCCTCCCTCTTCCTTCCCATCTAGCAGCCTTCTCAGGCAGTAGCATGACTTAAACCCATATAAACCATTACATTCACAGACAACTGGCTTTCTGTGGAGCTACGTGAAAAAAATTGAGACACTCCCAAGATCATAACTGGCCCATTGTTACTTGTTTCCCCTTTCACAGCAAGTTAGAAAGTTTGATGATCACTATTCTTCTTCTTCATTATTATCAAACACTGACACTGGTTTTAGCCTTTACACTAAATTTTTTCCTCCAAGTTTCAAATAAAGGGGAGCAGACATTATTCTGCATTCATTAAAAATAGCCTTGTGTTTTCCTTCATGAATTTACTACTTAGTGCCATGTGAAAACATCTTATACGTAGTAAATGCACAGAATTGTTTCCATCCATTCAAGAGCAGAAAGGGTCCATGGAGCAAAGACCAGCTGATCTGGAGCTGTGAACTACACCTCCCTCCCCACTGCAGTGGCACCATCTGCAGCATGAGGCTGGACCCCCTCCAAGTACTCACTGCCTCCTTTAGAACTCTTATAAGCCTGCTTTTTGAAAGCATATTCATTCCATGTGCAAAGGATGGGATACATATGCGCACTAACAGCTTCTACGCATGCAAAATGTGCAGATGGACAAAAAGAAATGAAGCAGGGTTTGATGTTAAGACAAATTATTAACCCCAAGAATTCCTAAAAGCCACATAGGAGTCCTATGGAAAAGCAGCCTCTCTTAGAACTGGTAACTGGAACTTATTTTATATTTTAGTAACTGTGGTTTAGTAAAAGGGTAAGAAAAACAGCTTTTATAACTTTTTTTTTGCATTGTTCCCTTTGAGAACAAACATCTGATGGTCACAGAATTTTAACCAGGAGTATAGTATCATCCCCAAAATTGATCTTTTCTCCAGGGTTCCCATCACATATGGACCACATCTTCTTAGCTGAAACAGTGCAAGAAAACTAAAATATGTGTCTCTTTCAATGAACAGCTGCATGATTCTTTTTAGAAAGGGAAAGCAAGTAGAATTTGTAAGCAGTATACAATAAATCATAACACATTTTCAAATATTTAATATGCCCATAGTATTTATAAATACATAATAAATCTTGCAACAGATACACCAAGAGTTTTTATTAGGGTTATTTATTTCTGACTAGTTTATAGAATTAAAATGCTTAGATTTGTAGAGCACATTTAGGTCTAAGGGTTTCTAGATTTAGTCAGCATTTCTAAATGAAGATACATGGCTGACTGGATGGGGGTTTGAGAGAGCAAGTCAAGGGTAATGCCAACATTATTTGGGCAACTGGATACAAATTGAAATAGGAAACAATGAAGAAATAATGTGTTTCAGTCATAGCATGGAAGGTGCTACTGAGATATCCAAATAAAGCTATTTGAAGGCAGTTGGATAGAGGGATGTCCAGGAAAGCTGTTTAGGCTTTTTGGGAGTCATTAACATATGGATGGCAGTGAAAGCCCAGAGAGTGAATGAGATTGCCCAACAAGAATGTGTAGAGAGAGAAGGATAAGGATGAATTCTAAGACCCTAAGAATAAAAGAAGGCAAGGAGGATAAGAGGAAAGCTAGCAGAGAAAAGCAGAATGCTTCAAGAAGGAAGGAATGGTTAGCAAGGTCAATGCTGCCCAGTCAAATAAGGTAATGACTGAAAAGAGGAATTTAGCAATGATAAGTTCTTCAGTGACCTTGAGGCATTGGGAGGCATTGGGGAGTGGAGTGCACTGAGCCAAATTATAGTGGTAGAGGCATGAATGAGCGGTCAGAAAAAGGAGGCAGCAAGTCAAGTTTAATGATGAATGAGGACAAATGAGGGTAGGTGGAGGGATAGATTAGGTTAGATCAGTGTTTCTTAACTCTGGCTGCACATTAGAATCATGTGAGGAGCTTGAAAAAATTTCCATGCTTGGCCCCAACCCCTGGCAATTCTGACTTGATTGTTATGAGGTAAAGTCTGGGTACCATAAATGTATTAAACACCCAGGTGATTCTAATGAGCAGACAGAGCTGAAAACAACTGGGATAGAAAAATAATTTGTTTTCAGGTGGAAGTGAGTTGCTTATGTCCAAATGCTGAAGATGGGAGCCATAGAGAAAAAGCAGCTGAAAGTATATGGATGCAGAGATGATGATAGTTTATGGTTTGGGGCTCCCGAGATGGGGGCCAGTATAGTCAGCACAGGTAGGGGATAAGCCTTGGACAGGAAAAGCATTATTTTACTATGACCAGAGCAAGGGTGAAACAGGTGTGGGTGGTGCTAGAGTTGAGGGTCTTCTGGTAGGAGGGCAAGGAGGTGACATTTTAGTGCATCCTGTGTTCTCTGTGAATTATTATAGAAAAGATGGGGAGGCAGTGGTAAGGTTAGCATTTGGAGGAGAGTGTGGAGAGGACTTGGCAATGTCGAGTGCCTGGTTTAGGTTAGAGGCCCTGAACATGTAGTGTCAGCAGTATGTGAAGCTGATGGTTCTCAGCAGAACATTAAGAAAAAACAACACTTCTTTAAGTACAGGGTTTGCATTCTTCATGTCATGTTAGTATAATTCACACCTGAAAAAGTGAAGACTATGAGAAGCACTGGCTGGTGGCTGGTTGCAAACTAACCAAGGAAATCCCTTGTAAATAGTTACATTTATTATATCTAAAACGAACAAACAAAAACCTTTATTGATACTAAAACTTATATCCATAATAAAGAGAATATCAACTGCATTCAACATATTTTAAAGGAGTAAAAAGTAAATGCTCTATATTTCTATATTTGCTGCCTCAAAACATGGCAAGATAGCCCCCTTCTGTGTTTGCAATGAGATGTTTCCAAATTCATTCACAAGCTGATTTCCCACACTTTCCATATTTGGTCTTGTCCAATACTCACTGCCTTTCTGGTTTTATAACTGAATAACTGATATTTGTGCAGATGCAATCTAGACATTTTGAAGTTGTAAAAAAAAAGTATGTATATGAATCCATGCATAATTGAATTTTCTGTAAGACCACTCCAGGTAGGTGAGAGGAGTTAACTGTATGGTTTTCAAAGGAACTGAGAGTTTCCTGGGACACTAGACTTTCTATGTTAAAGCCTAGAGGGTCCCAGGCAAACATGAAGGATTGATCACTCTACAATATCCCCCTGTCTCTCCCCCAGTAATCCTAATTCCCTTATTAGTGACAAAGTGCCTGCTTTCATATGGCCTGTGAGACTAGCAGAAAACAGGATGATGTCTGGTTTGTGTGCCAGGTTTTTGGTGGGAAGTCAACGTGGTGAAAGGAGACACCAATAATTATTTGAAGAGCACAGCACCACTCTGTTATCTTCCTTCTACTCTGATATGGTTTGGCTGTGTCCCCACCCAAATCTCATCTTGAACTCTAGCTCCCATAATCCCCACGTGTTGTGGGAGGGACCAGTGGAAGGTAACCGAATCATGGGGGTGGGTTTTCCCATGCTGTTCTCCTGATAGTAAGTCTTATGAGATCTGATGGTTTTATGAAGGGC
The DNA here is from genome assembly GCF_000001405.40 of Homo sapiens. Lineage (NCBI taxonomy): Eukaryota > Metazoa > Chordata > Mammalia > Primates > Hominidae > Homo > Homo sapiens. The sequence continues at coordinate 156,572,831 of NC_000003.12, read as the reverse complement.
AGTTCCCCTGCACATGCTCTCCTCCCTGCCACCATGTAAGACATGGCTTTGCTTCTCCTTCACCTTCCATCATGATTGTGAGGCCTCCCCAGCCATGTGGAACTGGGAGTCCATTTAACCTCTTTTTCTTTATAAATTACCCAGTCTCAGGTATTTCTTCATAGCAGTATGGAAGTGGACTAATACATACTCCATTTGTCTTCTTACTCTAGTGTAGTAGAGCACACACATATATTTAATTCTTGAAGTCCCTGCTCAGTTTTCTTCAGGACCACGGTTTCTTTGAGGAGGGTATTCTGACATCTCTTGCCTCTGAGACACCTTGTTTCATTTTGAGGCTAGTATCCTAAGGCCTCCTCCCTTCTCAAACCTTTGGACCTCTGCAGTTCTTTTCTCTCATCCTCAGGTAGGATAAACTAAGTCAAGTACCTACCTTAATTATCCAGCCACAGCACTTCTTGATTAAGGAACCATAAACATCTCAATACAAAAAGGGTGCTTTGCCCTTTAGAACTCCCCAGGACAATAGAGGCCATGACTTTGGAAGAAAAACTACTTTCTTCTTCCAAAACTCTGCTTTCTTCTTCGTTCCAGGAAGTCCTTTGCTTAGAACCAATTTTAAAATGATCAACAAATGAAAAGTCTTATTCTTGAGGTGAATAGGATAACAGATTGTACAATAGACTGAAGAAATAAGAGTTTCATCTGTATTAAATCCTCAATACATGTTTATGGATTTGATGAATAAAAGAAGACAAAGCAGATTTCTTTTCTTTAATAATTGAAAAATTTCTCCTTCCAGTCACTGTTATTGTTTTCTGCCTTCACTATAACCAAGCAAGTACAAATATTGCAACACTATGTATAAAGTTCTGGATCAAATCTGTAGAGTATACAAGGACAAGTAAAGCAAGGTTTTTGCCATAATAATGGGCTATTACTAGTTAACAGATGTGGTAAGGTGAGGAAAGAAACTTATAGAGCAAAGACCAAAAGAATACCTATTCCACAATTACATGACAAGTCAATCCAACCACAAAATAGAAATTTATTAAGAGTTTAAGTGGAGTATTACAGAGGAAGAAAGTGTAGTGAATAAATTTTACATATCCTGTGCAAAACAGAGTAGGTTCCTCTTTCCAAGGAGAATATGGTGGGTTCATATTTTGCTCACTTTTAAAAGGTTATTCCAGGTTTCATGTGGGCCAGTCTCTGTACAGAGTCATATTCAAAAGAAGCATGAAGTTGCCTCTGGAAGCCTTGAAGATTAATGCGTATCTTTACCCTTGGTGTTCATAAAGAACCAGACCAGATATAGCACCTTCCAGAAAGCATCCCATAAATCCTCTTCAGCCATGGTTTTTTTCTTCAAAGCTCATTCATGACAGCCCCTAAAAATCTCTCCTACTTCCTTTGGTCCACACAGTGGTCCCTCATCACCTCCTGCTTCACCCCAGTGCTACTTTCCCAGCTGTAGCTAACTGGGCTCCTGCCCCTACTTGCCAGTTCTGCCAGGTTGCCCTAGGACACTGGAGAGCTCTTTATTTGCCCCCACCCCTGTTTCTCCTTACTTCCCACGAAACAGTTTGTGGAGTGCTCTGAGAAGTGCTCCCTTTCTCTGACTGTGGTGTGAAAAAAGACCATGAAATATTCCTGGTAAATAAAATTCTTCACTTTGTTCTATATGCATTCCTGGGTGGGGGTAATTCTCCTTGAGGACAGCTTGAGTAGCTGGGGGCAGATGAGACTCAACTTGAATTAGAAGTGAAACGAGGGTGAGGGGTGAAGGAGGGCTTGTTTTGCTATGGGTCAATCCACTAGGGACAGCTGTCTAAACTAAAACAAGAAACCCTAAAATTCATCTATTAACAAGATTTAATCTAGTTGAATAGCAACCTAAAGAAATCTCATTTTTTTGCCTCATGAGGCAAGTGCTATAGCCTTCATGTTCAACTTAGTTCTTCTTGGCTTCTCACCATCCCCATGCCCGTTGTCTGAGCCTTTGTAGAATGTAGTCATTTCCCCTTACCTTACACCTTGCTATGGCTGGCTCCAGGCTAGTCCGTGTTTGTACTCATAAGGTTGTTCACATACTTCAGCCCAGTTTCACCACTCCCAGAAATCTATGCAAAAGAAATAATTAGAGATGCAGACATGTATTTATACCTAATATAGATATAATAGTGGAGAAATGGATATAGCTTAAATGTCCCCAAATCAAGAAATGGTTAAACATTTTTGATAAAAGTTATATGATGAAATATGTAGCTATTAGAATTCTGATATGAAAGACTATTCAATGACAGAAAATCTTTCTGGTTTAGTTTTAAATAAAATCATACACAAAAAATTTTGAAGTATGATATTAATTTTGTATATGTATATATACACATGTATATGTGTGTTTATACACATGCAGACATTTGGTTGCTCCTGGATGGCAAAAATATAGATATTTATCTTTCTGCATTTTATTATGAACATATCTGCATTTTATTGTGAACATATGTTTATTTTACAATCATAAAGAAAGAAATATGACTTCAAAATAAATGAAAAAGAAAGTAATTCTTAGCAGAGTAACAGTCTTAGTCTGTTTTCACACTGCTATAAAGATACTACCCGAGACTGGGTAATTTATAAAGGAAAGAGGTTTAATTGACTCATAGTTCCACATGGCTGGGGAGGCCTCAGGAAACTTATAATCAAGACAGAAGGGGAAGCAGGCACCTACTTCATAAAGTGGCAGGAGGGAGAAGTGAGCGTACAGGAAAAAACTGCCACTTTTAAACCATCAGATCTCATGAGAATTCACTCACTATCATGAGAACAGCATGGGGAGACTGCCCCCATGCTCCAATCACTTCCCTCTCTCAAGACAAGGGGATTATAATTCGAGATGAGATTTTGGTGGGGACACAGAGCGAAACCATAACAGTAACTGATGTAGAAGGAAGCTGGAAAGCAATCTATATGGTTAACAGTAGGGGCATGGTTAAATAAATTCAGGTGTATTTGCAGGGTCCAACCCCACTGAGGTCCTTATTCCTGCCCCTGGCTCCCGAATGTGTGTGAATGTTGGAATCACTCCTTGCCTGCTTCCCTTTCCCCCCTCATGATCCTGCTGCCTATGATGGTGTAATCATCGATCTCTTACCTGCTTTGATGTGACTCTGCCAGCATTTATTCCTTATTTGGAGAACTCCCCTTCTCCTACTCTGCAGTTTAGTAGCACTGACTCTCCTACACCCCACCAGGTGTGGTCCCCAGGAACCAGCTTTGTCAATCTGGCATTCTTTGCCCCTGAGAACACTGATTGGTTCACCTTAAGCAACCAGAATCCTCACAGGCAATTTTCTTTAGGAGCCATTAGAAAAAAAAAATACTCTTTTTCAGGGATCAATAACTATAAAGATGTTATAACCTGGAGAGTCATAAGATAAGCTGTCTTTCAGGAAAATACCCACTGTATTAGTTCTGTTTTCACGCTGCTGATAAAGACATACCCGAGACTAGGAAAAAAAAGAGGTTTGATTGGACTTAACAGTTCGACACGGCTGGGAAGGCCTCAGAATCGGGGCGAGAGGCAAAAGGCACTTCTCACATGGCAGTGGTAAGAGAAAATGAGGAAGAAGCAAAAGTGGAAAGCCCTGATAAACCCATCAGATCTCATGAGACTTATTAACCATCACAAGAATAACACGAGAAAGACCAGCCCCCATGATTCAATTACCTCCCCCGGGTCCCTCCCACAACACATGGGAATTCTGGGAGATACAATTCAAGATGAGACTTGGGTGGGGACACAGCCAAACCATATCTTTCCATCCCTGGCCTCTCCAAATCTCATGTCCTCACATTTCAAAACCAATCATGCCTTCCTGATAGTCCCCGAAAGTCTTAAGTCATTTTAGTATTAACCCAAAAGTCTACAGTCCAAAGTCTCATCTGAGACAAGGCAAGTCCCTTCGGCCTATGAGCCTGTAAAATCAAAAGCAAGCTAGTTACTTCCTAGATACAATGAGAGTACAGGTATTGGGTAAATACAGCCATTCCAAATGGGAGAAATTGGGCAAAACAAAGGAGTTTACAGGGCCCATGCAAGTCCAAAATCCAGCGGAGCAGTCAAATTTTAAAGCTCCAAAATGATCTCCTTTGACCCAGGTCTCACCTCCAGGTCACGCTGATGCAAGAGGTGGGTGCCCATGGATTTGGGTAGCTCCGCCTCTGTGGTTTTGCAGGCTATAGCCTCCCTCCCGGCTGCTTTCATGGGCTGACATTGAGTGTCTGCAGCTTTTCCAGGTGCATGGTGCAAGCTGTTGGTGGATCTATCATTCTGGGGTCTGGAGGATGGTGGCTCTCTTCTCACAGCTCCATTAGGCAGCTCCCCGCTAGGGCCTCTGTGTGGGGGCTGTGCCCCACATTTCCCTTCTGCACTGCCCTAGCAGAAGTTCTGCATGAGGGCCCTGCCCCTGCAGCAAACTTTTGCCTGGGCATCGGGCGTTTCCAAACATCTTCTGAAATCTAAGCAGAGGTTCCCAGACCTCAATTCTTGACTTCTGTGCACCCACGCACAGGCTCAACACCATGTGGAAGCTGCCAAGCCTTGGGGCTTCCACCCTCTGAAGCCACAGCCCAAGCTATATGCTGACCCCTTTCAGCCCCGGCTGGAGTGGCTGGGACACAGGGCACCAAGTCCCTAGGCTGCACACAGCACGGGACTCTGGGCCAGGCTCACAAACCCACTTTTTCCTCCTGGGCCTCAGGACCTGTAATGAGAGGGGCTGCCCTGAAGATCTCTGACATGGCCTGGAGACATTTTCCCCATAGTGTTGGGGAAAAACATTAGGCTCCTTGCTATTTATGTACATTTCTGCAGCCGGCTTGAATTTCTCCCCAGAAAACGGATTTTCCGTTTTTATCACATAGTCAGGCTGCAAATTTTCTGACATTTTATGCTCTCTTTCCCTTTTAAAACTGAATGCCTTTAATGGTACCCAAGTCAGATTTTGAATGCTTTGCTCTTAGTAATTTCTTCTGCCAGATACCCTAAATCATCTCTCTCAAGTTCAAAGTTCTACAAGTCTCTAGGACGGGGGCAAAATGCCCCCAATCTCTTTGCTAAAATATAACAAGAGTCGCCTTTGTGCCAGTTCCCAACAAGTTTCTCATCTCCATCTGAGACCACTTTAGCCTGGACCTTATTGATCATATCATTATCAGCATTTTGGTCAAAGCCATTCAACAAGTCTCTATGGAGTTCCAAACTTTCCCACATTTTCCTGTCTTCTTCTGAGCCCTCTAATCTGTTCCAACCTCCGCCTGTTACCCAGTTCCAAAGTTGATTCCACATTTTTGGGTATCTTTTCAGCAACGCCCCACTCTACTGATACCAATTTACTGTATTAGTCCATTATCACATTGCTGATAAAGACATACCCGAGACTGGGAAGAAAAAAAATGTTAATTGGACTTACAGTTCCTCATGGCTAGGGAGGCCTCAGAATCATGGTGGGAGGTGAAAGGCACTTCTTACATGGTGGCGGCAAGAGAAAATGAGGAAGAAGCTAAAGTGGAAACCCTTAATAAATCTATCAGATCTTGTGAGACTTGTTCACTATCATTAGAAAAGCATGGGAAAGACTGGAGCCCATGATTCAATTACCTATTCCGGGCTCCCTCCCACAACAGGTGGGAATTCTGGGAGATACAATTCAAGTTGAGATTTGGGTGAGAACATAACCAAACCATATCACTCACATTGTCCATATTGAGAGAGAATGAAGCCAACATAGACAGAGATGAGAGATAATGAATAAGAAAGTCATAAAGATGTCATTTGAGCCTCTGGATTCAGCAGTGATGGAACTTATTATTTACCTCGGCTAATAAATTTCTTCTCTTGCCTCCTTTTCTATCTTTCTTATCTCTATTAATTTTTTTCTGTTGTTGATTTTTTTCTTAAGCTTGCTTAGGAAGGGCTTCTGTTACTTGTAAGTGAAAGAGCTGTGACTCAAACAGGTACCCTCCCTTGGATTTGGTGACCTGAGTTTTAGAAGGAACCACCGGCTTTTGTATGCCAAGCAAGTCTGATTCTTTTTCTAAAGAACCTCTTGACTTAGGAGGCATGGCCTTATACAGGCCTTTTCCTTCTATTTCTGGACATTTTCTGTCCTTGTTGGCTAAAAATGTGTTTCATTCTTACCAGTAAGGAAGTGATATCAGACATGTATAATTTTTTACAGGCACTAAAAATTATATTTTGAAAGCATTTTAATGACATTGGAAAATACTTGTAATGTATGACCTCAATTATTTTAAGTACATAATAGCTAATCATAGAAAAATACTAAAAGGAAATATATAAAAATATTAATAGTGGCTATATCTGAGCAATAAGATTATGGGTGATTTATGTATTACGTTTTCTAATTTTACAAATGGACACAATTATTTTGTGATTAGAAAATAATGAGTTATTAAAATAAATACGTGACTTGTGGTATATTCATCTAAAGGGAAATTTTGTAGTCATTGTAAAGAATACTTTGAAGACATTTTTGGTGACATTGAAAAATACTCATAATGGAATAATTGGAAAGGTAGTCAAAACTATATATAGCACTGATTACAGATGTGGAAATAAATGTATAGGAAATGACTAGAGAAATTGCTTCAAAATATTAATAAAGGTTATCTCTGGGTTGTGAGGTCATAGCTAATTTTTGTTTTCTTTTTTATTTATTTTTATTTTCTTTTTGAGACAAGGCCTTGCTCTGTTGTACAGGCTGGCATGCAGTGGTGCCCTGGTTGAGGCTCACTGCAGCCTCAACCACCCAGTCTCAATCAATCCTCCCACCTCAGCTTCCCATGTAGCTGGGACTACAGGTGCATGCCACCATGCCTGGCTAATTTTTGTTGTTGTTGTATTTTTCATAGAGATGGGATTTTGTCATGTTGCCCAGGTTGGTCTTGAACTCCTGGGCTCAAGCAATTCACCTGCCTTGACTTCCCAAAGTGCTGGGATTACAGGTGTGAGCCACTATGCCTGGTCTTTTTCCTTTACATGTGTTTGTGTTTTACAATTTTCAGAATCAGAATTCTTCCTTAATAATAATAATTGTATTAGAGTTCTCTAAATAAACAACTAATAGGATACACACTCATGCACAAATTAACTAGTTAATTAATTATAGAATTAACTTATGCAATTATGGAGGCTGAGAAGTCCCACGATCTACTCTCTGCAAGCTGGAGGCCCAGGAAAACTGCTGGTGTAGTTCCAGTCCAAGCCTAAAGATCTGAGAACCAGGGAAGTCAGTGGTGTAAGTCCTGGTATGAGTCTGAAGGCTTGAGAAACAGGTGCGTCAATATCTGAGGTCAAGAGAAGATGGATGTTCCAGTTCCAGAAGAGAGAGGAAATTCGCCCTTTCTTTGCCTTTTTGTTCTATTCAGGTCTTCAGTAGAATGGATGCTGCCCACCTGCATTGGCAAGGACAATCTTCTTTACTCAGTCCACTGATTCAAATGCTGATCTCACAGACCCTTCCAGAAATAATGTTTTACTAGTTATGTGGCTATCCCTTAGCCCAGTCAAGGTGACACATAAAGTTAATTATCACAATAATAAAACAGTAAAATGTTACACTGGTGGGGAATGAGTTTGAGAAGGTAATTGTTCCTCCCTGCTACCCTTTTGATATAGGATTTGGACACCTTTCATCTGCTCCTTGGGTCAGGAGCTGAAATACCCTCTGTCTTCAGGGATCTCAGGGATCCCCTTTAGGGAAGGGATTACCTTTTGTGCTGTGCAGAGACTGAGACCTTTTAAAATTTTACCAGGAATGACTGTCTTCTTGAAACAAGTTTCCCTTGCTTTATCTCCCAGTTTATCTACACACACACACACACACACACACACACACACACAGACACACACATCTATAGATAATTAATAATACAAATTAAAATAATTAATCATGACAAATTAAATAATTTCTCAGAAAGGGAGAAGCTAAATCTGGGAATGTAGCAAAAGAAAAAATATTTATATGATGATTTGAATGCAAACCATGTGTCTTGAACTGTAATAAGTACTTTGTGTACATAAGAATATGCACACATCTTTACAAAATCCCTGTGAAATAGGTATAATTATTCTCCTAATTTATATATTAGCAAAATTTGGTCTTAGAAAAATAAAATAACTTTCCCAACTTCATGCAATCAGTAAGTCATAGAAAGGGAATTTGAATTAAGGCATTCTTACTCAAGTGCTTATGCTGTTAATCACTATGTATATGACAAACTGTGATAATATGCACTATGATTTTTGTATTATTAATAACTCCAATACCTTCTTAGTTGAGAGTTGGTGAAACCCTTGCAAAGGGTGGCTAAGGCAAAAGTCTCAGTTCCTTTTCTTTGTTAATTATCTGATTCTGCATCATTTCTTGGTGCTCCTCTTTGTAACATTCCTAGGTGATGTACAATAAAATGAAGCCTTCTTTGGATCACGGATTTTAAAAGTAATTATAGAAAAAGCTGAACTTATATGCAATTGATTGGAGCTCAGACTTTAAATATATGATATTCAGCAGTGTGTGGTTTTAGATATTTCTGCTTCTATGAGCTACTGTACACATTTATTGTAGTAAAAGAAGACAAGGAAACATATTGCCTAATGTGCTTGTTGTAAAGCTCTGTATACATTTTCCTGCTTCCTTTAACTTTGTTCTGTGTGGCTAGGGTGTGAAGCAGTTTAAAGATTATCTCAGTTTTGGTTAGTTAGGAAGCAACATAGTGTTTAAGGCTATCTGAATAAGTTATCCCCATTTTGCCAAAATTATTTCCAGTGTGGTACTACTTATTGACTGGAGCCACCAGAGTTTTACCCCTGACCATTTCATATTTGTATAAGTGGGCAGACCCACCCCAAGAATCAGAGAGGCGCAGTGGAGTCAAAGCAGGGGCCAGAGAAGGAGCTGTCAGAGAGGTAGGAAAAGAACCAGGGGTTCCTCCAGTTTCATTGGAGATGAGAGAACAGAAACTTTTGAGAGGATGAAATATTCAATGGTGCTAAATGCTGAAGGCAGGTAAAGTGGTTAAAAATGAAGGAAAGAAGGTTGGATTTGGTGATTTAGTAGATCATTTCTGGAGCAGATTCAGAAGAGAGGGCAGGAGTGGAATTCAGGTTGCAATATGATAAGGAATGATTGGGAAGTGAGTCTGAACAAACTCTTTTTTTCTTTGTTAGCCAAAAGCAGGTGGAAACTTTAGGTATGCAATAGAGCTGAGGGGAAGTGTGTGCATGCATCTGTGCATGTGTAGGAAATGTGTTTGTGGAGAAAATGAGAAAGTTGTGTAGGCTTAACAGTTCAGCAGGAGGCAACACATCAGGAGAAAAAAAGAAGACAATTTACCCTGTACCAGTCACGGTGCTAGGGCTTCACATTATTTGTTTCATGTAATGCTTACAGCAACCTTTTGAACCTTGTGAGAGAAGCGAAGCTCAGAGAAGGTAAGCAATTTGCCTGAGCACACAGCTATTGTTGTGACAGATTAAACAGACAGGTCTTTCTGATTCTAAAGATCTATAAGCTGTATGCATGGAGAAAAGGATTTTAGTACAGAAAGGTCCTAGAGGGAGGTGGTTGGAGTTGGAATAAAAAATTTGGGTTCTTGAGACAGAGGCAGAGGAAGGTGGAATTAGGAAATGCTGTAAAGGGATTAGAATGGAATTTCATTTTATTTCTTAAATAAAAACACAGACTAGACAGCTGGCATAGGTGTCCGGCTAGGTTTCTATGAGATGTTGATGATTCCATTGATCCCATGGTGACAGAAGCACATACTCCTCTTTTTTTATTCCCTTATTGTGTCTGGTTTTGATCATTCCCCTAAATACTTCATAGAATGATTTGAAAATTGTAATACTGGGCCCTTTTATGACTGTGAACTTGCATGCTATATTAGTTCGTTTTCACGCTGCTGATAAAGACATACCCGAAACTGGGAACAAAAAGAGGTTTAATTGGACTTACAATTCCACATGGCTGGGGAGGCTTCAGAATCAGGGCAGGAGATGAAAGGCACTTCTTACATGGCAGTGGCAAGAGAAAAACCAGGAGGAAGCAAACGCAGAAACGTCTGATAAACCCATCAGATTTTGTGAGACTTATCACTATCATGAGACTAGCCTGGGAAAGACCCGTGCCCATGATTCAATTACCTCCCCCTGGGTCCCTCCCACAACACGTGGGAATCCTGGGAGATATGATTCAAGTTTACATTTGGACACAGCCAAACGATATCATCCCATCCCTGGCCTCTCCAAATCTCATGTCCTCATATTTCAAAACCAATCATGCGCGTCCAACAGTCCCCCAAAGTCTTAACTCATTTCAGCATTATCAGTCCAAAGTCTCATCTGAGACAAGGTAAGTCCCTTCTGCCTATAAGCATGTAAAATCAAAAGCAAGCTAGTTACTTCCTAGATACAAGGAGCGTACAGGTATTGAGTAAATATAGCCATTCCAAATAGGAGAAATTGGGCAAAACAAAGGAGTTACAGGGCCCACGCAAGTCCAAAATCAAGCAGGGCAGTCAAATTTTAAAGCGCAAAAATGATCTCCTTTGACTCCAGGTCTCACATCCAGGTCACGCTGATGCAAGAGGTGGGTGCCCATGGTCTTGGACAGCTCTGCCTATGTGGTTTTGCAGGGTACAGACTCCCTCCCGGTTACTTTCATGGGCTAGCATTGAGTGTCTGCAGCTTTTCCAGGCGCATGGTGCAAGCTTTTGGTGGATCTATCATTCTGGGGTCTGGAGGATGATGGCTCTCTCTTCATAGCTCCACCAGGCAGTGCCCCAGTAGGACTCTGTGTGGGGGCTCTGACCCCACATTTCCCTTCTGCACTGCACTAGAAGAGGTTCTCCATGAGGGCCCCGCCTCTGTGCAAATTTTTGCCTGGGCATCCAGACATTTATATACATCTTCTGAAATCTAGGTGGAGGTTCCCAGACCTCAATTCTTGACTTCTGTGCACCCATGCACAGTCTCAACACCACATGAAAGCTGCCAAGGCCTGGGGCTCCACCCTTTGAAGCCACAGCCCGAGGTGTACATTAGTCCCTTTCAGCTGTGGCTGGAGCAGCTGGGACACAGGGCACCAAGTTCCTAGGCTGCCCACAGCATGGGGATCCTGGGCCTGTCCCATGAAACCTCTTTTTCCTCCTTGGCCTCAGAGCCTATGATGGGAGGGGCTGCCCTGAAGGTCTCTGACATGGCCTGGAGACATTTTCCCCAGGGTCTTAGGGATTAACATTAGACTCCTTGCTACTTATGCAAATTTCTGCAGCCGGCTTGAATTTCTCCTCAAAAAAATGGGTTTTACTTTTCTACTGCACAGTCAAGCTGCAAATTTTCTGAAATTTTATGCTCTGTTTCCCTTTTAAAACAGAATGCTTTTAACAGCACTCAAGTCACATTTTGAATGCTTTGATGCTTAGAAATTTCTTCTGCCAAATACCCTAAATCATCTCTCTCAAGTTCAAAGTTCCACAAATCTCTAGGGCAGGGGCAAAATGTCACCAATCTCTTTGCTGAAACATAATGAGTGGCCTTTGCTTCAGTTCCCAACAAGTTCCTCATCTCTATCTGAGACCACTTCAGCCTGGACCTTATTGTTTGTATCAGCATTTTGGTCAAAGCCATTCATTCAACAAGACTCTAGGAGGTTCCAAACTTTCCCACATTTTCCTGTCTTTTTCTGAGCCCTCCAAACGGTTCCAACCTCTGCCTGTTACCCAGTTCCAAAGTTGCTTCCACATTTCCGGGTATCTTTTCAGCAACTGGTACTGATTGCCAATTTACTGTATTAGTTCATTTTCACACTGCTGATAAAGATATACCTGAAACTGGGAACAAAAAGGTTTAATTTGACTTACAGTTCCACATGGCTAGGGAGGCCTCAGAATCATGGCGGGAAGTGAAAGACACTTTTTTTTTTTTGAGACGGAGTTTCGCTCTTGTTGCCCAGGCTGGAGTGCAATGGCGTGGTCTCAGCTCACTGCAACCTCCACCTCCTGAGTTCAAGAGATTCTTCTGCCTCAGCCTCCCGAGTAGCTGGGATTACAGGCATCCACCACCATGCCCAACTAATTTTTTGTATTTTTAGTAGAGATGGGGTTTCACCATGTTGGCCAGGCTGGTCTCAAATTCATGACCTCAGATGATCCACCTGCCTCGGCCTCCCAAAGTACTGGGATTACAGGCTTGAACCACCGTGCCTGGCAAAAGACACTTCTTACACAGTGGCAGCAAGAGAAAAATCAGAAGGAAGCAAAAGCGGAAACCCCTGATAAACTCATCAGATCTTGTGATACTTATTCACTATCATGACAATAGCATGGGAAAGACTGGCCCCCATGATTTAATTACCTCCCTTGGGTCCCTCTCACAACACGTGAGAATTCTGGGAGATACAATTCAAGTTGAGATTTGGGTGGGGACACAGCCAAACCATATCACATGCATTGTTCCTTTTTCCTGGAATTGCTTTCTTTATTTATTTGTGAGTATGGAAATGGATCTTACTAGTCAATTAGTAAACCAAGTGAAATAAACAATGAGATTGAATAAATCTCACCCTAGCATTTGGTCTCATGATTTCATCTAGTAAGTTGTTAGACAACATTGACTAGGGGCTGTGAAACAGAAGAATTTTAAAAGAAAGAGTCCTAAAAGATGAGCAACAAATTACACCTGGCTTCTGTATCACCTAAGCCATTCCAGTTGAAATTCGTGACCTACTTTGTCTCACATTCCGTTGCCATAGTGCCTGGGTTAAATGTGTAACGAAAGAAAATTGATTTCCAGTGTAAATCTTAATTTTTATTGTGCCCTGAAGTGCTGCATGAATGATGCATGTGTGATAAGTCTCACATTTAGAAGATTCTGGGGGGAGTTTTGAGATTTAAAGTATTATGGCCTCTATCAGTGGTTATTAAAATAATATATTTTCTGTAGATGTGTATCATTTTCTTAAAGAAGTAAGTGACTTTATGAATATCCTTAGGCACAAAGGGAACAGGTTTTTCTGACTGCTTCAGAAGCAATCCCCAATTTACATTGGTCACATCAGTGTTTCCTAAAAAGGAAAACAATATCTATCTTGAAAAGTATAAGCTTCAAGCTCAAAGACAAATGCTTGTTCCCCAAGTGTTTTAATGCCTCATTCAGTTTAAAAATCAATTCCATAGTAAAGTACACATTTAGAATTCTTGAAACCTTATCTTTATTAAAAAAAAATCGCAGCTGGCAAATGTCTCCTGTCAACAGTAGCATATGTGTGTAGGGGAATGGGTGGTTGGGGGAGGAGGCCTAACCAACTATAAGGGCCAACTTCCAGCATTCTCTCCAAAAAACACAGTTTCTTCTGAAATGGTAAGATTTTATTTTTTTAAATTACACTTCACTTTTTTTATATTATTTGCATTTGAGTCTGTCTCCTTAAACCTGGGAATTTATGGGGCAGATTAAACCCCAAATCTGTTGAGTTTGGCCTACAGAATATTTGCTGTTGATTCTAGTTTTCTTTCTGTTTAATCTATTTCAGTTTGAGTGCTTTTGGAAAGGTGAGCTTTCCAGTTGTATTGAGCCTACCACTACCTCATGTCCTATGCCTGGCACAATTCACTCCCTGAAGTTATTTACTTGAATCTTATAGACATTTTGATCTTGTTACCTTTGCCTTAAACCTTTTGGGTGGAGTGATACATAAATTAACAAATTGAGTACAGTTATTCATCTAGATGTTCATTTATATGCAGAAGTTGTTTATATTATTTATTTACAAGACTCCAGATCTGTTTAACTTTTATTTTTTGAACAAGTATTTTAGCTTTATTGTAGGTAATGGGGGTTTCTATCAGGTCTACAGAGAGAAATAGGGAAGCCCTAAGGCACTTGGAGCATCTCTCTAATTATCCCTTTTCTAATTTACAGCTGCTGGGGAGTTATGATTTGTGCTTTCCACCTCTTCTCAGTTTGCTTCCCTTGTTCTGTATACATCTATTAACTGTTTTGTTTTGTTTTGTTTTGTTTTGTTTTTTTCTGGGGTTTCATTTTCAAACTCCCTGAGACAGAGAATCAGGTATGGAGAGCCAAGGCCTGCTCACCAAGGTTTGCCTATTATCCTCTCTGTCCAAAAATACACTAGGGAGAGCTGCAGTGTGACAGGACTGTGCCTGATAATTGGTAGATAAGAAACTACTTTTGGCTGCTTGCTCAGTGTAGGGCTTTTGTGAGCAGTCATGCAGAATCAGAGATTCCACTGCATGGAGGAGACCAGAATTCATTTGTAGTTAAGAGCATACATCCTGGAATCATATTGCTTGGGTTCATAACTTGACTCCACCATTTACTGGTTGTGGAATCTAAATGAGTTATTTCACTAATCTGAGTCTCAATTTCTTCATCTGACAAAGGGGATAACAGAAACATATACCTCCTAGGGTTGCTGTAGGGATGAATCAGACAATACGTGTGAAGGACAAAGCACAGAGGTAGACATACAACAAGGACTCAATTCATGTTAGTTATTATAATCAAAATAATCATGATTATTATTTGGATACTTTCACAGGTTTTGCACAGTACTTTTCATGTAGTAGCTTCTCAATAAATATTTGCTGAATGAGTACATGAACTAATGAATTAGTCAAATATCAGTGGGTGAAATATGTAGTTTGGCTGAGTAAATAATTTTTCAGGTGATACTTTAAAACATTATACTTAGGGACTAATATAAGTGTTCCACCTCTTTTAAAATTATTCCCATCATGAGATTTGCATTTCAAGTAGGCTTTAAAACAGAGGAGCTTTTCTTTTTTCCTCCCCACAGTAGCCCTGGATGATCCATTTGTTATTCTTTAAAGGTCCCAGTGAAAAGCTAGCAGTGGCTTTCTATATTGGCTAGGCAACTTGCAGTGTCTGACACAGAAAAATATGTTAATTTTTAGCATACCAGATTTTCTTTCACAAAGTCATCAGTAATCTCTTATCCATATACCTGACAGCAAAAAATATTATTGCTTGGGGTTTTTCCTCCAATCTGAAAAGAATCAAGTGATATAATAGAAAATATACAAGAAAGCCTGAAATTCATAGAATAGACTCAGACTGCTATGGAATCAAGTCCATTTGGTTCCTTCAGAGTTAAGCTATGTTGAAATGGGCAAAATATATTGTAGATCTTTGCTTGGGTAGAATTTACTACCCACCTCTCCTTCTGTTTTTTAGCACATTGTGTACCCTGGTTGTCCAGTGTGCCACGGCTATGTGTGCCACGGCTATATATGCCACATACAAGTGATCCTTAGGTCTTGCTGCTTGCTTTTTAAAGGGAACTAGGTAGCTCTGGTGCAAGAAAACACTGCTTCAGTACTCCAAGTGTGCCACCTTCATAATTGTAATTGTTGCCATTACCAAAAATATTCTATCATAAGTATCATTCCCTATCATATTTCTCTAATTTACCCCCACAAAATAATTTGAAATTCATATTTTAGATTATCTTCTGTTTATAGTTACCTTTAGCTTTACAAAATGTATTAATTTTTTTCTGCTAGCTTTTTTTGATTATATCAATTGTAACATTTATATCCACTAAACATTTCAAACTTTTATCTTTCCTATTTTAATTGTTAAAATATTTTTCTCAGGCATAATTTTTTTAAATCTCATCCTTATCATTTCTTCTTTTCTTCTTTTAAAAGAAAGATGATTGTTGTCTCTTTGGATCTTTTAGTTTTCTGATTTTTTTTTTTTTTTTTTTTTGATGGAGTCTTGCTCTGTTGCCAGGCTGGAGTTGGAGTGTAGTGGCGCGATCTTGACTCACTGCAACCTCTGCCTCCCGGGTTTAAGTGATTCTCCTGCCTCAGCCTCCTGAGTAGCTGGGGACTACAGGCGTGCGCCACCATGCCTGGCTAATTTTTGTATTTTTAGTAAAAGCGAGGTTTCACCATGTTGGCCAGGATGGTCTCGGTCTCTTGACCTTGTGATCCACCCACCTTGGTCTCCCAAAGTGCTGGGATTACAGGCATAAGCCACCGCACCCAGCCTCTGATTTTTATCTTTTATCTTCTTTTTATATCCTTAGTTTGTTTATAAATAGGCAGAAGAAAATCTAGTTATAGAGACAGATCCAAAAAGTTTTATTTATGAATTGGTCATAGATGGAGAAGGAAAAAAATAATTAGTGTTGAAACCCACTATTTTAACCAGAACAACAAATGAGTTTAAAAGAATGCAACTTAGTGAGATAGGAAAAACTGGGGGAGGAGTATGTGTAAGAGAAAATAATAATTTCTTCTTCTATCACTACCATGTAATAAAATAAAGAGCATTTTTAACATCAAAAAAGACATAAACCCAGATATTTTTAAATGAATACTTTTGATTTTCTGAAAAATTCACTAGATGGTCTTTTTTTCTTTTTCATTTTGTGGTGAATTAATGAAAACTTCTGGCATTAAGGAACACTTGCGGTAGATAATGGAAGGATTTATATTTCAGGAAAACTCACTCTGGTACCTGTATAGAGAATAGACTGGAAAAGATTGAAGACAAAAGCCCAATTAGGACTAGTAATAGGAAGCTGTGGAGGTAGATTACAATTTGGATACTGTGAGGAAGAAAGATATCTACCAAACGGTTAATAAGGAGGCTGGAGGTTGAGGAAATTGTGCCTAATGCACTAGAGTGTTCTCAGTAATCAAAAGTAGCATTTGCTGGGAGTGATGTGGTTGAATTTTTTTTTGAAGAAAAAATGATAATGTGTTGAGTTAAAAATGGAATCTAGCTGTTTTAATAGACATACTTAATCCTTCTGAGCTTCAGAGAGGGAGTCTTGCCTAGCCAACCTGTTCTTAGTATTATGTTTTATTTAGCATGGCTTTGGAAGCCACAAAACTCTATAGGTCTAGTTGAAATAAAATAAAATAGTAGTAACTTGTATCAGACATATATTAAATATTGCCTTCATCAATGAGATCATGAGTTTCTTAAAAGCAAGAGTCCCATTTTCTTCTTCCTACAGAGGTGGCCTATTGTTTAGTGAAAAGAGCCCACGCCTTGGAGACCCACACCGCAGGTCTACGACCCTCAGGCTCTTCAGCTGCAATGGCGGTAATGATGCGCACGTCATAAGATTCTTCAAGGTATTTAATGAAATAAAGGATGTGTAAAGGAGAAGGGATTTTACATGAGTTAGCTATACCTTTCTCTTCTTTCTTCTTCAACGTACTCAGTCCTGGGTACGCACAGAGGGCACTAATGGCGTGGGGCCAGAAGAGCTTTTAATTTTGGAATTCTGAAGAACTGAGAACTCGTGAGTCTGTCAGCAGCTCTGAAGTGGAATATCAATAAAGTTTTGTTAATTTTTTTTAAAGCACCGACTAAACTACAAATCCCTTCTCTCTCCTCCAGGTGGGTGGGTCACGTGGCTTGTCAGGAATCCGGAAGTCTGGCCCGCTCGCCCAATCACGCCCGGAAGCCTATCTAGTGGCGCCAAGCTGGCCAATCCTGGGGACGCTTGCTCTTCGCCAAACCGGGTCCCGCCTCCGCGCGCCGCGCTGACGGGTCGTTAGCGGATACGGCGGCCGCAGGGGCGGAGTCAAGGGCCTTTGCCCGCCTTGGCGGCCGGCTCTACGTTCCCTGTTCTCGCCTGCAGCTCCGCCATGGCTCCTAAAGGCAGCTCCAAACAGCAGTCTGAGGAGGACCTGCTCCTGCAGGATTTCAGCCGCAATCTCTCGGCCAAGTCCTCCGCGCTCTTCTTCGGAAACGCGTTCATCGTGTCTGCCATCCCCATCTGTGAGTGCTGGGAGCGAGGCGGGTTAGGCAGGCCGCCGGCTAGTCGGGCTGGGCGGGGACGTGGCAGGACCCGGCGAGCAGGGAAGGCGTGGGTGCCGGCCGGGGGTCGGCAATCTCTCCAGCTCCCCTGAGCTCGGGGAGGCACGGAGCCTCTTCTTTGGGCACAGTGTTGTCGCTTGGGATTGTCCTGTGCAGCACTCGGGGAGGTCACTTGTTAAAAGTACGCACGTTCCCGAGCTCCACCCCAGGAGAAGGTGGTTAACTAGTTCTGGGGTGGCGGCCCCGAATCTCTATTTAAACAGACAAACTCAAGCATACTGCCTCTGCCCTTTTCTATACAACTGTTGCTTGCCGTTACGAAATTTTAAACTTATTACTTATTTTGCATAAATTAGTTAGGTGAGAAACCCATGAAGTGACCCACTGAATTATAAGTGCATCTTTACGTGAGCTACTTCACACCATTGCATAATTTTCCTGGTTTTTGCAAAAAGAGAGAGGTTGAAGTGCCAGGGGTTAGGGATCTACCTTATTTATACTTTTTAATAATCCTACTGGACCAATTCTAGAATTCTCACTTGGTTGGGAAACTGCAGACTTGGACAAGGTCGTTTTTAGTAGAGCTCAAGTTTCCAGAACTCCTGTCTTTTGCTGCACTGTTGTTGGGCATTTAAAACTAAATGTATTTTTCTCTTTTGTCCTTATACAACCCAGCGTGCCATTAACGTGATGTGAAGCCATATGATGGCTCACTAATTGGACATAGCACTGCTTGGAGTTCTGATAACAGCCACGTCAGCAAGGAAACTATGGTTTGGGGCTGCACGTGGCATTTTGGAATGGCCTGTGTTTCGCATGCTAGTACCCTGATGAATGAAATTTGAAGTCTGACTTGTGATTACGTTGAGCCAGAGTTTGTTCTCATTTTAGAAGTTGAAATCTCATCTGGACTAGTAATAGGAAGGTGATGTTTTTCAAATGTTCTGAACTGGAAAGCTTGAGACTATACTGTTACTGGTTATCTCGCTTCTGAAGATCCTCAGATACTATTGGATTGCATAACTAATAACCTGGTATTTTACCAGGCTTAGCTATAATTAATTTCGCAGGCTTTTGTTGCGGGGTTGTAATGTTTTGCTTCTTTTTGTACCCTTCCCCCTTTTATTTTAATTCAGGGTTATACTGGCGAATATGGCATATGGATCTTATTCAGTCTGCTGTTTTGTATAGTGTGATGACCCTAGTAAGCACATATTTGGTAGCCTTTGCATACAAGAATGTGAAATTTGTTCTCAAGCACAAGTAAGTATGTTTTTCAAGTGAAAGTACGTACTACATGTTATATTTTTATATGTCTTCTTAAAGATCATTTGTGTGTGTTGGTTTTAATAAGCATTAATTTGAGATATATATATTAATAAACATTTTGGGGGAAAGGAACATTGATGCTAGGAAGAATTATTAACTAACTGAAGTAGAGACAATGATCATTCTGACACGGCTACAGAAGCAGATTTTGAGGGTGGAATTAGAACACTTAAACACAGGCCTTAATATGAGGTTCATCAGAGAAACAAACCCACCAAGTAAGTTAACATTTCAGAAGCTAAATGTAATTCCTTATGGAGAGAATTGTTCTGGGCTCTTCACGTACTATTTTTGGAAGTTAAAGAAATGATCTTTTTGTCATTATTATTTTTTGAGACAAGGTCTAGTTCTTGCCCAGTCTGCAGTGCAGTGGCATGATTATGGTTCACTGCAGCCTCAACCTTCCCAGGCTCAAGGGATCCTCCCACCTCAGCCTCCCAAGTAGCTGGGCCTACAGGTGCAGGCTACCATGCCCAGCTAATTTTTTTGTAGAGACAGGCCATGTTGACCAGGCTGGTCTTTTTATTTTATTGCTTTTTTTTTTTTTTAACTCTCTGTCATTTTCAATGCTAATTACGTTTGTTTTCATACAAGTGTATAAAATGTAAAGGATTAACATAGTCTAAGATCACACATACTGTAAAATACAGCTTTTAGAGAAGAAAACTCAAGCCTCACCACAATAAACTTATACCTTAATTATAAGCAATTAAATATTCTAGTTTCATAGAGGTTAAAATGCAGGATCACGTAGACTTAGGAAAGATGGTAACATTTATTATTTCTCAGCGTCATGGTCCTCATTGTCTCATTGGAAGTGGTATAAATTGTTTAATTGACGCCCTTTGATGTTGCTTTCATGTACACTGTGATACTTGGGTAGGGATAGCAGGATTATTTCCCTCCTTCCTTGATGGGGTCATCTAGGTGCTGTATTGCTTTGAAAGTAATTTCTTAAAAGGCAATTGGAATTTCACTGAGACTTAGTACGAACATACTTTGTATGTGCATTATCTTTTCATCCATAGTTCTCACTCTAGTTTGGATGCTGTTTTTACTTGTATTGCTGTAACAACCTCCATCTGGTCTTTTAAAACAAGTTTAGGGCCCGCCCTGCCATGCACTGTATGAAGCACATTGCCCTATGTAATCCTTATAGCATCCATATGAGGTGCAGGTATTTTCCTTGTTTTATCCAATGAAGAGTATGTATTTCTCCTTATGTGACATCATTTTTATCATGTCATTCTCATAACAACTCATCATGGCTTTTTTTTTTTTTTTTGAGACAGACTCTCACTCTGTTGCCCAAGTTAGAGCGCAGTGGCCCAATCTTGGCTTACTGCAACCTCTGCCTCCTGGGCTCAAGTGATCCTCCCACATCAGCCTCCCAAATAGCTGGGACTACAGGCACGCACTACTACCACGCCTGGCTAATTTTTGTATATTTTGTAGAGATGGAGTTTTGCCATGTTGCCCAGGCTGGTCTTGAACTTCTGGGCTCAAGTGATCCGTCTGCCTCGGTCTCCCAAAGTTCTAGGATTATAGGCGTGAGCTGCCGTGTCCAGCCATGGCCTGTTTTTTTTAAATGTATTAAAGCCAAATTCTTCTAGACCCCTGGAATGCAAGTCATCTGCTTCCTTCCTATGAGTCTGGCCTCATCTTTCAGAATTAGGCTTTAACCCTTCTGACTCAGCCCTCACATCATCCTTTGAATATGTCTTGTGCCCTACCCTATTTAGGATTAACTTACTTCCTTTCCATTCTTACCTGTGTTTTATTTCTAGACCTAGGAATCTTTTCCAGAGAAATCCTTCCTGATTTTGATCATTTCTTTGCTTTATTGTCCCTGTGTTAGACTCTTTCGGGGAATGAGGAATAGAAACATGTTGAGATGATCTCAGTTAACAGGGGTTTATTTTAAGAAATGTCCCAAAATGGCCTCAGTGACTGAAGTGGCCTTAGCAGTTTCCTCCCTACTGTTCTGGACACAAACGAGCTCAGGTTTTCGTGGCTGCTGTTCTGATGGACCAGCAGATAAATTGGGTTATCTTTGTTATCTTTCTGCTTGGCAGCCCCTCAACCAGCTGCTATTCCAGGATTCAGCTCATGTGGGCCTCCACTGTATGGGACTGTTTCCTGTGAGGCATGGCCATCTGTGTATCGGGAAGCCCTCACAAGTGGGCATCTGGTATGACCCATCCTTTGTAATACTCTTGGAACTCAGTCCCTTTGAGACTCGTCATTCTTTACTTATTCTTCATAACATTTTTCATTCATCTCTTTAGAATCAAAGTCATGTTCTTTTTACCTTTTCCTTTCTACTTTAGGCTTCTTGAAGACACCCGCCATATTTTATACTCCTTAAAACAGTTAATGGTACATTTAGTTCAGTAAAATTTCAATGACTTACTGACTTAATAGACTCAGAATGGAGGTTTTTTTTTTAAGTCATAGTTTTGGCTTTATATTAAATATGCTACTGACTTTGAAATGCCTACAGATTTGCAAGATGGTTAAGGTTCAAAGATCCAGCAAGATGCTGAGTGTGGGTAGCTGTTGGCAGTAGAAGGAAGATGGCTTCAGCGTTGACAGTCTGGGTTCCAGTGCCAGCTCTGCCACTCTTAAATGTGTGGCCGTGGGCATAATTTTACCTATGTAGACTTCAGATTCCTCAGCTATAAACTGGGGATGCTAGTGGAATTTCAGAGGGTGGTGAGGATTCATTATGATCATACATGTTAAGCATAGAGTCTGGCACATAATAAATGTTTATGTGCAGGGTTGAAGAGGTTGGGGCTAAGAGAGCCCTTAGAAGTTGTTTTTGTTTTTTAACGTGGCATAATTTAAACCATGTTTGCAAAGATGTTTTTATTTTAAGAAATCAGGTAGTGTCTTTTTTTATTTTTAATTTTGGAAGTGTTCTGACATACTGATGTGAAAGAGTAAAGGAAGAAAAATACAATTGATTTTATGGGTTATCTTAGTTGACTAAGTGCTAGGTCACTAGCGTGACCTCTATTTTGTTTTAGAGTGTTCAGCACTGAGTGAGGTTTATTTTCTGAGAGCTCTAAGACAGAGGGGAGGGCTTCCTCCTCTTGAGTTGCAGTAAACCTGCAGTGTGGTTGTTATGCCCCTGGTAGGTGAGGATAAAATTCTAGACCTAGAAGAGAAATTGCTTAGTTATCTGGTGTAATGTCTTCATGAGGATTTATCATGTGGACAATCGGTTGACTGTTCGTCCTAAAGACACATAGTGACAACCAACTCTTTTGAAAATGCAGTAGTTTATTCCTGTGTGCTAACAACTTGATAGTTGGGGTGTGTGTATATATTTTTTATATTAAGCTAAGAAAGGTTTCTGCAGTAAACTGTGTCCATTTCTTTTCAGTTGGTCTTTTGTGGAAAAAAAAGTTGTCTGATGTTAAGTTCAAGAAACACATTTATTTATTTTTAATTTTTCTTATTTTTCCTGTTCTCACAATCTGTTCTCATGAAGAAACATATTTAGTGCCTGGTCTGCTAAAGAGGTTCAGAGAGAAGAATCTCTGCCTTTGGAGCTGAGTGTATCCGAAGTGCAAGAAGCATATGAAAAAAGATAGTTTTTATATAATGAAATGAATCAAATGAAGTTGGATCTTCGGAGTAAAAAGTTCATTTTAGTGTCCTAAAGTGTCTCTTAAAAAGACAGCTCTCTGCCCCCTTAGCAGCCTTTTACTTTAGGTTTCAGAATTGATTTCCTCTTAATTGTGTGTGTTTTGTTTTGTTTTTTTTTAGAACTATTTTTTCCTCTTTCCAGTTACCAATTTGTGTGGGGTAACAAGGTTTAAAAAGTAACTTTGTAAACCTTTTAAAAAATACATTATTTGAAACTGACTAAACGTTTTCTTTTTATTAATAACAATGTCAATTCTAACTCAGTTCTTGAGTGAGAGAGCTAAAGATGGAGACAGGTAAAAAAATAGGTAAAATCAGTTGCAATTTGTGCTTAACTTGTATCCCAGACACCCTTGTAGTTGAAGATCAAGATTGAAAACTCCTGCCTTGAATGACCTGGGGCTTTCTGTCCATCACACCCAGCTTAAATTGTCCTTTGGAGTAAAGTTAAAATAATTACTTTAAGATATTACAGCTGTTATTTCCACTTCGTTTAAGCCTAGTTTTCGCTCCTGTTATGTACTTGGAATTGAAATAATACATCATTTACTAATGCCTTATGAAATTTATTAGTTGAACAGTTAGATGATAGGTTAAAACAAAATGTAGTTAAAATGATTCTTAACTAAATTGTGTTAATAGCATTTGACTTTATTAACCACATTAATTCCTAAACTGTGGAAAATTCTTCTTTTTAAGGGGAAATCAAAACACGTCACTAATAAACCACATCTTGGACATTTCTCGAACTTCTCTTTTGGCTAGTGCAGTGTAATAAACTTGGAACTTTCTGCTCAGCTTCTTTTCTTGAAATGTGAAATATCATTCTGTTGCCAGTACGAAATATGAGTACGGTGTGTTTCTGAGAGAGTGTGATGTTCACCTCTGTAGCATATGGAAACTTTTTCTTTTTTTCTTTTTCTTCCAGAGTAGCACAGAAGAGGGAGGATGCTGTTTCCAAAGAAGTGACTCGAAAACTTTCTGAAGCTGATAATAGAAAGATGTCTCGGAAGGAGAAAGATGAAAGGTTTGACTCCTGTTTAAAGTATGGCCATCATAAAAGGGGGTACTTTGAAGAGAATTTTTTGATTTTTGCTTAAAGAATTTGGATTTTGGAATTGTCTGAGGTAAATTTTGGAATTGTAGTAGTAGTAGTAATGGAAATAGTAATAGCTGACTTTTAGAGTTTTTATTACAACCAGATACTTTTATCTGTGCTGTACAATAGTTGATTTATTCCTCTAAAGAGTCCTGTGAAGTAGGTACTATTTTTATCTCCTTTTTATACCTGAGGCAACAAAGGTACAGAAAGCTTGAGTAACTTGCCCAGGGTCCTGAATTAGTACATGGTAGATCCATGATAAGAACACAGGCAGTTTAACTTGAGAGCTTGTACTTGTAACTGTCTGCTGGAATTGAGGAGGCAACAGAGCTTTGTACAGAGCAGGCTTTGTCTGTTAATAGGTGCACAACCTTGAACATATCGCCTAACCCCTCTGGGTCTGAAGGGTTTATGTGTTAGCATGTCTATGTGGTGGTATTTCTGTTCCTGAGCTTCCCGAGGGATATCCCATAATTAGTTATCTGTATTGGTTGGGAAAAAGAAAATAACTGGGTTTTTCTCCTGTTGCCCAATTCTGTGCCACGTTTGTTAACCCCTAGTCCCAATTTTTTCTGCCGGCTGCTCTTAGAAGGCTTATTGGACAATCTTAACATCTGAGTAGCAGAAGTCCCTGAGTAAACTTGTGCTGAAGAATTGCCACATAGTTTAATAGTTGTGGATCTGCTGGTTTTCATGGATCTTTTGTTTCAGTATCAAGAAGATGCTTTGTTGGAACATATTTTTTACCCCACTTTGCTCCAGAACTTTGTGTGAACTTCCATTGTTAAAGTGCATATAATATATTTTCTGTATTTAATACGGTTTTCTTAAAATGCATATAAAACAAGTAACACACTTTTAAAGGACCAGAAACCATTTAAAAGGAGGAAAAGGTGGATGAGCAAGTACCTTAGAGTTAGTTACAGCAACTGAGCACTGAACTTAGTTGTGGGTTTCCAGGTGTCAGGGGAAGCATCTGAGGTCACATAGCTTTCATTGTCTGACGAGAAGCAGCATGCAAGTCCTTCTGAAAAGAAACTTTCCTGGCACTGGATCTTGGAAATACTTTATCAAGTGGATCCTTATTTAAGGGACACTGAGTAACTTAATGAACAATGTCTTCTATAGTGGTTTTGGAAAGGTACCAAAACATTATTAAAATGATTATCTTCTATGGCTCCTTTATAAAACTGAAGGCACAGTATTATGACAATGGAGGCCTTTCTGCATGGAGCAGCTTTAATGAGGTCGGGCTGCATAGCTTTCCAATTGCTTGTTTTTTGCATAGGGATCAAGGTTAGAAAATCTAGGTAACTGTTTTAGAAAAAACTTTTTGTTGTATTTTTCATTACAGTGGTGTTTCTTAAACTAGGGTATGCATAGTTACCTAAATTTCAAAATGTTTGTTACAGCTTTTAAAGGTTTTCAGTGATTAATTATGTCAGGGATAGTAAATGGGTTTCCTCTGCCCACTGCAGTCTTGGGCAGATTTGGTCTGGCACTTGTTCTTGATCCTGGGTTATGTCTCGGAATCTTTCTCAGTTTAGTGTTCAGGTAGTCACTACTAGTGACTCAGTTGAAATTGGGAATGAAACCTTTGCCATTTGCTGGATTAGGTATTTCAAAGTGGGGTGAGGTGGAGGTTTCATGGATATATATAAGTGCAGAGTGTCAGAACATTATAAAATTTCTCTTCTTTTCATTGGTAGAAATTTGGCTGTTTTTATTTCCACCATAAAAGCCATACGGGATACAGTTTGTACTGTATTGATTGACCTTGATAACTGGGACCAGAGCCTCTCATTAAGATCTAGCTTGTTTCTCTCTGAAAGAATTCCAGGAGATTTGATGTAAGAAGAAGGCTTATCAGCATTTCTTTGCTTAGATGTGTATCTCTCAAAGCTCTGTCTACATTCATTTGGAATATATACTCCATGCCGCTTAAAAGTACTTTAAAATGTTCATTTATCCAAGGATGGAAATAAGCAGAGGAGAATGTGAGATTCATTAACATTCATTCCAGAGTGGGAGTGTGGTTTCTTCTTGATTTACAGGTGATCTATCATTTAACAGTTGCTTGGTCTCAACATTTCTCTTGTAGGAAGCTCTTCCTGAAAACATCCTTAAGATATTGAGAAGTGCTCTCCCAAACCACGTTCCCTACTAGGAAGAAAATGTCTTCTACTAGGCAGAACCGTTGGCAATGAGGGCATTTGGGGGTCCTAAATTTAAAACAGAAACAAAAACAGGATATGGGTGGACTCAGTAAAAGTTCTAAAGGCTGTCAGGCAGTCCTGACTTTATACACTGATGTAACTAACACGTGGTCATATTGGGATCTAGGGAAATCTAAAGGATTGGGCCACTTCTTTCATTAAAAGCTTTTTGAAAATGGTTCTTGTATTAGTCGATTTTCACAGTGCTATAAAGATACTACCAGAGACTGGGTAATTTATAAAGAAAAGTTTAATTGACTCACAGTTCTGCATGACTGGGGATGCCTCAAAAAACTTACAATCATGGTGGAAGGTAAAGAAGCAAGTGCCTTCTACACAAGGTGGCAGGAGAGTGAGTGAGCACAGGGGAAAGTGCCATTTTTAAACCATCAGATTTTGTGACAACTCCCTCACTGTCACGAGAGTGGCATGGGGGAAACCACACCCATGATCCAGTCACCTCCCACCAGGTCCCTCCCTCAACATGTGGGGATTACAATTCAAGATGAGATTTGGGTGGGGACACAGAGCCAAACCATATCACTTCTTATTTAGGGCTTGACAGAAAAGAAGTTAAGGAGAAGCACTGTGATGCAAGTGAGATAATTTTATCATCTAGAGTAAAGTCAGCCTAATAACCTACGTAAGCAACCTGACTTCACTGGGTCTCATGCCGGAGTCTTAAAAATGGAGGCAGTTGTCCTGAGTGTTCATTCTAGTGTTAAACCATGTTGAGACTATGCATCTTACTAGGCTGGTATCATTGATCAGTGTTAGAATGACATGTTTCCTGGAACTCCAACTCTTGTGTTTTAAAAATTTACATTTAAACTTCTATGAAATTAGAAGGTGTTTTATAGTTGATGGCTGCACTTAATGTCCTTCCCTTCCTCCAAACTTACAGTAAATGGAAGAGTTATTAAGTCGATGGTGTCTGTAGAATTGAGGAAATATGGCATCTGTTAGAGACTACAGATTTCTTAAGATGAGCATAAGATGTTAATTAGCCTTCATTTAGCTCCTTTCCGGCAAAACTTGTTTTCTTTGGATTAGTATACTTAATGAATATAATGTGTCAGTTACCAATGACTTACTTAAAGTGCTGTCCTTAGGGTTGAGGGGATGTGTCATCTGACTCCAGAGTAGGTTTATCTTTTTGGGAGACAAAGTGTCTACAAAGTGGCCTTCAACCTTTTTGATAATGACCTACAGTAAAAAATATGTATTTTACCTTTTGACCAGATAAACTCACACGTGGACACATGCACATGTTTCATAAAACGATAATTATCCTACTCTGTGCGATGTGCTGCTGATGTTTTTCTATTCTTTCCTATTTCATTTTTTTAAAATGCTGGTCTCAACTCAATTAATTTCTATGGGCATTCGATCCACTTGATTGAGTTCACATCCCACTAATGGGTCACAACCTACCCTTTTAAAAACTGCTTTACAAAGTTAATTAACCAACAAGAATGAAGGCTCCCTTATTCACAGGCATCCTATAACTTCCTTTTGCATGTGTGAAGGGGTAAAAGAAAAGATGGATGAAATACCAGTAAATTAATAAGATAAACTATCAGAACAAGTAAAATAGAATAAAAAGTAGAAGGATTTTACAGGCATTAAAAAGTCCTCCTAATGATTAAGCGCTCTTTTTTTGTTTGAATTAATAAAGATGGCTAACAATAGCCTACTTCTGTGAGACCACAGGTAATTTTTGTCATTGGGATTGTCTTCTGAAGGTGTGATATTGAAGTCTGAAATCCGTAGGCTGTAGAAAGCCTCAAGCCCAAGGTATAGCCAAGGAAACTCCACAGGCTGCTAATCATGGAGTTTGAGTTTTAGGTAAGGGCCAAGAGAAAGATATTTGACTTAGCTGCTGATGAAACCGTGCGGGTTGCCATTAATGAGTCCTTTCTTCCATAACCCTGGTTGCCTGGGAAAAATGGTAACATAACCAGCATGATGTTTTCTTCACTATCATAGAGTGACATATTTTTTTTCAGTGGAAGAAAGGGGACAATTCTGACTAAATCTAATATTACAAACACATTCTTACCCTAGAACACTCAAGGAAAAACTTGTTTTATGATGAACTAGAGCCATATGGTACTTAAAAGTTTTTTTAAATCATATTTATAAGCTTGTTTGACTTGTTTCTGTGTCTGTAGAATCTTGTGGAAGAAGAATGAAGTTGCTGATTATGAAGCTACAACATTTTCCATCTTCTATAACAACACTCTGTTCCTGGTCGTGGTCATTGTTGCTTCCTTCTTCATATTGAAGAACTTCAACCCCACAGTGTATCCTTTTCAAGGTTGATTATCTTTTTTAGAAGTCAAGAAACAGTAGTTCATTTTGGTTTTGACTTGTCTGGATATTTTAGTGGAAAGAAAAACTGCTCTGGGAGTCAGTCCATTAAATAGTGCTGACTTTAGATAACTTTCTGGACATTTAAAATAACAGCTATTGGTTTAAGATTCTTTTAAGTTTATGAATTATGACTGTATGATAAAGTATTACAAAGTAGTCTATGGGAATCTGTGTCCTTGCCTCCTTAAAAAAAAGCTCCAAAGAGCCAAAGCAAACCTGTCATTTTTGATAGCTTCTGAAATAATAAGCCCCTGTACCTGTTATTTTTGGGCTCTGGGGGTTGGGTGGATGGCCAATGCAGTTAAATAGGTTCATTCCAGTGTATCTTAATAGTGTTTCAAGCTGCTGTTAAGTTGAGCTTTTGGGCAAGAATCAGTCTTCTCTTATTAATTTATTAAAGATGTTATCCAGGAATGTGCAGCCAAGATTTTAACAATTGGTGATTATGATGTAATAAAATATCAGATACCCTCCAACGTGTACCTTCTGGGAATGCTGGAGTGATTTGCTGAAAATTGTAGAGTTCTGAGGCTAGGAGTAGCTTCGAACTTTTAGAACCTCCTTGCTGTTGCAAGCCAACTGCAGCAAAACACTGATTTGCAGGGAAGACTTATTTTTCCATTGCTCTTAGGGGAAGAAAAGGAAAACAAATCTCTTTTCTCTCCATGTTCTTTGATCAGCTCTTCGTGAAGGTTAAATGGAATTCAGATTATTCTTTGTGATCATGTGTTCTAGGTTTCTGTCTAAAGTGTTTTTTTTAAATTGGAACACATTTCCTGTGAATGTTTTCCATTTTTTTTTGGTCTTCTGTCTTGCAAATTGTGTTTGCAGACAATGGGGCTGCACATCATTATGATTACACCAAGTGTCAGGAAGGAAGCAGTACATTCCAAAGAGATGGGCTCTTTATTTTCTCAAAAAACCAATTTGGAGTTACTCATTTTTCCATAACATTAAATTTCTTACAGGAACTACATATTGTCCATAAGTGCTTCATCAGGACTCATCGCCCTCCTGTCTACTGGCTCCAAATAGACCATGTCAGCTTCACCCCCTGGCTTTGTGTCTATGGGTGGCCTGTGGTATATGGAAAAGTAGCAGGGTGGTCAGGGTGGGAGACACAAGATGTTTTTATAGTCTAGAGCCTTTAAAAAACCCAGCAGAATGTAATTCAGTATTTGTTTATTGGCTGTTTTTTGACAGATTGTTGAAATTAAATGAATTGAAAGGGAAACTCAGAGTACTAGGACGTTTATTAAAAGGAAAAAAATGTCTTGCAATGTGCTGTAATCACAAGAGGAGAAAATAACTTGTTTCCTTGATCTGTCAGAGGTCACAGTAACCTGGGCCGAGCTGTTATTATTTATTATATAATAGTAGTAGGAAGTTAATAACTGGTTCTCTGTGTTCCAAGCACAATATTACAACTTCTTTTGAACCGTAAATATCAGAATGAATCCTCTTCCCAGGGGATTGAACAGAAGCTTAATGTTTACAAGTGTTTGAATTTGTGATCTGAAATAACACAAAATTAAAAACATGATTTCTCTAATTTTCCAACTAGAGGAAGAGAAACTTGTGGAAAAGTTCTTTTTTTTTCTTTTTTTTTTCTTAAAGAAGGGCAGCCAAGGTAGTAACCTAAAAATAGTGCCCAGGCATATGAGAGTTGTCCTACGAGGTTAAAGAACACACTGTTCCACTGTATGGCTTTGGCCCTGAGTGGCCAGGGAGGTCAACTTGACCCTGCCATGTTGGTTTGACTTACTAAGACACAGGAATCACTGTTTTCCTTGACCAGGGTCTCACACCCTGGAGGAATGTTAAGTAAGAGAAAGAACCTCTTTCCTGAATATTGACATGTAAAAGACCAAAGTAATTTTTCTGAACTTCTGCAATTCTGAGAACTCTCCAAGGAATTTACAGTGATTTTAGTGCTTGTCAGCATTTTTCCATGAGGACTTTCATACATTTGACTCTTTAGTTCACAGGTTCCCATTGATTGTGAGCAAGATATTTATCTCTTTAGCCCTTGGGGATCCAGCTGAGAGCAATCTCTTGCATTTTTTTACCCGTGTATGTACAGATATCATTTCTTGTGTATGCCATGACTTGAAAAAGTTTGGGAAGCTCTTTAGCAATATCAGCTAAAAGGATATGAAATCACAGGTGATAGCAGTTGTCATTCAGTAATTTCCTACAAGCAGCACCCCAAAGGAAATATAGTCCTAATCTTTACTATCCACTTCTAAATTTAATGTGAATTTCATACATGTTATTAGTTGTTTTCTTTATAATTTTATAAAAATTATTCATCGGGAGTTTAACTTCCACTTCCATGCTATCGGATGTGTTGGGCTCCATGCAAGAACTTGGAAGAAAAACAGGCAGGAATGCATTTGCATAATGACCCAGATCATCATTTTCTGCAACTGAGAATTATATTTCATCATTGCTTCTAGAAGTCTGCAATTCTTTACTTTTCTTTGGTGCATTATTATCTAGGTGCCATCACTGGATAATGTGGAGTGACTAGAGAAGTCACATATCACTGTAAGGTACAGTTAGGGTAACACTTTAGAGGTTTATTATTTTTAAAAAACTTTTCTTGAACTCCTGGCCAACATGGTGAAACCCCG
Source organism: Homo sapiens (assembly GCF_000001405.40). Taxonomy (NCBI): domain Eukaryota; kingdom Metazoa; phylum Chordata; class Mammalia; order Primates; family Hominidae; genus Homo; species Homo sapiens. Next base: position 156,541,601 of record NC_000003.12, on the reverse strand, counting down.
TCTCTACTAAAAATACCAAAATTAGCCAGGCGTGATGGTGGGCGCCTGTAATCTCAGCTACTTGGGAGGCTGAAGCAGGAGAACTGCCTGAACCCAGGAGGCAGAGGTTGCGGTGAGTCGAGATCGTGCTACTACTGCCTGGGTGGCAAGGGTGAGACTCCATCTCAAAAAAGAAACAAAAAAACCCAAAAAGTTTTCTTTACTGTTGGTTAAAAAAAAAAGCCAGACCATAGTTTGACTGGTGGCATGGAATTTGTGTATCAAATAAATGCATTTGCTTATTTGACAAACCATCAGTGTCCACTATTTGTTACCAGAGTTGGGCCACTATCTTTTAAAATTGCTGGTGAAAACTTGCCACTAGATGGCAGTGCCTGTATAGATGGGGAAAAAATTGCCACCATTCTTGGTATAATACAGTGTAGCTTAGATGAGGTGGTGAAATAGGGGTATCAGCCGAATATTCCTAATATAGTTTCTCTTGAATTAATAAACTGAAGATTTGTAGGAAAATGAGTGAGCAAAATTTGTTTACTGTTGTGAATTTTTCCTACAGCACTGTTTTTAATCTTGATGTTTTCCAACTTTCTGTACTAATAGATACATTTCTGTGCATAAGATTATAAAGCATATACTCACAGTTCAGTAGTTTTCGTTAAGGATTTACTGTGTGAGTACTTTACTGTGAGGAATTGCAGAACCTTTTCCCCTCTACTCTTGTCTAAAAGTTCTGTGTGGCACACAGAGATGCGACCTACTCAATCTGACTTAGTAAAACCATGCTGTAGAATTTTTGTCTTAAAAAGACCACATACCCAGCACCCATGAAATAAAAGATTCATCTGTAATTGGGATTCAAAGTGATTAAATTCCTTTGTTCATACTCATAAATAGCACTAAAGTGTTATAACATTTTCATTTACCTATTTTTAGTTCCTTCATTTTAACTTAATAAAAATCTTGGATTGATATTCTTTTTTTTTTTTTTTTTTTTTTGAGACAGCGTCTCGCTCTGTCACCCAGGCTGGAGTACAGTGGCTCTATCTTGGCTCACTGCGAGCTCCGCCTCCCAGGTTCACGCCATTCTCCTGCCTCAGCCTGCCGAGTAGCTGGGACTACAGGCGCCCGCCACCACACCCGGCTAATTTTTTTGTATTTTTAGTAGAGACGGGGTTTCACCCTGTTAGCCAGGATGGTCTCGATCTCCTGACCTCGTGATCCACCTGCCTCGGCCTCCCAAAGTGCTGGAATTACAGGCGTGAGCCACCGCGCCCGGCCTAGATTGATATTCTTAAGCAATAAAAGTTTACTGGTTGTCCTATTTGCCATATTATTGAAACTTGGAAAGGATAATTTGAAACAAGGTTTGAAGTTAACTGAAATATGGAGATTGAATTTATACTCAATTCTTGTGAAAAGTCTTGCTTAATAAGTATGATTAAACTTTGCTTCTTAAAATTTGTATTTTCCCTACACTTCTTTATAAGAATCCTATGATGAAGTACGTAATCTTTATTATATTATTTTACATTAACCATCTTTTTTTTCAAATTGTTTTATTTTTTATTTTACTTTAAGTTCTGGGATACATGTGCTGACCATGCAGGTTTGGTACATATGTATACATGTAACCATCATTTTAATATCTCACACATGTAAATGCACATCTTTGTAGTTACCAATCAAATGTATGTGAGGCAATGAAAGGCATTGAGCAGTTACAGTAAAGGGCAGACATCAGGCCTCTGCCAGTATGTACCTGCTGTGCCTTCCTGCCTGCCCTATTTCTTTGTTTTCAGTGTGCATGCCAGTCACTGCTGCTTCTGGAGACAGGATGGAAGGATACATGTATGTGTACATTTATGGAGAAAACCAATTTATAGATGTATCAGAGCTCTAAGGGATTCTCTTTCACTTCCTTGGGACTCCCAAGCAGAGGAATTAATAGATTAGGAGGGTCTTTTGGGGGGTTGGTTTAAATTTTCAGGGCGATAGAGGCTAACTTCTCGTTGGCCTTCATGAATTTTCAATATATCATCTTTTCGCTGACTTATCCCTGTTTGATTTCTGAGTTTGGATTAATAACTATGTTTTTTAACTTCAACATTCTCACAAACAATTTCTGCATAAAACTTCTTCTTTAAAGCTTAAAAAGAAAAAAAAATCTACCTAATGGAGCACTGAACTAGAACACAAAATACTTGGGTTCTAGGCCTGGTTCTGCCATCAACTAGCAGTGTGTGAGTTTGGGCAAGTTTTTTCATCATCTGTCCAGGCCTGCTTTGCTCGTTTGTCAAAGAGGGATGGCTTTGCAGATGGCTAAGTTTCCTTCAGGCTCTGACATCTGCCTCATGACTTTGGCACTCTTGTCATGAAGATGAAGTGACAGTTCTTTTAAAGTGGGAAGCCAGACACAGGGTTTCTAGTTTGCCTGAGATTTCCATATAGGGATGGCTGGTACCCAGGTTACCTTTTGGAATGATAGATTCTCTGCCAGGGAATTCTTTTTGGAAGAGAAAAGAAAATAATAAGAGTGCGTGGAATTTTTTCTTAAGGACATAACTAACTAACTAACTAACTGTGAAATACATTAGTATATTTACCATGACAGATTCGCATATAAAAAACTGGCTGTTCCCACAGCTAAGCCATAATATTTATATTTGGTTTTGATTTGCAAGTAAGTTTTTAAAAGTGAATTTGTGAAGCCTTAACCTTAGTGCGGAGTGTTCTAAAACCCAGTGAGAAATGGTATCTTCAGTAGTTAATCTCCATTGATTGATTGATGATAGAATATGTTTGGATTGCAATTTAAATCTCAGACTTTTGATCACTACTATTTCTGTTGAGTATTCAGTGCAGCTTAGCTGCCAATATAATTTTTATTTAGATGATTATTGCCTAATTTATGGCCACATATATTTTACATGTGTATGTTTTACATATATGGAAAATACACATAAGCCTTACAGTGAAAGATCAGATAAAATCTATTGTAAGATTGAATGCACAAAATGCTTTTATTACTCTAAGCAAATAAATCAATCAAATCACATTTCCCATTAGACAGCACCTCAGCTCCTCTATACATACAGCAGTTCGCTGGATTGAATACACAATGAACAACTGAAAATGATCAATTTCCATCATTCTGATAACACGGGCAAAAAATTCAAACTCTCTGTTAGAATACAGGTACTAGTAATCAAAAAGAAAATTTCTTGATATCTCCCACTAGCATTTTCAGATTTAGAATTTAACCATGAAGTACATATCTAGAACTAATGACAGAAAAATCGCATTTTAAAATAATATTACAGTTCTTCTGTAAACCTCAGAGTGATTTCTGTGTGGGGAACTTGCTGACCAGAAAATTAAATGAGAATTTTGTACATCCTCAGATAGCCAAATAGAGTTAAAGGGCCACTCCCACACCACCCCCTTCAAAAAAAAACAAAACATGTTTTCTCTCTTTTTACAGATATTGACACAGTATAGTCTCACAATTTTTCTCAAGTGGGATATTAATGAGGGTAAGTAGCCAATAGTGGCAGGGCTAGATACACCTCAGATTTCGAGTGCAACAAGGGTAAGCCCCATTAATCCATGCAAAGAACTTTCATGCATATAGTTTAGTGCATATAATATGATTATAGAACCAGAAGTTCTTTCTTTAACATTTTGCTTTTCACTAGGCAAGTCAATTTACCCAGCATATTCTGAATAGTGACATAGCATTTTTCACAAAGCCAGTGGTTGACTTTCATGTTAACAATGCCTCAAAAATACCAAACATTATATTATAAAATCCCAGTGCTAATTAAACAATGAACATTTGCCTTCCTGGGTATTTTACAGGTTTACTTAAAAAACTGAGCATGTGTATGTTTATTTGTAAAGCTCAAATATTTAAACTTGCAGAAGTTGTGCCTACAAGCAGTTGAAAGTATAAAGCAGGTTTTAATAAAATGTAGTAAAAAATGAACACCTAATTGCAGATACATTGCATTTTCTTTGAAGCTAAGTTTCCATAGCAGTGTAGCCCTCTCTTTCATAAATCAGCTGCATTGTCACTAAAGATTGGGTATTCATCCTTTTACTGTCTCTACTTGTAAGTGGACATAACATTAGAATCCTAATAGACATTCTGGATAAGTTGTACAAGGCCATTCTTGGGGCCAAGCAACAGTAAATATTTGAAAGGTAATAAAGCAAATACCTAGAAATTTTTGTTTTATTGAATAACAAATGGAACAAAACTTGTTAGTATGAATGTGAAAATAGAAAAAAAATATATAAAATTATTTCTGCTTATTCTTCCAAGCAAGACTTTTGAGTGAAGATACTGCTTTTTTTTTTTTGCAGTGAGATATATTTTTAATAACTATTTACTTAACAATAATCTATTTACTAAGAAAAATCTCTCAATTCCTTTCCTTCACTGAATTTAGTCTATCTACTCTGTTTCTTACGCAACTCACATTGCATCTGTGGATTTTGTTCTTTTGAAAAAATATATCTGTACAGCCTTCTTTGAGTTACCAAATGCCTGAAGGTAGTACCACACCCCCTGGCCCCCATATTCTTCCCATTGCATAAGCATGAGGTGTATACAGCAATGCAAGAATAGGTGACTCCAGTCCAAGATAAGAAAATAGAATGGATTTTCTTGGTTGTGAGTTTTCAGATGTGCACAGTGGTAGCGACAGCAGACACCTCAAAGAATCCAGGGAGGGACACTAGAGGTTGAGCAGCAAGCTGCTAAGTGATTCAAAAGACTGGTTAGTAACACCTTTCTGTACTGGGCACAGGCCGCTATTTTAACCATGCAGCTTCTGTGGTTCATGCATTGCCTTATGATCTATAGTCCTTCTTGCTGTAGGGCTTGTTGCGCAGTATGTTATCAATCTCATTTACCACATGTGATGTCATCTTTGGGAGAACCTGAGAGCAGGAGGAGAAGTACAAAGGATATTGTTAGCAGTGTTGATCATTCGGTTTTTTGTGCTCTATATTTAGCAAAGTAATCTAGAATCATATATCTTCATAAACCACAGCTGAAATCTAAGCCCCCCGCCCCCAACACCATCACATTGTAAGCTCCTTGAGGTCAGGGGCCTTGTTGATTGACTGCATAAATGAAGGCATAAAGGCATAAGTGAAGGCTCATAGAAATACAGAGCAGCTCTATCCAACAGAAATATAATGCAAGCCACATTTGTAATTTAAAATTTTCTATTAGATACCTTAAAAAGAACAGTGAAATTAATACATGTTTTTACTTCATTATATCCAAAACATTATTTCAACATGTAATCAATATAGAAAAGATACTTGACAGTTGTTTTTGGTACTAAGTCACATCTTGTGAACATGTTACACTTAAAGCACATCTCTGTTTGGACTCACCATCTTTCCCGCATACAATAGCCACATGTGGCTAGAACCATAGTAGTACACAGCACAGGTCTAGAGACTAAGGAGAGATTTATTCTGACTGGTGGTCTTATCCCTGGTGAAGGATGGCTGGGGTTTAACAGGCATCCCAGGTAGATGGAATAGCATGGAAAAGTGAACTGGAGTGATAGTATACAGTGATTGGTGTAGGTGTGGGGATGCTAAGAACAGGATACGGATGGTAAGAATGGGATAAGAGTGTGGAAAGCCTTGAATGCCATTTTATGGAGTCCCCACTTTAGGCAGTGGGGAACCTGTCAGGACTTCTGATCTAGGAGTAACCCTATCAGACACCTGGAGGTAGTTTGAAGGATGAGCTGGAGGAGGTGGAAAGGGGACACAGATATTAGATATGTATTACAATCCAAGCCAGGCAATAGGGCCTTAACTAGGGCAGTGGAGCAGAAAAGTGGACCTGAGAGACATTTTGGGGGAAGATGGTGGTTTCAAGACTGAGTAACTAGAAGTATATTGGTATTGATTATTGAGATTAGAAACCAAAGGAGAAGTAGTTTGGGGAATAAGAAGTTGGGAGAGAATAGGATGTGTTGAGTGTAAAGTGCCTGTGGAATATCCACCTAGGAGTGACTGAGCAGCTGCAAGTGCAGCTGTGGAGCTTAGTAGCTGCCGGAGGACTGGAGTTGAGGGTTTGTGAGTCATTTGCACCGACATGCTGACTGAAGCCCCGGGAAAGGATGAGCTCATCCAAGGCTAGCATTTACTGTGAGAAGTGGGCCAAGGGTACACATTACACCATAAGACAAGGGACAAAGGCAGACTTTCTCACTGGAAAAGTCTGACCCTGTGTGGAGACTGTGGTGAAATACAATTCTGACGACCAATTCTGAGGTTTCAACCTCATTCTTCCTTTGTTGCAATCCTGCTGGCCAAGGTGACCTTGTCTCCAGTCAAGTGCTATCCTCAGAAGCCTTAGGGTTTGGCAAAATAGAGCTGCCAGCCTGGGAAACTTCATTCTGGTTAATGTTTTACTGTCTGAAGCTGAAGGAAGAATTTGGTTTCCCACTAGCTCTGGAATTTCAGTGTCCAAACAGCTAATGTGTTATTTAAAATGAGATTGTAACAATGAGACCAAAAACCTAGAAACTGGATTTGTTGGATTTTTTTTTTTGTCTAAAATACAGCGGGTTAGCCACGTGAGGAGAAGAATCCTTCATTCATTACACCAAAGCAAATCTCTATAGGAAAGAGATTTAAACATTAAAAAAATGAAACCATAAAAGTACTCGAATAAAACAAGACATAGTATCACAAGACCAGAATTTTCAAGAGAAGCCCCACTTTGAAACATTGTAAACTACTACAGATTTTACAAACACCCCACAGGCTACTAGTTTTGCAAACTTGATGTTACACTGCCTGGGATAGGTGGTGGGTTGGGGGAGGTCTGGCTAATGTTGCTGGGGCTGGCTGGGCATTAGTAAAGTCCTCCCAGGATTGGGTTCCTATTGATCTGGAACTTGGGGATGGAGTAGGATTTTGCTAGGCTGGGATAGTGGTCAGTTTGTAGGCAGAGGGCCACTGTTATCGCCGAAGCTCTGAGTGGTTGAGAGCGGCTCAAGATTCAGATTCCAGGAAGGTGTGGTGGGGAGTGATGAGGCCCGACTGCTGTGGAGCCTGGCCTTCTCTGATGGGTGATGGGAAGCCTCAGAAGGGTTTTAAGGCATGTGGGGAGGAGGGGGAGAGGCGGTTCTCCCACCTTTTAGGTGGGAGTGGGGAGGATGGAACCTGTGCAGGTGAAGGTGGGCTGCCTGCAGCTGTGGTTTCTCCTCCTGTCTCTCCCATCTGTCAGGCTCTGATTTATATACGCCCCTTCGTTCCTGCACATCTTAGGCACGTGGCATCCCTTGAAGCAGCTGCCTTCCCAGCCTACTAGAAATATTTTCTTACAACTGCTGGTGCTCCGTATTTTCCATCCTTTTGCAGCCAGTGCCACCACTGCTGGGCACCCCTAGTCACCCAGTCTGCTTTTCACCATGTTGTGGGGCCCAATCACAACTCGTCTTGGGTGGACTTTAGTGCTGGGTATGGGGGAGGTGAAGTAGAACAGGGGAGGATTGGTAAGCCCGCAATGGTAGCAGTCTTGCTGCATGGATAATGTCCCCTTTAGGATAGGCAAAGCCTCATCCTGCTGCCAGCCAAAGCCTTGCTAGGGAGGAAATGTTTTGGGAAGAAAAATTACTCAAGAGTTTTCCTCTGAAATGTGTCCCCTTCCCTGTCAGCTGCCTTGCCTATTTCCACAGCTTTTAAAACTCAGCCCTAGACTTGCCTCATATGCCATCCCTAGGCACTATGACTGCCCCCAGGAATGGCAGTGATCTCCCTGTATTAGCATGATAAAAATCCTCAATTCCTCCCTCTTCTGCCAAGCCATGGTGTCTCTCTTTCCCAAACCTGCAGAATCCATCCATTTCTCTCCCCCTCCATGGCCACTACCCTCATTCAAGCCACCATCGCCTCCTGCCTGGATGACTGCCCTTGCCCTTCATTCTACTTTATGCATGGCAGCCAGAGTGACCTTCAGACATTCAAATAGGAGCATGTCCCTCCTCTTAAAACCCTCCACAAGGACTTGTTACATGTAGCATGAACTCTAACCCCATGGTGTCCTGCGAGACCTGGCCCTGCCTGTCTCTCCACGTCAGTGCATCTGCTGTCCCTGTGCTCAACTACGTGTTGACCACATTGGCCTTAGCTGGCAGTTCCTGGGAAAAGTCAAGGTCTTTCCCATCTCAGGGCCTTTCCACTGCTCTTCCCTGTCCCTGGAATGCACTTTCCTGGACTCTTCACATGCTGTGTGAAGACTTGTGAATGGTTGTCAAAGAATGTAAAAAATGAAGGCACATGAAGCCCTCGGAATAAACATATTCCAGAGGGGCTTTTTGCAAAAACATTTAATGTAGGCTCACCCATTTCTCAGTCTCAGTAAAATAAACATTTATTTACTTAATAGCCCTTTTCATAACCTGAAATCATTTTGCTATTTATCTGTCTCTCCTACTGGCACGTAAAACATCCCTTGAAGGTTAGACAGTGTTTTTCTTCTTTCCTGTGTTATCTCCAGTACCTGGTATACAATAGGCTCTCAAAGATCTGTTGAATGAATTAAGGGATAGATATTTTAATTCACTGTTTCTCAGCCAGCACATGAGCTCTTTGAAGGCCAGGTCCTGTTCTTACTCATCTCAGTCCTCCCACTGCCTAGCACGATGCCAGGCATAGAATAAGTGCTCCATAAATATTAGTGAAACTGAAATCATTGGATTGAATTTCAGTTCTTTTTTGTACAAACTGTTCTGTCCCCTCATCACTGTGTACCCTTATCTTTTCCCAGAGCATAAATGAACATAAGAGGGAGAATTCCTCACGTAGCTACAGGGAACCTCACAGAATCCAGTAGGAGTTATGGGGCTGGATATGGGAGTTGTTAGAAGCAGAGAGGCAGAGGTGATTACACGGCTGCACAGTCCTAAGAAAGGTTGGGGGAATGGGCAGGGATCTATACCATTTATTCCACAGTGTATTCTGGGCTATTTTTAAAAAAGATTTTAAATCATGTTTGTTGCTACCTCCACCTGTTTCCTTTTGGGAATGGTAACAGGGCTGTGTGCTTGTTGCAGGGACAGGTAGATAGGGAAGAAGCTGTGAGACAGTTCTTTTCCTCCATGAGCAAGAGAAAAATAGATAACCTTACCAGGTAGTGGCTATGGCAGGAATTGTGGGCAGGATCGTTCCTAGGGCTTTTAGCAGGGTTGAGAGTAGGATAGGCTCAGGACTAGTTGTGGCCTTTGGGGAAAGGAGGTGGTCACAATAGATACTAAACTCCACCCCTCTAGTTAGAGCTCCCAGGAACATCCTTTCAACCCACCCACTGCCACTACAGGCTCCCCAGAATATGGCTGCAGGCCCCATCTAGTGCCCTGGACCAGTGGCCATCTCATGGGATAGGGAATGGGGATGGGCCTCCTAAATTTGCTTCTAGGGAGATGTGATCCTGGAAGTCCAAAATAGAATTTTGAGCCCATTTCTCTTAAAACATGGCAAATATTTATTCAATAGATCTTGAGTGTTAACTAAGGGACATGTAGTAAGTACCCTAGGAACTGGAAAACCGTGGAAAAGCAAAGACACAGGTCTGACCTCAGAGGGCTTGCAGTCCAACAGGAGAGACAGGCAGTTATACTACATTATCATAAAAGATCATGGGAGGGGGAATACAAGATGTTCAGGGAACAGCAAGAAGGGGCTCAGCACACAGCAGGTGGGCAATATTTGTGGAAAGAACAAACAAGTAAATGATGTATGTATATTGTCCTATGACTTAAATTTCCAAGCAAGTTATCAGGCCGGCTTTTATGGCGAGGCCTGGGAAGTCAGTTGCCACGTATAACACTGCAATGCACTCTTCCACAGAAACAAACCATCCCAAGAAATGAGCTTTGGGAATACTGCCTGTTCATAGGCAGAGGACAACCCTGGATCCATGTACTGGGAAAGTGTTCTGTTGCCTTTGTTCCCCCTACTCTTGCCCCACCCAGGACAGAGAGGGGGAGAGATGGGACACTGCCTGGAGATAGCCTCAAAGGCACCATTAAATTCCCTGATGTTGGAAGGGGCTGCAGTACTTGCCTGAATGGCACCAAGGTTTTCAATGAGTTGTTCAGGAGTGGATGATCCCAGGAGCACAGAACTCACACCTTCATTTCTCAGGCACCACGCTGGGAGGAGAGGACACTGGGTCAGTTTATCAAAGCACTTCCAATCGTTGATTAGCTTATAAACACCTGCTACAGCTGTTTGTTGCAGCCAAAATTTATTAACTTCTTTTTGTGGAGGATGTACAGTGCTTCCTAGGATTAAAAACCTGAGCAGCACCCCCTGTTGTGTAGAAGATTTGACAGAATCTGTCAAAGCCCAGCTGGGAGGGGAAATGCAAATGCATAGAGGCGCTGGACAATGGATTGTAAGATTCTCTCCAGCACGCTCAGCTGCCCTCAAGTAGAAGCAGAAAACACAGATGCACTGCTGTCTTTCTTGCTTCTCCGCTGGTTTTCCAATTGCTAGCCTACTATATGTCTCTTAATTAACACTCAATGCATTTGGGTTGGCTCGGGGCTTAAGGCCTTTTTGCTTTCCACATAAGGCCCTGTCACCTCAACCAGGGCATTCAAGCTACCCACCCTAGAAACACATTGTTCCTGGAAACACCTAACACTGCTCACCAGCAGATGGCTGGATTCCTGTTTCTACCTTGGCCCACAACCTCCTGTCTTTCCACTGTATTCATGGTCTCATTTTCCACATCTGTTGCTTGGAACTCTTGTAGACTCTAGGTTTCTGGTTCCTTGGTTCCCACCTACCTGGCAGCCCTCTCTGGACCTCCCTTTCTTCCTAACCCAAGATTCATCCTGTGTTGATGATCTAAATTACTCTCTTATGAACCCTCACACCCCTCACTTCTTCTGCTTCCTTAGCAAATCCCCATCAGTGCTGCATCTGCGTTTTTGGCTTCTACTTCAGGGTAGCTGAGCGTGCTAGAGAGAATCTCACAGTTCATGGTCTGGTGCCCCTATGCGTTCACGTCTTCCCTCCCAGCTGGCTTTAGCCAGCCTGGCCAGCCTCACTCTTGCCCTTGGTCATCTTTCTTTTCCCGAAAATGACCTTAAACCTGTACTCTTAAACCATCCCATCAACCCCTGCCCCCTCACTCTTAGTAGATGACCTTGTCCTAATGTCTATAGAAAATCAAGTCCCTCCATTGGAATATTCCTTAATTCCCCACTCTCCTGCTGCATAAGCATCCACATCCATATCCTCCAGTTTCAGAAGAGGATGTGTGCGGTTTCTGTCCAAGACCAAACTCTGCCTTGGAGATATCTCCTTTTTGCCTTTTCTTGGACTTGATTCATACATGATCCCACCGCCCCCATCACCCCATTTCAAAATTTCTTACTGTGTCTTTCTGTCAACAAAACATGCTAAAATTTCTCCCATTCTAGAATAGGCTTCCTCTGACCCTTTTTACCTGCTTAGATACTGCCCCAACCTTCTTCCCCTCTTAAACTTCTAAAAGGTCAGTCCAGATTCCCTTACTGATCTTCTTCACATCCCAGTCACCTTCTTGCTGTGTCCAGAAGCTAAGGTCCCCAGGAGCCTGCTGGTGATTACAGTGGACTTCTGAGTCCTTAGCTGCCTGGAACTCAGTGTTGCTGGACTCATAGATGCAGTGTCTGCTGGGCCTTCCTGCTAGATGCCCCACCAGCACCGCAAACTTCTTGCTATAATGCCTGGCCTTCTTGCATTCCCAATCACATTTGGGGGCATCACCAGCAATGTGGCTCCCCAATCTGGAAACCTGGGAGTACTCTTTAAGAACTGTCCTGTTCTGACCCCCTTTTCCCTTTTAACTGCTAAGTCCAGTTGATTATTCCTCCTAAATATTCCTCTAATCAAGTGGTTTTCAAACTTTGGTATGCATCAGAATCATCCAGAGGGCCTGTGAAACACCCATTGTTATGGCTCACCCGCTGAGTTTCTGATTCAGGTCTGGGGTGCAGTCTGTGCATTTTTAACACACTCCTAGGTAATGCTTATGCTGATGCTGCTATCTGGGACCATGCTCTTTTTTTTTTTTTAACCAACTTTATTGAGGTAAAATTTATACATCAAAAATTTTACCCATTTTAGGTGTACATTAAATAATTTTTATAAATTTACCAACCATCATTTTTAAGGTGCAACCTTCACCATTTTTAATGCAGTTTTATAACATTTCCATCACCCTAATAAGATCCCTACCTCAAGTACCAGGCAGCCACTGATCTACTTTTTGTCTCCAGATTTGTCTTTTCTGGACATTTCATCTAAATGGAATCATACAATAGGTGGTCGTTTGTGTCTGGTTTTCACTTAGCATATGTTTTCTAGGTTTTTCCGTGTTGCACTATGTACCCGTATACCATTTCTTTTTGTTGCTAAAGAGTATTCCATTGTGTGGATACAGGGCTCAGTTTGACAATGACTGCTTTGGTTCAGCTGTCTTCTCCGGTTCAGCTGTCTTCTCCTCCTCAGTCACTGCTGCCCTCACTCAGGCCCTCACCATCTCTCTCCTGGATAACTGGTTTTCCTACCTCTTGCTTGAATTGTCCCCTTATATTTCCCCCATACAGCTCTCATCCAGCCAGCAGCAGTCTCTCTAAACACAAATCTGATCATATCACTTCCCTAGCTAGTGCCTGACATAACTCATTGTCCTGTAAGATGAGGTTCTTAATTCTTACCTTGGCAAACCTTATTTTCTAGCCTACCTCTGCAGCTTCATGGCTCCCTACCTTGAACTTTGTGCTTCAGGAGCACTCACCTGTCTTTAAATCCTCTCCATCTCCAAGCATCTTGCTGCTTTTCTCCTCTTCCTCTCCCTTCATTCTGGGGCACATTGCTCAAGCTGTTCCTTTTGCCTGGAATGTCCTTTTGCCTTCCCCTTTCTTTTTGCCTCACTAATATTTGCCTGTCATTTGAGATTCCCCAAAGGTATTGCCTGCTCCTAAAGTACTTCCCTGAATTCCAAGCTCCTACTCTAATTCCCTTATCCCCTGTTCCCTTCTTAATATGATGACCTGTATTAAAATTATCTGTTTATTTTCTTGACTTGCCCACCAGGCTGTGAGGTATGCCTTATTTGCAGTTGGATGCTCAGCCACCAGCCCAGTGTCTTGCACAAAGTAGGAACTTATTAAATGTTTGTTGAATAAACATAGGCATGGATGATTGATGGATGTCCCCAAGCACATCTTCTGCCCCCATTTGGACAGCCATATTGTCAACTGATACTCTTAAGCTGTTACCGTGTCCAGGCCTTTTATGGTAATCACTGAATTTCCACATGGGCAAAATACAAAATAGTGCTGTATAAAAGTACCAATCCAATCTTTCTCTCTCTTTTTTTTTTTTTTGACTGCATTATTTGCTGCTTTGCACTGAGAACTATTTTTGGCCTTAAAGGTAGTTCTGAGGACAAAGCAGGTTCTAGGTAAATTATTGCCCATAAACTACCTGACTACTCGAGGTCACCAACAGCTGATTCCCCTAATGGGCCTGTAGGGCACAGGAGAACCCACTGGGCAGAGCTGGTTACTTCCATGGTAGCAACTGCAGCTGATTCTGGATAATTAGCACCTCTAACCAAGTGTCACTAGCAAGTATGTCCAGAGTGCCTGTTCACTAAGAACAAAGTATGAATGCTGGCTCCAGTATACCTGTGTGACTTGGGGAGCAGGCACACAGTTGGGTTCAAGTAGTTTGCTTTCTGCCGGAGGATCCCTCTCCCACACTCTCCTAGCAGATCAAAGATAACGTGCCTGGAAATAATTTCCCTTTTGATTCTGAGAGTTTTGTGGCTATAAACAAAATTATTTATTTACAAAGAAAGAAGTGACAGGTGAGAAAGACATCTGAGAGGACAGGAGGAAAAGGGGAAAAAAAGCATGTTTTAATTTAAACTCAGATCCTGTAAAGAAGGCATTTCATGTATATCTAATATCTAGTAAGAGTCTAAATCTTGTAAAGATTTCCTCTGTAGAAAGAGAGTGTTCTTTCCTGTCTTTCAGGGCTAAGTTTAATACTTCATGTTACTATCTAAAAACCATATATGATTGTGCAGAATATGTTTCTCTGCATATTACTCTGATTGCTTGCCATGGCTAAGAGCAGACAGAATTTCAAGTTTTGCATGTCTACTCTCTGCAAGAACATTATCATCTTTATTAGCACTCACTGAGCACCTACTTTTTGCTTTATATATATAATTTCCCTTTACTCAACTAGTTTGTAAGATATGTATTATTATACCCATTTTACAGATGAGAAAATTGTTACCAGGTTAAGTAACTTGCCTGTGGTCAAATAGCTAATATGTTTTACTGTGCTTGTTAAAGCTGTAGAGTTGCTAAGTAATAACATTAAATACATTGTTTGATTTTATTTTATTTTTTGAAGAAAGGATTAAAGCACCAGTCATACATATACTACGGTACATGGCATTTTCCCCCCTCTAAAATCACCTCCCATTTCTATCTTTCTATGACTGCTAATTGCAACTAACATTTCTCTGCCTTCCAACCTCTGAAGAGTCAAGCTACCAACAAATATTCTATTAAATTATTTTATTTGCATAGACCTTATCTTGAGCTTTTTATCTCATTGGGTTAGTGTTTCTGATATGTCCCAATTCCTGCTATTTCTTAATCTTTAGGATTTTTTTTTTTTTGTCTAGAATCAGCACCCATTTTATTCCTTTCTCATAGCTACCACATGAATTCTTTTATCTCATTTCTTCATTTATAAGTGGAGATAGTAATAGAAAATCCTCCACTAGCATCGGTAAGATATGACTAGTAATAGTATAGACCTCCGCGGATTGTTATGGTGATGAAGGAGACAAGACAGTGAGAGTGAGCCTGAGGTGCTTACTATAGAACCTGACAAATATCCCCTAGTAAGGGAACCAGAAGTCTCAGGGCTTTTCTGCCCAGTGTGTAGCCTTTGGCAGCACGTGGCTATTGAGCATGCAACGTGTGTCTAGCCTGAATTGGAATGTGCTTGCTCTAGGTGTAAAATATATGCTGGATTTTGAAGATTTGTAGAAAACAAAGTAAAATATCTCAATTTTTAATATTTATTACATGTTGGAATGATAATATTTTGGCTATATTGGGTTAAAGAAAATCCATTATTAAAATTAATTTCACATGTTTCACTTTAATGTTTTAATGTGGTCACTAGAAAATTTAAAATAAGATACAGTTATGCATCCCATAGCGACAGGGACACGTTCTGAGAAATGCATTGTTAGGCGTTTTCCTCATTGTGTGAACATCATAGGGTACTTATGCAAACCTAGTTGGTATAGCCTACTGCACATCTAGGCTATATGGGATAGCCTATTGCTCCTAGGTTCCAAATCTGTACAGCATGTTACTGTACTGAATACTATAGGCGGCTGTAACACATGGTGTTGTGTATCTAAACATAGAAAAGGTATGGTAAAAATATGGTATAAAATGGTATACCTGTGTAGGGCACTTACCATGACTGGAGCTTGCAGGACTGGGAGGTGCTTTGGGTGAGTCAGTGAGTGAGTGGTGAGTGAATGTGAAGGCCTGGGACATTCTTGTACACTACCATAGACTTTGTAAACACTGTGCACTTAGGCTACACTAAATTTATTTTTAAGATTTTTCTTTCTTCAATAATAAATTAACATTAGCTAACTGTAACATTTTTACTTTATAAACTTTTAATTTAAAAAAGCTTTTGGTTGGGCACAGTGGCTCATGCCTGTAATCCCAGCACTTTAGGCGGCCAAGGCAGGCGGATCACGAGGTCAGGAGTTAGAGACCAGCCTGACCAACATGGTGAAACCCCTTCGCTACTAAAAATACAAAAATTAGCCAGGCTTGGTGGTGCACACCTGTAATCCCAGCTACTCAGGAGGCTGAGGCAGGAGAATCGCTTGAACCTGGGAGACGGAGGTTGCAGTGAGCCGAGATCGCGCCACTGCACTCCAGCCTGGGCGACAGAGCGAGACTGCGTCTCAAAACAAAAAACAAACAAACAAAAAAACCTTTGAACTTATTTGTAATAACATAGCTTAAAACACAAACACATTGTACAGCTGTACAAAAGTATTTTCTTTATATTGTTATAAGCTTTTTTTCTATTTTTAAAAAGTGTTTTTTTAGCTTTTTAAACTTTTTTTTTTTTGTTAAAAACTAAGACACAGACACACTCATTAGCCTTGGCCTACACAGGGTCAGGACCATCACTATGTTCCACCTCCACATCTTGTTCCTCTGGGAAGTCTTCAGGGGCAGTAAAACACATGGAGCTGTCATCTCCTGTGATAATAATTCCTCTTTGGGGAATACCTCCTGAAGGGCCTGCATAAGGCTGTTTTACAGTTAACTTTTTTTTTTTCCTAGTAAGAAGGAGTAACACTCTAAAGTAAAGATGAAAAGTATAGTATAGTAAATACATAAACCAGTAACATGGTCATTTATTATCATTATCAAGTATTATGTACTGTACATGATTGTGTGTGCTAGACTTTTATATTACTGGCAGTGCAGTAGGCTTGTTTATTATACCAGCATCACCACAAACACACAAGTAATTCATTGCACTCGGACCTTAGGATAACCACAACATCACTAGGCAATAGCAATTTTTCAGCTCCATTATAATCTTATGGGATCACCTACATATATGTTGTCCGTCGTTGACTGAGACACCCATGATTGAATGTGGTTCATATTATCTTTCTCTCAAACAGTGGATGTGGTTTGGGGTTTTCTTTTTTTTTTTTTTTTTTTTTTTTTTTTTTGAGATGGAGTCTTGCTCTGTCACGCAGGCTGGAGTGCAGTGACGCAATCTGGGCTTACTGCAAGCTCCGCCACTCGGGTTCACGCCATTCTCCTGCCTCAGCCTCCCAAGTAGCTGGGACTACAGGCACCCACCACCACGCCCGGCTAATTTTTGGTGTTTTTAGTAGAGACGGGGTTTCACTGTGTTAGCCAGGATGGTCTCGATCTCCTGACCTCATGATCCGCCCACCTTGGCCTCCCAAAGTGCTGGGATTACAGGCATGAGCCACCGTGCCCAGCCGCGTGTGGTTTTCAATTGTTACCAGCAATCATGACCTTTCATGGACTCCACAGCATTAGAAGAACAACGTTTATGGCCTTCAAGAACTTTCAGGGTGAAGCTATTTCTCTAGGATCAGCTTTTCATGTGGCAGTAGCCTTGGGCCTGTCACAGCCCTGTATCTCATCTTCTCACCAACCCTGGTTTAGTTTTCAACAGACAGAAATTTGAGCCAGAAGAAATGGATGTCACTACACAGTTCACCCCTGACATCTGTGATAGTGTATGTTATCACTGACATGTTCTCATTTAAACTATGTTATAAGAGCAAGGAGAAAGAAGTAAGAAAAATTTGCTATCATGTAGAAAATTCTGGGGAACCTCAAATAACTCACTTTATATTTAGCAGGAGTTTATGCTTCAGAGATCATCTGTCCCTGCAATAGACATTTTATCATGGTAAGGGTGTGGTCAGCAATAGAAAACTATGATCTCAGCAGAAGTCCCTCTACCACCCCATAGCTTAGTAATTTTCTTACCAACAGCTAGCTGAGGTAGTGTGCATCCCAGACGCTCCGCAATTGGGGAAAGGTCTTTTAGCTTGTTTTGCTGTTTTCTCCCTTCTTCACTTACAATTCTTTCTTTCAACCACTGGTAGCACTGGGGAAAAGCATAACATTGAAATGTTAATGTCTGGTAAAGATCTGATGTCAAAGAATGGTAATTCAATAAAATATGTGAACCTCATAATGATTTTCTGAATTTTTTGACCCTTATGTTTCACACTGACAGGGATGATTTCATGCAAAGAAATGTTCCTCACGATCTTGCTCCTTGTTTATTGGTTCAAAACAGATTGATTTTGACTAATATTCACCATTCAAATTGATCAGCCTGCACAGAAGTTGTTATAACCCTGACCGTGACATACAAGCACTTAAATCCTAGCCTGTCCAATAGAAGAAGTAACGTTTTTTATTGGGATAGCCCAACTTTAGAATGTAGCAAAAAAAAAAGTACATTTACAACTTACCAAGATCTATTATGTCTCCTTTTTATTAAGAAAGCTGGGTGCCAAGCTTTCTGCTCAAAGAAAACCACTATTTTACATTTTTGTTTAACTATTTTTCTCCCCCGTGCTTTCAATTCACTGCTAATCTCTTATTCTTTTTATAATGGGGCTTTGTTGTTAGCTTCTGCAGCTTCTTCCTAGAAGCAGACATGGCATAACTGATAGGTACTGAGTTGGTTTTTAAAATTTTAAAGTAGATAAAGACTTTGCAAATGTTATTACCTATTGTATAACTATTGAAACTTAAAAAAGTAAAGAAACTCAAAACAGGAAACTATTCTTTAAAGCCAATGAGAAGAAACTGACCCTGATCTATAGACTACAAAATGAACCTAATTTCCTAAATATAAAGATAAAAATCTTTTAGAACTTCTCAATGCCTTAGTTTCCAGAAGGCTCTGCTCTTACTATGAGAAAGGGAACAATAGACTCTTCTACATAAAGCGAGCACTTAAGCAGCAACACCCAGGGGAAAAGAGTATTTGTAAGAGTGTTAGTCTGTTTTAGGGAAAACAATTAAAAATCATCACACTGTGTGGTAATGTGGACTTTCTCTCTTGCGTGTAATTGTGACATAATACATAATAGCCATCGCAGATCTTTATCTTCCCAGAGACCGCAGAATGCTCTGCAACAGGCAGTGGGCCATGGACACTGCACCCACATGATTTCAATAGGCTGCTGGCTTTTGTTTTTTGAGCATTTTTTCATTATTCTAAGACAATATTTCCAAAGAAAAGGGTAACCACATTATGTTTTATTGTGATTTTTTTGAGTTATTTTGCCGATGAGAAAAGGAGAAGGGCAAGCCGCCCCAGTTTTGTCTCCTAAATCTCAAAGGCTTATGGGCTGGCTCCTAACCTGGTAGCCTGCTTGAGGAGATGGCTAAAGTTTTCCCAGCCTTAGCTCTGAGAAGCCTCAGCTTCTTCAAAAAGAAGAGTGGCCTGGAGCATCTCTCCAGAGATGACATTTGGTGCCAGTGGTGATGAGGTGGGCATTGTGAACAATGGACACTGCCTTGGGGCCGGGGCAGACTTCCTGGGCCAGAGTGCTGTCTATGTCAGAGAGTCCCTGAACTTACTTTTGGTGTCCTCAGTGGGAAAAACATCACCAATCCTCACTAAAGTTTCATAACATCTTTCAGAGGACCAATATCTCTGAATGTTATTCAAACCGACTAACAAAGATTGAAAACTAATAGCCAACTGCTTTTTGAACAATTGCTTCTTATTAGTATTAGAATTTCTGAGTTTCAGTATATACCATGCATGTAAAGAGTGGTTGGTTTATCAATCAATCTTTTGTAACTTTTCCGTTTTTGAAATCTTGTATGCAGTGCATTCTCTTTCTTAGGATTGGGTTACAAGTTCTATTTATGTGTGTGTGTATATGTGTATGTGTGTGACACACACATACACACCATTTTCAGAGACAGACTTCCAAAAGTAAAAAAAAAATTAAAAAGAAAAAAGCAATTATTTATTGAGTCCCAATCCATGTTCAACACCATAAATCTCATTGTTGCTTTAACCTATGGAAATACAAGCAGATTAGGGTTTTTAAAAAGTAGATGCATAGTTTTTATACTGCTTTCCTCATACCAAAGGAAACAAAAGTGTGTTGGAAATAAACAGCTTTAACTGCTTTACAAATGAGAAAATGTTAGCAGAGATAGGAGATGAGGCTTAATTAAAATGTTAATTAAATATGGAAGCAAACAAGTGTGTTTTGTAGGAAGGTTGGAGGTGGGTGTGGTTGTGGCAGTAATAAACCCTGCTTGCTGACTGGACAGTAATCTATGAATCAAAAGGTGAAATCTCCTCATCCAACCCTATTCTATCACCCCACTGCACTGCAATGATTTGATTACATGTTGGTTTTTCTAAACCTAGCAGATAGAAGCCAGGGATGGCTTGTTGTTCATGTCAGCATCTCCAGTTCTGACACTTATGGCTGGCAAGGAGGAGGGGCTCAACCAATATGGTGGTCAGGGAGGAGGCAGAGAAACCAGAGTTCCGTGGAGTCAAAATAAATCTCTTCCCGTTTTTCAGATTGATCATGACACCTCCTCCCCAATGCAGTGTGACTCTGCCAGCAGTCCTGTGGGACTCCACAGGGCTTGTGGCTTCCATATTATTTCATAATTCACCCCTTCATATGTCTGTCCCTATTACAAGTCCCGGAGCTACTCCTTGAGGGTTGAGACTGTCCCATTCATCCCTGTGTCCTCAGCACCCAGCACAAAGTCTGGGTATACTCATTAAATATTTGTCAAAGGGACAATTGAATGAGCTTTGCTCTACAGATTAGTTGGCTATTAGTTTTATGTATGTTACAAAACTCTAAATTTTCCTAAAGCCTATTTCTTTGCCCTCTCCCAATGCTATGATGATTTTATATGTCCCTATTTCATAGGTATTGATATTGGGGTAAGAATAGTCTGTGAGACTTGCCCCAGATCCCTAATTAGTTGTTAGTTAATCTTGGATTGAACTCAGGCTGAAACTGGAGCCATGGACAGAATCAGTCACATTTCAGTTCTGAACACTGTCTAGAATAATTTAACAACCAAGATCGTTGACTATTTTACTTAAACTTCAAAGTCTTTGACTCAAAACAAAAACAAAGTCACTAATGAGGTTGAGATCTCTAGGTAAAATGCTAGAGCCGAAAACTTGCCTTCTGAAATTTTACCATAATGTACAATATGCTTAGTTTCTTAATATGAACACTTGATGTACTTGGACCACCCCTCTCTCCCAACTTTGATTCATCGAGGTGTGCATGCTTCTTATTTTTCTTTGACAGAGGGGTACATAATTTTGTAATATTTTTTCGAGACAGGGTCTCATTGTATTGCTCAGGCTGGAGGGAAGTGGCATGACCTCAGCTCACTGCAGCCTTGACCTCCCAGGCTCAGGTGATCCTCCCACCTCAGCCTCCTGAGTATTTGGGACTACAGGTGAGCATGATACCTGGCTAATTTTTTGTATTTTTGTAGAGATGGGGTTTCGTCATTTTGCCCAGGCTGGTCTCAAACTCCTGGGCTCAAGCGATCTGCCCACCTCCACCTCCCAAAGTGCTAGGATTACAGATATGAGCCACCACACCTGGCCTATAATTTTTCTAGAAAGCATTTTGCCATCAACAGGGAGGAGCTGCCAATAAATTTTATTGCACTATTTATTTCTATTTAGAAGCTATACACCTGGTCTCTTGATCAGACTTTATTGATTTTGTTATGGCTCATCAAATTAATTTAACAAAGACTTATGTACCTCTTACGTACTCATCAGGCTCTGTGATGAGTCAGATGAGCAGGTTTCAGTTTGTGTCCTAGATGTATTCACAAATCATTACCTAGTAACATGGGAAGTGTTTTTTTGTTGGGGTTCCACTCCTGTCAATGATTTCCTTACAAGCTATGTCTTTACTGCCTTCTAATGGAAAATGCCATGACAAGATGGTGCACAACCTGAGCTGATCACAGTACCTTACCCTTTTGGCCACTGTCATTGGTCTCACAGGGTGGCACATGACCTAAGCTTGTCCAGTCATCTCTGGACTGAAGTTGGTAAAGAAAAGATTGCTTTTATCTTAGGTTACATGCCTTTAGAAATGCAAGCCTGCAACCACCAGTTTTCCTGCTCCTGGCCTCATTTATAGTAGAAGAAAATGACACCCACATGTAGAGAGAAATAGAGAAGATGGAAAGTCATGACAATGTACAAGTCCATGGATGCAGTCATTGCTGAGGCCACTCCGTACTTCTCAAGGATTGTCTTTGTGAACCAATAGAGTCCCCATTCTCTGATCAGATTTTGTTACTCGCAACCAGAGAATTAGAAGACCCTGTAAGAAGTGTTCGTGGAATAATAGAGAAGGTACAAATAGCTCAGTTTTGTAAAGTTATGACAGTCTTCATAGAGAGGAAGACAACCAAGCTTTGTCTTTAGCAATAAGAAGGGATTCCACAGGAGAATGAAAAGAAGGACATTTCTGGGAGGCAAAGGAGAGTACAGTGCATTTGCATGGAAAATGAAGTAGTATGATATGGGAGACACAAATGAAAAAAAATAGGCTCAACTTAGATCCCAAGGGAATTTCCTTGAATGCTTTATGACAAAGTTATGGCTTTGTCCTATAAGCAATGATTGGGAAATCATTAGAGGATTTTAAGCAGGGTTATGATATGGTCAGATTAATATTTTAAAAAGATTAAGTAGTCACAATGGTGGGTTGTTGAGAAAAGGGGAGGAAATCAGAGTCCAGATGGGAGGCTACTACAGTAAATCTTGTAAGAAATGGTGAAGATCCAAACAAGGGCTGTGCACAAGATGGATCTTAGAGTCAAGATAGAGTCTGGAGGATTTGGTGCCTTGTTGAACAGGAATAAGGAAGGAAAGGAGGCAGTCTGAGGTAATGCTTTGGCTTCTGACTGAGACAACCAGATGGATGGGTGGAGGCACTGTTAAGCAAGAAGGAATGGCAGGTTCTGGGGGTGAGGATAGATTCCATTAGGCATGACTGATGCCCATGGGACTTCTACTTGGAGATGTCTAATAGACACAAAGAAGGAGTGCTGTGCAGTTCAGCAGTGAAGTCAGAGCTGATAACACAAATTTAGAAATCATTGTTAGAGTAGTGGGGCCAGAGGAGGGGGCCCAGAAAATCCAGAAAAAGAGTGTTACTTTCTAAAAGAGCCCTAGATAGGTATTTTTTATGCTGAGTTAATTTATCCTTCAATTGCAGTTCAGTACTACAACAGATGCAAAATATTAACATCTTAATCTTATCAGTATAACAATAGCCAATGTGAAACACAAACTATTTACTTATTCTCTTTTAGGGTGGGATGAACGTTACCAATTTATTTATCTACTTGCCCAGATATCTATCTTTTAATTTAATTAACCTTCCTTCCTTCCTTCTTTCTTTTCTTTTCTTTTCTTTCTCTTTCTCTTTCATGGCATCCTCATTCACTCCAAAGGTTGCTCTGATACTTGCCTCCTTTACTTTTTATTTTTTTGCTCTGGTAACGATACTCAAGTGGCTTTCATAAGTGCACATATATTACTCCGAAAACACTCAGATTGATAATGTAGAGCCTTGAGAGTCTGCAGAGCTCTAAAGAAGCATACTTTGTGATCAGCCACCTTTCATCTGTTGAGAGCTCTTAATGTTTATTGTTAAGGATGTTCCAGTAGATACAGAGTTGACTTTATAAAAGTCACCAATAGAAATATTTCCCAAGCTGCTTTTGGGCTTAGCCACCTTCAAACATTCATTACTCTTTCTTTTTTTCTTTTTCCTTTCACTAGTGAATTTGTGAAAGATTTTTCAGCTGTTTGCAAGCTTTTCTCAAACAGTGATGGAGGTTAGACAATCATGCACTCCAAATACATCATAGCTACTTCTTCCTCCTTTAAAAACCTGGGTTTAAAGAGAAATAAAGATGTCTTTGAGGGAGGCAATTAACTTGAGAGCCAGGAGACCTGGGTTCTAATATCAGCCTTTTCTGTTACGAGTTTATGGTCTTGGATTGTTATTTAAGGTCTTCGTGTTTTAGTTCCTGCATCTGAAAATGGTCTGCCTCTCAGCAGGTTATTGTGAGAACAAACACTCTGCATATATAGAAATGCTTTGAATTTTTCAGCAAGCCTCTGAAAGAACATATGACAACATGCTTAGCTCAACTGACTAAAAGTCAC
The DNA here is from genome assembly GCF_000001405.40 of Homo sapiens. Taxonomy (NCBI): domain Eukaryota; kingdom Metazoa; phylum Chordata; class Mammalia; order Primates; family Hominidae; genus Homo; species Homo sapiens. Next base: position 156,517,703 of record NC_000003.12, on the reverse strand, counting down.
CTGTATCCATTCTGTTTGTGAGAATAAAAGTTGATGAATGAAAACACTTAGCTCAGTGCTTGGCACATAGTAGGTACTTAGTAAAATTGTAATTCTCAGTGCTTCCCTTCTTCCTTTCCTTCCTTCTTCACTCCCTTCTTGCCTTCCTCTTTTTATACCTTCTTTCCTAAGATGCTTTTAGTCTGTCTTTGCTGACTTGTTTAGACTTGTTTCAGAACAATCTTTAATTTTCAGAAGCAAGACCTTATTTAATATTCTAGGAAAATTGTTTTTTGTAATAATACAAAACTAGAAATAGGACCATGTCATCAGGCTTTAGGACGTATTCATGTTGTATTATTTTAGAGAACAAACAAGCAAAAGCTCAACTGTTACACAGAGAAAGGAAAGTCAAAGGCCTAGAGCCTTGAAAATGTTCTGATTAGGGAAGCTCACAGTGGCCACAGCCACAATGATTAAAGGATTGGTGGTTCAGACTTGACTTGAGCTGTTTTCCCAATAATTTAGTGCTGATGGAGGCAAGAAGTTGTGTCAGGCTTATACTTCCTCTTAGAAGGACTCCGGTTTATCTGATTTTTTAAATGCCTGTATTCTCTCTCCCTTGACAATAGAGAGTAATTTGTGATTCTAATGTTATTACACATTCTCTCAAGTTTTTAAAAACAGGCATGTTGTTATTAATAAGGAGAGATTTTTGAGTACTCTCCAATAAATTAGTCATCAAGATGTCCTGAATGGAGGTAATTTTGTGTCAATGATCTTGAATATCTTTTTGCTTCAGAGCAGAATTTAAGCTGCTTTAAGTGATAGAAGCTTTGCTATGTATCTGTCTCCTGAAGTCTTCCCTTCTAACCCACTGCCCCCAACACACAATAAAAAGTGTCAACCATACTCAGCTACAACTTTTGGCCTCATATGGATTAAGCCTTTATGGCTTACACTTTGTTTGTCAAGAAAAGGAAATAATGTAAGAATCCTCTTATATAGAAAAGAGATTTTGCATTTTATCAGTTTCAAATGATGGAATGTTTTCTTTAATATAAGAATAAAAAACAATGTAGGAATTTGAGCCCTGCAAGTCCAATCAGGTCACTGGGCACTTTTTTCCTAGTCCCCAGAAGAAGAGAATATTCAACGCAGTCAGATTATGAAGGACTGACTGATACCTGGCCAGGAGCCAAGACCTCCAGAAGGCTTAGGGGAACCTGCCAGAGGCCACTGGCCTGGACAACACAGTCAGCCTGAGCTGGGAAGCCCTAGGCTGCTGCAGAGCTGTTCTTACCAACCTTCTTCCCTCCTTCCTACTCCCAGGCTTTTTTCTAGACATTGAGAAAAATACCTTCAGTGAAGCCCTGGAACTTTCAGGCACCCCGTTTCCGTATTTTCCTGAGATGATTCCACAGGCAAGTGGAGACCATGTCATTGCGCCAACACCTACAGAAGAAAAAACTTAGAAAGTTGCTTGTGCAAATTGGGATCAAAAGGTGGGTGGCGGTGGGGGCAGTAGTGTTTAAACAGAATTTGGTAGGTTATAGGGAAAAGCTGGCCAGATAAATGAGTTAATATCAGCATGCATTTTTTTCCATTACAATTTAGGAGCTTACAAATTGTGTTTCATTCTTTAATCAGCCAATTAAACATGGACTGTCAGTTCTTGGGAGTGCATATCAGAAAGCCTGAAAAATGTGGCTCATCCACGAAGTTTTGTTGTCCTTGTCCATTTAGTACCTAACATAGTGCCTGGTACACAGCAGGAGCACACACCTGGTACATAGTAAACACTCAATAAGTGAGAGCAATAATAACAATTATTACGGTTGTTATTGAAGTTTTATCTTTTTCTCCTTTTCCCAGAATTTTCCTGCTCATATGAACTTCTGTTTCTTAGGAAGAAAGTTATTTCTGGAAACTTTTGATAAATAAGCCTGAAAATGTGGCTTGTTCATCTTTTCCTAATGTCTAAATTTCTTGGGTATATTATATATAGATATATTTCCCCTGTCTCTGAAGGCATTAGTTCTATCTGCACAAATGTATAGTACCCGACTTAATAGTTGTTGAATTTCCCATTTCTAACTCAGTGCCAGGGCCAGGGTAGTGGATACAGATGTATATATCCATGATTTTTTTTGAAAGGTAGTCATTGTTTACTCGAGCAAGCACCAATGAAAAATGAACTTATTCATTGGTTGTTCCTTTTATTCAGTATGCATTTTTTTTTTGAACACCTGCTGAGTACAGCTGAAATACCAGTCACAATTTACAACTCTGCTTGGCTTTCATCAGTGATACCCTGTAGACTAAATGCAGATTCTGCTACATTTTGATTCTGCTACAATCTCTGGAATGCATGGTTCTTACAATGTCTATGTTAATTAGGGACATTTAGGAAAGCATTTCAATAACACTGTTTTTATTTTTTCCCCGAATCAGTGATCTTTCTCTTGTTAAAAATACTCAGTAGCTTTTATTTTGAAGATTACCTATTTTGTGGTAGAGCTCTGGCAGCTGGACCTCCACTTTCTCTCTCTGGAAAAGATGGTACTCAGCTTGTTCACAGACCGGTGGGATCATATTGAACTGTCTTGCTACAGAATAGGCTTCCTAGGGAGGAATGAGATTACAACCAAATTTATACTGATGAGAAATAAGGCTTCGCTGTAATTTGTATGCATGAGAAATGTTTACTTTGGTGAAATCAGTACAAACCAAGAAACATGTAGGATGCCAAATAATAAGCAAATTTGTCACCACCGATTTCACTAAGAGCAATATGAAAGGTAGGAAACCCTTATTAATTCTTTGGGAGGGTTTGGATTGAGTTAAGTCCAGAGCAAATTAGTCAAGGTGTGAATTGTACACTACGATAAAGAAAATGTAGTTTAACTATTTTTAAGTTCCTAAAGAAATAAGACTTAGACTAACATATAAAAGTATCTGTAATTAGCTTGGTATAAACAGTATAGTTAATACAGTTTTTTATAAGAAAACTAGAATACTCTGTTAATATATCTCATTAGCTGTGAAATTCACTTTACCCTCTTGCCACCAAAGAACACTGTATTCTCTGTTGTATTCTGAACGGATGAGCTCCGGCTCCAATATCCATCTCTGTAATGATGGAATTGATTCTAGAATTCCAGTGCCATAGTGATTGTGAGAAAAGTTTGCAAAAGATCTTGCAATTTATGCATGGCATCTGAAAAGCAATAATAAGGTACTCAATAGCCATTTAAAAATAGAAGTTAAATTACCATGATCTCCATAGCACTCCATCTCGAGGTGCCCCAGTACATCGCCATGCCTTGGTTTATCACATGTGTCATGGCTCGGACAATTTCTGTGGAAGGTCAAACAGACAGCATTTCATGAATTTGTCTACTTTTCAAAGTTATGCGATTTTTACTCCTCTAGCCAAAGCTTAGAAGCTTAATGCAATTGTTTGTTTGATTAATAAAATTAGCCTAATATTGGTGACAACATTATAGTCTGACAGGAAATATTGATGGTTTGAAGGCTGATGGTACCTTTGGGCAAACTGACATTCCATTTTCCATTTGCAGCAACAACACTAAATGATATTGAAAATATAATGACCATTTTAAGTTCTTCCTTTACTTTTATTGCTTGATGATTCCTGGCCTAATAAAGAATACATGATTTACCTTTTTAAGAGCCTGAGTACCTTCCCGACTAAAGTGAGAAGTAAGAGAAGGCATTTGTTTCAACTTTGTAGAATGTAAGGTCATTGAAGGTGAAAGGCTTGTCTTTGTATATTGGACTTGCAGAGCTGGACCTCACACAGAATGGGTCTCTAAGAGAGGTGACTCAACAACAATGTGTTTAGCAGAAAGATAAACATATTAAATGCTGAACAAACAGCCGAAGTCACCGTGGCTCACAGCTTGCAATGACACACCCTGTCCTTGATCACTTTGAACCAAATTTTGTCCTAAGACACCCACATAATTGATTTCACTGGGGCCTGTTTGTGGTCCCACCCAGCGTGCTCATCAGCCTCATGGAGCTCGACATCACATTTCCTAAACAGGAAAATGAATCCCTTCCCCAGAGGATGGAGCTGAGCAAATCCTCTTGGCACCAGCCAGATGTGCTGCAGAACAAGAGAGCATGGAGACCCTCAAGTTTAACTTAGTTAAAATTCACAGACAGGGTTGGATTTCTTCTACAAAGCAGGTCAGTGTTTAACAGGATGCCAGGTCACTCGACAGTTTCAAAGGGTCACAGGCCTTGGGATTTTTTATTTCTCAGTAATACCAGTCAGTTAAATGCCCTTCAGAAGAACCAAATCCTTGTCTCAAAGTAGAGTTGCAGTAGATGTATTTTTTTATTATTATTATTATTTCTCATGAGCAGGCACTGTCTAGATTGATACGGAACAGGATTTGGAATGAAATGGCCAGAGTCAGGGTCTTAGCTTCTTTGCTTGTTTGGCTGGTGTAAACTTTTTTGTTGTTGTTGTTTTTTTTTTGAGATGGAGTCTTGCCCTTTGGCCCAGGCTGGAGTGCAGTGGCAAGATCTCGGCTCCCTGCAGGCTCCGCCTCCCGGGTTCATGCCATTCTCCTGCCTCAGCCTCCCGAGTAGCTGGGACTACAGGTGCCCGCCACCACACCCGGCTAACTTTTTGTATTTTTGGTAGAGACAGGGTTTCACCGTGTTAGCCAGGATGGTCTCGATCTCCTGACCTCGTGATCCTCCCACCTCGGCCTCCCAAAGTACTGGGATTACAGGCGTGAGCCACTGCTCCCGTCCTTCTGTAAACTATTTTTAATTGCCCTTGATTTCTTTTTTGGAAGATGGAAATGCTTTCATTCACCATTGTGTGTCCAACAGAGGTAAAAGCTGGCTTATAAGCAAAATAGTTTTCTTTTTCTTGGAGAAAGACTCTAGAATATCAAATTATTGCCTAGCAACTAAAACTATGAAGTTCATTCTCCATTTATAAAACATATGATTAAAAAAGTGTAAGGAACCGCTTTTCTTCTCTTTCATTATACAAATGGAGATGCGTGCCTATGATAAACAGTTCCAGAAGTTGAAAACAATGATATGAATCTCTGCCCCAGATAGATTCTGTCTTTAGATGTCTCCATCACTGCACCAGCTCCCTTTCCCTTCACATCCTGTGTCATTCAGAGCTGGGAGTTCAGCCAATCAACAGTATCTACTAGGTGTCTGCTGTTCTGGGTGCTGGAGATACTGTGGTGAATCAAACATGCTGATAAACACAGAAGAGGTTAACAGAGAATAAACTGGACCTGGCCTCTCCCTTAACTCTGTCTCTGCCATCAAGTAAGACAGGCACAGAATGCTGACAGGTGGCTTGGGCACGTGGGAGTCCTTGACAAAAGCAGTGAAGATGGAGTGGAAGTTGTGACTCTTCCTGCACATGCATTTAATTATACAACACACAAGTATTAAAAGCTTAATGTTTGCCAGTCACTGTGCTGGTTGCTGGATTCTTCTGTGAGTAAAACAGACACAAATTTCCTGGACTCAGGGAGTTTCAAGTTGAGTGAGAGATGGAGGGGTAAACAAGTAAGTCATTATAAAATGTAAAGTGTTATAAAGAAAATAACACAGGGGACTGGGACAGGAAATGAAAGAGAAGACATATTTAGTGCAGTAAGGAAGGTCTCACTGAAGAGCAATCATGTTTAGGCATAAAAAAGAAAAAAGGAACCATCCTTGTGAAGAACAGTGGAAGAGCATTCGAGGCAGATGATGTAGTATGCGCCTAGGCCCTGAGGAAGGACAGAGCTTAGTGAGTCCCAGCAATGGGAGGGAAGGAGGACAGGGGTATGAGATGAAGTTGGCAGAGGGCAAACCATGTCATTTGTATGTTATTCAAGGTTTAATCAAGGCATTAACATTTTATCAGGTAAGGGGATGGTAGAATATAGTTTGCATTTCAGAACAGTCTCTGTGCTGTGGAGAATCATTAGTAACAGGGAGGACTGGAGGAAGTAGAAAGAGCTTGAGGAAGGTATTGTTGTATTCTAGGCAGGAGATGAGGGTGATTTGTAATAGGGTGATGATGGCAAACAGAGAGAGTGGTGGATGGATTCAAAATAGATGTTGAAGGCAGAATCCACAATACTTACAGATGGACTGAGTGTGGTCAGGGAAAGGGAGGAATTAAAGCTGTTTCCCAGATATCTGGCTGTTTACAGAGATAAGGGAGACTGAAGGAAGAACAGGTTTGGGAGAAAAATCGAGGGTTCTTCTTTGGACATGTGAAAAATGGAGATGCATGTGAGATACTAAAAGGGAGATGACGGGCGGGGCACGGTGGCTCACACCTGTAATCCCAGCACTTTGGGAGGCCGAGGCGGGTGGATCACGAGGTCAGGAGATCGAGACCATCCTGGCTAACACGGTGAAACCCCGTCTCTACTAAAAATACAGAAAATTAGCCGGGCGTGGTGGCGGGTGCCTGTAGTCCCAGCTACTCGGGAGGCTGAGGCAAGAGAATGGCATGAACCTGGGAGGTGGAGCTCGCAGTAAGCCGAGATCACGCCACTGCACTCCAGCATGGGGGACAGAGCAAGACTCCGTCTCAAAAAAAATAAAAAATAAAAAATAAAGGGGAGATGTCAAGTGGATATTTAATAGTTGGATAAATACGACAGTGAGCAATCTGGGCCAGAGGTGTATATACATTTATTAGTTACCAGTCTATTGATTATATTTAAATTCATGAAAATGGATGAGCCTTGTAAGGAAAGTCTATAGACAGAAAAGAGAAGAGTTTCTGATGGCCAGCCCAGGGGTTAGAGAGAGGACCCATGCAGGATGCTGGGTAGCCGGCAGCCAAAGGGGCAGGAGGGAAGCCGGCACACAGGGATGTGTCAGACCAAGAGCAGAGGGCACTTCAAGAGGGAGCCATGCCCACAGGGTGGAACGCCATGGACATTTGTGTCAGAACAGCCCCAAACAGTGTCCACTGGATTTGGCCATATGTAGGGAGACCACTGCAGACCATGAGAAAAGCAGCTTCAGTGTCAGTGATGTGATGGGATCAAGCAAGGTTGGAGCCATTGGAAGCCACTCAATGGAAGAATGAGTGGAAGAAGGAGAGGCCTTAAACACAATGCATTCAATAAGTTTGGAAGAGAAATAGGACAGGAGCTGAAGGGATATTCAGGGTCACGGGACATTAAGAGTAAGCCTGTGTGCCATTTGGAGTGACCTAGGAAGAGGGAGTTATTGATGAAATGGCCTCGGGGCTGGGAAGGAAGAGGGAGAGAGACTTGATAAAGGGAGAGGGAGGAGGGACAGAGCCCCTAGAGGTAAGAAGGACACTTTTGTCAAGATGATGGGACCCAGGGAGGTTTGTAGAACCATCATGGGAAGACATGGCAGCACCTGTTTGATGAATTCTAGTCTCAATAAACTGTGAACCAAGTGTAAAAGGAGGCATGAGATGTGTAGCAGAAATGAGAAAAAGGTGAGGAGAGCCTCTGCGAGGCACTCCAATGCCTCAGGTCTTTTTGTTGCTGGTAGTTTTTTCCTCATTGTTTAGTTTTGACTCTGAAGAGAAAAGCTTGGTGGAATTGGGAAAAGGGAACTCTGTGAGTTCTTGTCCTGGAAGGAGGCTGCAACATCAAAAGCAGGGAGAAATTGCAGGAGAACCAAGAGGCTGCAGTTTTGGAGATTCATGTTGCCATGAATTAAAATTTAATTCTATTTCAGAGAAAAATTCGTTTAGCTTACTAATAGGAAACAACCATACTGATGGCCAAGGTGGGTTTTTACATGATTTGAATAATTAAGAACACTAGAGGGCAGCATTGCTGAAAGGAAAAATCAACTGTCTTCTAGATACTGTTAAGTGCATAACATGGAGATGCCTTTTAAAAGCCTCCTAGGCAGAATAACAATTCTGAGTGAGGAAAGGATGTTAGAAAGATAGTTTAGTGCACTGCATCACCTGCCTCTGGGAAAGGAGACTCAGACAAATGTGATTAAACCTGATAACCCAGTACTGAATGTGACTCTCCTGGTCTGGGCTCCTTCCCTAGTTTTCCAGAAGCCTTAATCCCAGTGGTTCTCAACTCCGACTACATATTAGAAACACCTGGAGTGGGGGCTTTACAAACTATCCAGGCCCAGGCTCCACTGAAATTCTATTATATTAGAATCTCTTGGGGGTGAGGCCCCAGCATCGATAATAATTTAAAAACTCATCCCAGATGATGATTCTAGTGTGCAGCCAGGATTTAGAACCAACGTGCTTGTCTACACCAATGGTCTCAGGGTGTAGCTCCTGGACCAGCAGCAGCAGCAGCAGCAGCAGCAGCAGCACCTGGAAACTTGTTACAAATGCAAATCCCAGGGCCTCACCCCAGACTTAGTAAATTACAAAGTCTGCATATGTGTTTTAAGCAGCCTTTCAAGTAATGCTGACACACACTGCTTTATACTATTCCCAAGTAAGCCATTTCAATGGATACAAACGTCTTCCTATATTTCCTCTTTTGCTTTTTTATCTAACCCAAGTGCTTCATGCTATAATCTTTAGTTATTTGCCTTAGTACATAAGCAAACAGATAGCTAGTATGATATCTACTCTCTCTCTCTCTTCCTCTCCCTCTTTCCCCTCCGCCCCACTCCACCACCATGAATCAGAATCGCCTGGGAAATTTGGCAAAAATGCTGAGGTCCAGGTCCTAGCCTCCTTCAGTGAGCCAGGGCCTTTGTATTAGTTTCATTAGCTCTCAATCACAAACTTTTAGAAAAACTGACTAAACTATTGAAAGACTTTGTTAAGTCCTCCCTCTGCGCTCCTTTCCAGGTTGAAATAATCATTATTCTTTAACCTAATGATGCCTCCCCAGCGCTCACCCGCCACAGGCAGCTCTCGTACATACTCCCTGTATCCCTAGCACACAGGTGGCTCCCTATAAATGCTGCAGGTCCACTTTGTTTCCCTGAGTACTCAATTTCCTTCTGTAAAGTGAGAAATGATATGGATGTTGTGAAATTCTTTCAAAGCTTGACGTGGGATAATGGGTGTAGAATAACTTGTGAATTTGAAACAGTAACACAAACTGAAAATGGCCCAGGTTTCTTCTCAAATAGGCCCAGATTCTAACATTTTGGGGACAGTTGTTTCAGTAATGTAGGCCATCAATGTTTTAAAAAATATGCATTTTATGTCAAAGAAATTAATACAACTATTTGTTCTGAGTGAAAACAATTTTGGTTGATCAATATTTTAATTTTCTAAATTGGATCACATGCCAAAAGTGGTAGCTCACATTAAACTTTTTTTCCTGCAAAATGTTCCCTAGAACTTTGAAAGTTGTAAGCAAATAGTTGTACTGCATGAACAATAAGCCATAGGGGTAAAGATAAAAATATGCTTATTAGAAATTAATGTTTTGATCAGATAAAATGTACTCAAATTAATCTGGCCACAGAGATAAAAGCAAAAGATAAAAAAGATAAAAGCAAAAGAAGCCTTAGAGGTAATCCAGTGCAGTTCCTTCTTATTCTAGATGAGGAAACAGGTTAGGAGTGAAGTTTTTAGGCATAATTAAAAGCTTGAATATTATTAACAATTATAAATATTTTAAATATGCTTGCAAAATACTGAGAAAAAACATGCAAAATAATTGTATTATTTAGTGGAATTACATGCAATTTTGTTCTTAATTTTTCACATTTCCAGTAAATATGTTATACTTTTATGTAAAAAAGAAGAATGATTATCTAACAAGCAAAGGCACCACTTTAGACACTAACATATTATATATTTAACCAAATAAAATTGCTATTTTTAGAGCCCCATAATAGTTTAATATTGACAGTATCCTATGGTTCAACCCAGCTGATATCAGATTTTTTTTTTTAAGAGGCAAGGATCAAGATGGAGGCTACAACACTGGTATAATGCAAGAATTTGGTTTCATCAGAGGAGTTGCTGTTAACACTAATAAAAAATAGGCCTAGACCTAGGCACAATTTTTACTTCAGGTCAGCTGTTTGTGATTTATCTACCTTAAGTTGTTTATTTATTTAACTTCAGAAGCTTGTGGTGGTGGTGGTTTATAACTGTACTGCTTTGAAGCTTAGAGGAATCATCTTGAATCTTGATCAGTCCTTCATATTCTGAGCTGCAGAGAATCCTCTCAGCTTGATGCCTGGAGATAGAGGACTATCATTCTTCAGAGGACTGGAAACTTATAATCATAAATGAAATGATGTCATCCTTAGTATGGATCATGAGTCACATATCTTAAAGGTTTGCTGAATGTCTGAGGACAGCCTGGTTCCATTTGCCTTACAGAGCATGTATTAGGATGCAGGAGACATTGTTTTTTTTTGGTCCCATCACAGTCACTAACCTTTGACATCTCTTGTCCTTGCTGAGATCTCAGTTTCTTCAATGCAAATGAGCAGATTGATATTAATTAAGCATATACTTAATCTTGACAGTAACTGTTTAGGTGGGAATATTTGAATCCCATTTTGTTGAGGAAGAACCTGAGACTCAGAAAGATAAAATCACTTGGGCCAGGTCTCAGCAGATAGTCTATAGACCCCATCTAGCTTTGAAGTTCTGTGATCTGTCATCGTGAGAGGTTCTTTGCATAATGCATTGATGGAGAAGATGGTTTGGGGAGAGAAAACTAACAGAGCATTTACTTAATTCACCTCATTGTGTGTTTGTGAACATGTGATGCCTTGTGTGGTTATATCCATCCATCCCTTTGCATTTAATACACAGATGGCTATAGTTCATGATGAGTATAAATGACTTGGGAAATATGAGCTTTCTTTTTGTTTTTTTTCGAAGAAAAACTAAAATCTGATGACTCTTTGAAAAGAGAGGCAAAAAAAGGGCTGGTGTCTGCATCTGATCTGTCAAAGCTTAAAGAAAGAGTGGTCTTCACAGGGCAGTTTATAGGGAATATGCTTTCTGGATCAGGGCACTGGCCAAACTGATTCTGAATCAGAACAGAACAGATTCAAGAGACTAGAAAGGAATTCATGCACTGAGCCAAGTCAATAAAACCTCTTCTATCTGGAGAAATTGAACCTTCTTCAAAACTCCGACCCAAGAATGGAGCTTTATGTCTCTGAAGGCAATGCATTTTCCTCCACCCTGTAGCTACCCTGAGAGAACCCTCCCTAAAGAGCACATGGTCCTCAACCTCTCCTCTCTGCCACACACTGGTTTTCCCTGACTCTAGACAGTTTGAAGTGAGCCTTTGATATTGCCCAAATATGATTTCAGAACCTTATTCTAAAATGTGAAATAGGTTATTGAAATGGGACACTTTTAGTCTCACTTTTAGCTCAAGTCCAAAGGCTCTGAACAGCAACTGTTGTTTTTAAGTACCCCTGAGTTCCAAAGTGAAGCACTAGACCACCTATGCAGGAGACCATGGTGAAAAATGTTTGGTCATCTTTAGCCCAGCCTTCACCTTGAAAAAATAAATGAGTTAAAAAGAGAAGCCCTTTTAGAACTGATCAATAAATTCATTAAGGTTGCAGGACACAAAATCAACATACGAGAATCAGTACCATTTCTATACGATAACAACAAACTAGCTGAAAAATAAATCATGAAAGCAATATCATTTACAATAGCCACAAAAAATTAAATACCAAGTGATATGGTTTGGATGTTTGTCCTCTCCAAATCTCATGTAGAAATGTGATTCACAATGTTGGAGGTGGGTCCAGGTGGGAAGTGATTGGATCATCAAGTGGATCCCTCATGAATGGTTTGGCATCATCTCCTTGGTGATAAGAGTTCTCACTCACTCAGTTCACATGAGAGCTGGTTGTTTAAAAGAGTCTGGGATCTCCCTTTTCTCTCTCTCTTACTCCCTCTAGCCTTGTAATACACTCCCTCTCCCCCTCTTAGCCTTCCACCATGATTATAAGCTCCCTGAGGCCCTCACCAGAAGCAGATGCCAGCACCATGCTTTCGGTACAACCTGCAGCTCCATGAGCCAATTAAACCTCTTTTCTTTATAAATTACCTAGCCTCAGGTATTTCTTTATAGCAATGCAAAAATGGCATAATACACCTATAAATAAATTTAAGAAGGTAAAAAATCTCTACAATTAAAATTATGAAACTGATGAAAGAAATTGAAGAGAACACACAAAAAATAGGAAGACATCTCATGTTCACAAATTGGAAGAGTTAATACTGTTAAAACGACTATACTACCCAAGGCAATCTATACATTCAATGTAATCCCTATCAAAATTCCAATTACATTCTTTGCAGAAATAGAGAAAACAATCCTAAAATTTACATGGAACCACAAAAGACCCAGAATAGCCAAAGCAATCTTGAGCAAAAAGAACAAAGCTGGAGATATCATACTACTTGACCTGAAAATATACTACAAAGATATAGTAACTAAAATAGTGTGATACTGGCATAAAAACAGACACATAGATCAATGGAATAGACTAGAAATAAATTCACATATTTACAGCCAACAGATTTTTGACAAAGGTTCCAGGAACATTCACTGGGGGAAAGGGAATTCTCTTCAATAAATAGTTCTGGGAAAACTGGATATCCATGTGCAGAAAAATGAAACTATATTCCTATTTCTCATCATGTACAAAAATCAACCCAAAATGGATTAAAGACCTAAATGTAAGACCTGACCTGAAGCTATGACACTACTAGAAGAAAACAGGGGAAATGCTTCAGGAAATTGGTCTGGACAAAGATTTTATGGGAAAGACCTCAAAAGCACAAGCAACAAAAACAAAAACAGACAAATGGAATTATATTAAACTAAAAGCTTCTGCACAGCAAAGGAGCTAATCAACAGTGTAAAGAGACAACCTAGAGAATGGGAGAAAATATTTGTGAATTATTCATCTAACAAGGAATTAATTTTCAGAATATACAAGGAATTCAAACAACTCAGCAGCAAAAAAAAAAAAACAAAAAAAACAAAAACAAAACAAGTAATCCAATTTAAAAATGGGCAAATGATCTGAATAAATATTCCTCTAAAGAAGACATACAACGGGCCAACAGGAAGCCCCTGTCTCTAAAAAAACAAAAACAAGGCATAAGATACCATCTTACCCATTAGACTGGCTACCATCAAAAAGACAAAAAAAAATGCTGGCAAGAATGTGGAGAAAAGGAAAATCATATGCTGTTGGTAGGAATGTATATTAGTACAGCTATTATGCAGAATAGTATGGAAGTTTCTCAAAAAACTAGAATTAGAACTACCATATGATCCATCAGTTTCACTACTGATTATATATCCAAAGGAAAGGAAATCATATGTTGAAGAGATACCTGCACTCTCATGTTTATTTCGGCACAATTCACACTAGCCAAGATATGGAATCAACCTAAGTGTTCATCAACAGATGAATTGATAAAGAAAATGTGTTATAGATACTCAATGGAATATTATTCAGCCCTAAAAAAGAATTAAATACTGTCATTTGTGGCAACATGGATAAGCCTGGTGGACATTATATTATGTGAAATAAGCCAGGTGCAGAAAGATAAATACTCATATTTATCTCACTCATATGTGGAAGCTAAATCAGTTGATCTCATAGAAGCAGAGAAAAGAATAGTGGTAACTAGAGGCTGGGATGAGTGGGAGGGAAAGGAGGATACGGAGAGTTTGGTTAATAAACACAATATTACTGCCAGATAGGAGGAATAAGTTCTAGTGTTCTGTAGCTTTGTAGGGAGACTATAGTTAACAATTGTTTGTTCTATATTTTCAAATAGCTAGAATAGAGTATTTTGAATGTTTCCAACACAAAGAAATGATAAATGTTTGAGGTGATGGATATGTTAATGACTTTGATTTGATCACAACACATTGTATACAGGTAGCAAAATATCACACTGTGCTCCATAAATATGTACAATTTTTATGTGTCAACTAAAAATAATAATAAGAGAATAAATAAATGGAGGTTGAGAGATTATTTGGTCTTGTTTGAGCTTTGTGGCATTGCCCCTGTGATCTTTCCCTCCACCTTTATCTTTCACCTCATCTCTAAGAAAATAAAACTTTAGAACCTAAAATTCCCATTTGTAGAACTTGCAAGTAAGAACAGTTCCCTGAATTGAGAGCTTGACCTTGCTGTGATTTCTCCCAAACAGACAGACACAGGCTGTCCTGGGAACTCTGCTCACTCCTTGTACAACTCTCCCTACAAGGGGAGGCTATGGGATGCTATATCCTCTTAATATTATTTCTTGCTCCACCAGACATGTACTCTTTAATCCTAGCAAGACAGCAGTTGTTCATCTTACATTTAGATAAGAATGGCGAAGTGACTTGCCCAAAGCAATAAGAGAGCTTTCTACTCTATCCTCATTATTTCCCTGTAATTCTTTTATCACCACCCCCAGTTTTTCCAGCTTCTCACCTAGACTTACCACTGCCTGCTGACATGCTCCAAGAAATAATTATGTAGAATATGGTTCACAAAATTGCACCTTTTCTTTCAACATAATCTAAATATAGCCCCACCGTTTTCTACTAAAACCTGGTGATTCCAAGTAATCAGTTTGCTGTGTTTGGTTAATGCTAAATGGTAGTAATTAAAGAGGTTATTCTATCCTGATAAAAGTGAGGTGGCATCCACAATGAGTATAGAGTACAATGCTATTATTGCATATGTCAAATTCTATAGGATTTGTGAATAGTGCAATGAATTCTAATTCATTTAAAAACACTCAAAATGAAAGTAAACCCATCAGTTTAAATTTTATCTGGAGCAAGGCAATGAACAAATTTAAACAAACAAACAAACCTAAGTGAACTGAAATTACAGGACTGTGCAACTTTCCTAGATACCTGACTTATATCTTCATTTGTGAAGCTAAAAGTTTTATCATTACTAGGTTGTAGGACACTGATCCTCTTAGCATCCTGGGGGTTCCTTTGGCAATGTTACTGAACTAACTCAGTCTGTAAAAAAGCAACTTTTATAGTTTGAACATGGGTCTTACCCTGATGTGGGATATTTCCCTGACACAAATGAAAATGTTAAAATTTGAAAAAGAATTATTTGTCCTTCTAAAATTTGTAAAGTTTTGTTCTTGTCACCTAAGTTTCTGATTCATCTTGAATTTGTGTGTGTGTGTGTGTGTGTGTGTGTGTGTGTGTGTGTGTGGTTGTAAGGTAGGGATCTGGTTTCATTTTTTTTTCATATTATAGAAAATAGAATGCCACTTTTTCCATGTCCATTTATTGAATAGTCCCTTCTTTTCCCACTGATGTTCTAGAGTACTTTTGTCAAATATCAATGTTTTATAAATGCTAGTGTCTGTTTCTGGAGTCTCTATTATAGGGACTAATATTATATTACATCAATTTATCCCATAGCCAGTACCTTCCTTAATTACTGAGGTTTCATAATGAGTGCTGGTACTGTGATAGGGCATGTCCTTCCCTTCCACTTTACCCATTTTCAGGAGTCATTTGGCTCTTCTTGGCCCATTACCCTTTCTTATATATTTTATAATTAGCTTATCAAATTATTTTAAAAGCTTGGAAGGATTTTGGTTGGAATAGGGCACATTTAGCAGAATTGGCATCTGATATGGTTTGGCTGTGTCCCCACCCAAATCTCCACTTGAATTGTATCTCCCAGAATTCCCACATGTTGCGGGAGGGACCCAGAGGGAGGTAATTGAATCATGGGGGCTGGTCTTTCCCGTGCTATTCTCATGATAGTTAATAAGTCTCACAAGATATGGTAGGTTTATCAGGGGTTTCTGCTTTTGCTTCTTCCTCGTTTTCTCTTCCTGCCACCATGTAAGAAGTGCCATTCACCTCCCACCATGATTCTGAGACCTCCCCAGCCATGTGGAACTGTAAGTCCCATTAAACATCTTTTTCTTCCCAGTCTCGGATATGTCTTTATCAGCAGCATGAAAATGGACTAATACAGCATCTTTAAGGTACTAAGTCAGGCCGGGCGCAGTGGCTCACGCCTGTAATCCCTGCACTTTGGGAGGCTGAGGGGGGTGGATCACCTGAGGCCGGGAGTTCAAGACCAGCCTGGGCAACATGGTGAAACCCCGTCTCTACTAAAAATACAGTAATTAGCCAGGCATGGTGGCACATGCCTGTAATCCCAGATCCTCAGGAGGCTCAGGCACGAGAATCCCTTGAACCTCGCAGGCAGAGGTTGCAGTGAGCCAAGACCACATCATTGCGATTTCCAGCCTGGGCAACAGAGCGAGACTCCTCTCAAAAAAAAAAAAAAAAAAAAAAAAAAGGTACTAAGTCTTCCTGTCCATGGACTTAGGATATATCTGCATTTATTCAATCTCCTATAATGTCTTTCAGTAAAGTTTTATAAATTTATTCATATACCATATACTCCTTGCACATCTTTTAAAATCTTTTTATTCCTACTTACTTAATATTCTAAAAAATATTCTAAATGGTTTCTTCTTGCCTGTGCAGGCTTTTTGGACTCTCATTTTCCCTTCCTTTTGTTTCTATGGAGGTAAATAGCAGTTCCCCGAGGAGGAGAATGGAAGCTGACTATGGAATCTCATGCATTATTAATGTTTTCCCCTTGTCATACTGGTGTTCTGTATTGAGGGTAATTATATTTTAGAAATCAAAGGAGCAGATGACAATGACAGCGGCCTCTAGTAGAGACGGAAAGGCCTACTTCAGGACATTTGCCTGGTTAGAAGGCTATCTTATCCCTGTATGAGACTCAACTGCTGCAGTCTATGCTAGTATATTGATATGTAGTCAGTGAAGCCCCTCAAATTCTATCATAGAACGTGGTCAAGATAGTTTTGACCTAGAAAATTTTCAAAGCAGGTGTTACCAGTTACTCATCACTGCCATTGATGATGATACTTCCACAAACATCTGATTTTCAATAACCTGATTTTTCCAGTGAATGTACCAGAATGAATGATCTACAAAACGTATACAGAAATAAATAAGGAAATTAACCTACTCTGTAGGTTTATTTGATAGATCCAATTTATTCTAACTTAGAATAGCTAAACGAGACTTTTTTATATATCAGAAACAATTAATAAACCTAATCAGCAACATGTGGAAAGATATAAGTTGTTGTTACCCTTCATTTAACTATAATATATAAAAATGTCTAAAGATAATATCTTTAAGAATTGTTAGTTTTTTTATTTTGCAATTCTCTTGAGCTTTGGGTTGCAGTATTTCTTACTGAGAAATAAAGATGTCTCTAACTTCTTGATGTATTAATTAGGTTTTTTTTCTTTTTAAATGGAGTAAGTTATTGAAAACTCAATTGGAAGTCTTAAATTGTAAAAGATTTATCTGCTCATGTCACTGGAAATGCAGTCACATGGTGCTTCAGGAATGATTGTTCCCACAAATCACTGAGGACCAATCTTTTGTCTAACCCTCCACTCTGCTATCCCCAGGCTGGTTTCCCTTGTGGCACTGGTGTGGCTGTCAGTAACGTGTGAGGTCATGTGCTTCCTTGCACCTAATTCAGCTGGGCCCTCTGCTTCATCATTCCAAGAAAGACTTCTGAGATTTACTCTAGGCTGTTCCTGTCACATAAACCAATGACTCTGGCCAAAGGGGAAAAACAAAAGGATCATTTAGCTTACAACCCAGAGCCTACCTTGCAACCAAGGAGTGGCAAGGAGAGAGTAATGCAGTCTTCCTCTGGGTCAACTGGCAATCTTGGAAAAGAGTCACCCCCATATGAAAATTTGGGCACCTGAGAAAGCAGGGTGGCTGCTGGGTAGACAAGCAACAATTTCTACTCTGCTTAGATTGGGTCTTGTGGGTCACACCAGGGAGCTGGGTTCCTAGGCCACATGGCAACAGAGGGACAGAGAGGGCATGGACTCTACTGAGTGCCTACCTTGTGCTTGGCTCTGGGCTGGGAATTTTTCCATTACTGCATTTATGTTTTGCCACAGCCGTATGAGGTGGTATTATTACATTCCCACTTTATGTTTGAAAAAATCAGGTTCAGGAGGATGAAAATTTGATGAAGCCAGTTTTAAATTTCTCTCTAAAACCAGCCCTACCCACTAGCCCCCAAGCTCAAACAGAATGAAGCAAAATATCTTTATCCCTTTTTCTTCATCCACATTTGTATTTCATGCAAACTCTTTTGATTATGTGATTTGATGCACATAGAGGGTTAACAATATGAAGGGACCTCAAAAATTTCATGGAAAGATGAAATTAAAAGATGACAATACAAAGTATAAACTTTATTTCTCAACTTAAGCCCCATCAAGTTCAAGGCACTTTTGTAAGCAGTGGTACCAGCCATTTAGTTCACCCCTAAAAAACTGAGGGTCCTAGAAATTTAACTATATCAATAGTCTTTTCACATTATTAACTAAAGAAAAATGGGTCCCCTTTGAAGATTATTTTTAAGATTAAGAAACAAAAAAAGAAGGCAGAAGGAGCCAAATCAGGACTGCAAGATGGATCCCTCATGATTTCCCATCAAAACTCTTGCAAAATTGCCTTTGTTTGAGCAGGAACATTGTCATGATGGAGAAGGACTCTCTGATAAAGCGTTCCCAGATGTTTTTCCTCTAAAGCCTTAACTAACTTTCTCAAAAACACTCTCATAATAAGCAAACATTATCATTCTTTGGTCCACCAAAATGTCAACAAGCAAAATGCCTTGAGCATCCCAAAAAGCTGTTGCCATGACCTTTGCTCTTGACCAGTCTGCTTTTTCTTTGACTGGACCACTTGCATCTCTTGGTAGCCATTGCTTTGATTTTGCTTTGTCTTCAGGATCATACTGGAAAAGCCATGCTTATCCCCTGTTACAATTCTTCAAAGAAATGCTTCAGCATCTTGATTCCACTTGTTTAAAGTTTCCAGTGAAAGCTCTGCTCTTGTCTGCAGCAGCATTGTGTGCAATGGTTTTGGTACCCATGGAAAGAAAACTTTGCTCAACTTCAATATTTCAGTCAGAATTGTGTAAACTGAACCAACTGAGATATCTACGGTGTTGGATATTCTTTCCACTGTTAATCATTGGTCTTCTTTAATTAGGTCATGTATTAGTCCATCTTCATGCTGCTGATAAAGACATAACTGAGACTGGGCAATTTACAAAAGAAAGAGGTTTACTGGATTTAACAGTTCCATATGGCTGGGGAGGAAGACATGGAGGAGCAAGTCACGTCTTACATGGATGGCAACAGGCAAAGAAAAGAGAGGTTGTGCAGGGAAACTCCTGTATTTAAAACCATTAGCTCTCATGAGACTCATTTACCATCATGAGAACCGCACAGGAAAGACCTGCCTCATATTAAGTCACCTCCCACCAGGTTCCTCCCACAACACGTGGGAATTGTGGGAGTTACAATTCAATATGAGATTTGGGTGGGGACGCAGCTGAACCATATCCAGGCATAAGCAAGATGAATTTTTCTTCTTGCAAATTGATGTGGATGGTTTGCTGCTGTGGGCATCATCTTCAACATTGTCTTGTCCATTCTTAAAATGATTTATCCGTTTTTAAACTGCTGGTTTCTTTGGGGGCACTGTCACCATGAACTTTTCATAAAGCATCAATAATTTCACCATTCTTTCACCCAAGCTTCACTATAAATCTGATGTTTGACTTGCTTCAATTTTAGCAGAAATCATGTTGCTTTGACAGGGGCTCTTTTCAAACTGACATCTTATCCTTCTTAGTGCCTCAAACTAGATCTTGTTTAGACATGCTATACCAAGTTAGTGTGAGTTTATTTTGGCACAAAATAAATATGCAGTCCATGCACAGTTTTTTCATAATACACATTTTTCCACAAACTTTTCGAAGACCCTATGTATCTATATCATTTGAAGAAACAAGCCTTTGGGCCTATCAGAATGTGATGTATTAGGCAACATACTCACTAAGAATAGTTTTCCTAATGTTCATTGAGTTGCTAAAAAATAAATTTAACCAAACCCCACCAGTTCTACATGGCATCTAATATTTCTATATTCATTAGTGGAACAGTTATTTTTATACTTGGAAGCATCTGTCATTGCATTGCAGATATCTGACTCAAGTCTTAAATTTCTGATCTTTTAAATTGTGTAAATGTCATCCTTATTGGTCAGACAGACGGATGTGGAATCTTGACACATAACTTCTTATTCTATTATCCTGTCTAGAGATTTTTATTTATACAGCTGTCTGTGTATCAGCTTCTTGGGACAGGCTTTTAACTATTTTAAAAGGAATTCTGTCTTGTAGATGAAGGAATAAAGCAAGAATCTTAGCAGAGGATTGATAAGAGTAAAAAAATATTTACCCTAATGAGATTTTCTGCTGGTAAATCCAGTTTCATGCTATAACAGGAAGCAATCTTCATTGCTCCTTTAATAGTGTAGAGCTGGCCTTCCTTCCTGGTTGTGCCATGGCACATGTCTGGAAGGAGATGCTTTCTTAATGTTAGTGATATTAAAACCTCCACTTAACTCATGCAGCTCAGCTCACTGGCAGTCTCAAATGCATTTTAGCTCTGTGGCACTTATTTATATTGTCAGATATCTGTTAACTAACCAAAAGGTAAGTTTAAAACTTGGTATGTTAGAATAGACTGCTTTTCTTAGTTTTTCAACAGTGAATTACCCAGCAAGGAGGAGTTTAATATTTTAAATATTAATGTTAATATTTTAAAATAGAGCATCTGTCACTCTATATGTTAAAATGTGAGGCTGACCCAGTAGTGGCTGGGCAACTGTCACTGCAAGGGCCATTACAGAAGAGGCTGTCCTGTCTCCATGGGTCTTCCCTAGGATGCCCCATTTTATTTCCTTGTACCTATTTCACTATTCCACACATTGCCTGGTTGTATCTGGGGCCCTTAATCTCTTTCTTTGGGACTTTCCTTGCTGTTTCTGAGGCTCTTCCCCATTCCCCATACAATGTTGGCTGTTTTCCCTTATTTTCTCCATTAGAATCTTCTGCTAAGGAATGATTCATCAAGGTTTATCATGGTAAGACATTGCTTCTACTACATGACCCACTAAAGTGGCTACAAAAACAAGTAGTATTAGATAGTTTTGGGTTTATCATAAAAATGTATGCAAACGTTCTATACCATATGTATTAGTCTATTTTCATACTTCTATGAAGAAATACTTGAGACTGGGTAATTTATAAAGAAAAGGAGGTTTAATGGACTCACAGTTCCACATGGCTGGAGAAGCCTCACTCTTACGGTGGAAGGCAAAGGAGGAGCGAAGGCACGTCTTACATGGTGGCAGGCAAAAGAGC
This sequence comes from Homo sapiens, assembly GCF_000001405.40. NCBI lineage: Eukaryota > Metazoa > Chordata > Mammalia > Primates > Hominidae > Homo > Homo sapiens. Next base: position 156,496,424 of record NC_000003.12, on the reverse strand, counting down.
ATGTGCAGGGAAACTGCCTTTTATAAAACCATCAGATCTCATGAGACTTATTCACCATCATGAGAACAGCACAGAAACACCTGTCCCTGTGATTCAATCACCTCCCACCAGGTCTCTCCCAAGACACGTGGGGATTATGGGAGCTACAATTCAAGATGAGATTTGGGTGGGGACACAGCCAAACCGTATCACCATAAGAAAGAAATTGATTTAAAACAATAATAATATTTTTCTTTATAAATCTTTACAAATATTGTGCCTTTACAAAACTGACATGGAGAAAAATGTCACATATTTACTCTGTGGCTCCTTCAACTCACTCCCTGCCTCCCAAACCCACCTCTTACACACACAAACACATTTCCTTGTGCTTCAGGGGAAACACCTGCCTGGTTGTGAGGCAAAGGGCAGTAGGAAGGAGTCAGTGATAGAAAATGTGTAATGTATTGTCCTTCTCAGGGACTACACATTCATCAGGCACAGACTCCAGACTCCTAGTTCACCCTAACTCTTTATGGTCTGAACTTTTGTGTTATCTTCATGAGACATTTTGAGATGCTCCCTTACATTAATATTAAGGGTCTTTTACCTTCCGGGGTATTAAAAATGACAGTTAACACATATGGTACCTGTAAGGTGCCTAGCAATGTTCTAAACACTTTACATGTTAACTACTTTATTCCTCACAGCAATATGATAGAATAGGGTTATTACTGTTATTCTTATTTCGCACATGAGGAAACTGAGGCACAACAAAGGTGGGTAAATTGTTCAAGGTTACCCAGCTAGTAAGTGATGGAGCTGGGATTTGATAGCAGGCAGTCTGGCTCTAGTCTGCTGTTGTTCACAGAGAACACTTCAGCAAGTTAGAAATCAGCAAACTTAGTATTCCATTGTGTGTATGTATCACATTTTCTTTATCAAGTCTATCACTGGTGGGTATTTAGGTTGATTCAACATCTTTGCTTTTGTGAATAGTGCTGCAGTGAACATACATGTGCATGTATCTTTATAATAGAATGATTTATATTCCTTTGGATACATACCCAGTAATGGGATTGCTGGGTTGAATGGTATTTCTCCTTCTGTGTCTTTGAGAAATTGCCATGCTGTCTTCCACAATGGCTGAACTAATTTACACTTCCACCAATAGTGTAAAAGTATTCCTTTTTCTTCACAACCTCACATACCATGGAATACTATACAGCCACAAAAAGGAATGAGATCATGTTCTTTGCAGGGACATGGATGGAGCTGGAGGCCATTATCTCTAGCAAACTAATGCAGAAACAGAAAACCAAATACCATGTGTTCTTATTTATAAGTGGGAGCCGAATGATGAGAACACATGGACACACTGCAGGGCACACACACTGGGGCCTGTTGAGGAGTTGAGGGTAGGAGGAGGGAGAGTATCAGGAAGAATAGCTAAGGGATGCTGGCCTTAATACCTGGGTCATGCGATGATCTGTGCAGCAAACCACCATGGCACATGTTTACCTATGTAACAAACCTGTACATCCTACACATGTATTCCTGAACTTAAAAGTTGGAAAAAAAAGAAAAAAATTGGCAAACTTGCTTGTAACCAGCAAGATAGATCAAGAGGCTTTGACAGAACATAACAGGTTACATTGAAGGAATGAAATGTTAACTCTTGAACTTCTTTGGGAACCCACAGGAACCATATTCTGCTTCCTGAGGTCACTTACTTCATACAGATGGCTGCTCAGTGTGTGTGACTACAAGGCACTCCTCTGTGACACAGCAATGTGAAGTCTCTTTTCCCTACTTGGCCTTCATTGCCTTGAAACTTTCACACGTGAATCTCTTTCAACATAGGAATTTGACAGGACAGATACAGAACAGTGGAGAAACAGGTCATTAGTTCCCAAGCTGTCCTTCACTCATAAGCTATTGTCTACAATAAAGCAGGAAAAGATAAGTGCTGAGTAGAGAAGGAGGCACCATGCAGAATAGGTGAGAAAGGAGGGTGTTTAAATTTAACTAAGGGCATTAGGATGGCTTCCCAGGGAAAAGTCTAGGGAAACACTGGCAGCCCTAAGAGCCATGCTCTTCCAAATTTTTTATTATGCTTCCCAATCAGTCAAACAAAAGGACATAAATAACAAAATAATGCTAGTAATGAATTATAAGTCATAGAACAAAATCAGAATCTATGAGTTCATATTGATATAAATAAACAAATAAATGGGGAAGAAGAGAGAGTTCTTTTTTACAGCAGAATGCCAATCTGCCCCCTTCCCCTGCAAACGTTGAAAGTGTGATGGAAATAGAAAACCACCTTGGCAAGCACAACAGTGCTGGTTTCAGGCAAGAATCACTGATGAACGCTAAAATTACGCATCATCCTGATGAGAAACAGGATATTTGCATAGTTTCAATGTATCTCCCCCAAAGAGACTTATTAATTACTAAAGGTAACTTTACAGTGGAGAAGCCTGGTAGGTACCACCATAAAACCAAGTGATCAAAGTTAACATCTTCAGTAATGGGAAAACTAGACATTCTGCACCCTCTAGCATGATGTATTGGGAAGGATACAACATTATATCTGTGGTCCTCCTGCCAAAAGTGCTTAATCTGAATTTAATCACTAGGAAATGCCTGAAAAACTCCAACTGAAGAACATTCTACAAAGTAGTCGATAGTCTTGTAAAATGTCAAAATTATAAAGACAAAGCCTGAAGAGCTGATCCAGCTTACAGGAGATGAAAGACACATGATGAGTAGCTACAACGTGTGATCTTGGCCAGAAAAGGATATTAGTGGGCAGCTGGAGAAACATGAATAAGACTCAGATTATATAATATTATTGTGTTAATGTTAATCTCCAGGTTTTGATAATTCTAAATGGTTACAGAAGATGTTAACATTTGGGGGAATCTGGGTGAGGGGCATATAGAAATCTTTGGTACTATTTTCCTTACTTTTTATGTCTGAAATTATATCAGTGGAAAGTTTAAAAATAGACAAAAGTACATACAACAAATAGAAACTCCAAAAAGGATAATATAATTTCAGTGAAGGATTCATTTTTTAAAAAAAGAAAAAGGATGCTGTAAAATAGAAATAGTAATATTTTCTTAGTATCCTGCAATGGATTATCTGGCACAGCCCACTTTGGTGGTTACTGAGGAAGAAGTCAGGCTCCCTACAGCTTGTTTAGGAAGAGGTGGGTGGGGCTCTGGTGTGGGCATATTTCTGGAGGGATCTGGTGAGAGACGGGTTGGCATCTGATCAAGGAATCTGGGCTGGAAAAACTAAAATTGGTTGTGTGTTTCTAAACCCTAAGGACTGTGTCTAGACTTTGACAGACACAGCCATATTTAATACTGACCACTCAAAACCACTGGTATTTTTATCCCATTTGTGTGGTTATTGTTTTACTCTTTAGCTTTGTCAAAGTAATACATGCACAGTATTTAAAGAGTCAATGCTCAAAGGCTTGTAACAAAAAGCAGCAGTCCCTTGAACTCTTTCCATGCACTGCAGAAGGAACTACTTCCAACTTACGTAGCTGTGCACTCTGGTATTAAGCTCTGTATTTCTCAATAATATTTACGTATTGCTCTCTTGGTTCAGCCTTTTGAGACATTATCTGTTGACCTCTCCTGGAGATGAAGCCTTTAGCTTCCTCTCATATATCCTTCAACACCCACTATCTTATTAATATATTCATATCTCAACTTTGGGTTAAGTTCATATTTTGTGTTTTCATTTTTTTAGTGGCTTAAACATTTTATTTCTCACAGCTTTGGGGTTGTTGGACTCAGCTGGGTGTTGCTTGTGACTCCTCCTGCAGTTGTAGTCATACAGAAGCTGAGGTAGGAGTATCTGAATTTCTTCCCTAACATCTCTGGTGCCTGGGCTGGGATGGCTGGAACAACTGAGGATTGGCTGGGTACTTCTCTGTATATATGGTGTCTCCATATGGCAGTTCAGGGCTTGGAGAGTGAGTGCTAAAAAAAAGTGGAATGAAAGCTGCCAGCTTCTTAGGCCTGGGCCCCCAAACTAATATAACATCACTTGTGTCTTATTGTTTTGGTTAAAGCTGTCACAGAGCATGTCCAGATTCAAGGGGAGGGGCTTGCACTTCAGAATGAGCAATTAAAAGAAGTAACCAATATGTTAAGGCTTTTATCTTCTTTTTTATTCTTTATAGCACTTAATATGGTCCTGCGTTTATTGTAGGTAAGAAAGAAACGCTCAATTCACTTTTATTTTTTGAAATGGAATGTACCTATCACCAACCAAATTAGAGGTGACATAGTTAGTATCTATTAATATACATTTTTATAGGAGCACTAGGGCTAGGAGTCAGAATTCTGGATAATTGGATTCTAGTTCTAGTTCCTCCAATAATTAGCTATGAGACCTGAAACAAAAGACTTACATTCTTGTCTGTGTCTTGATGTTTTAAAAGAGGATGGTGTAATTAAATTTAGCCAAATTACATTCCAGAATCGAATAATTTCTCTGATACTATGCAGTGCTAATCAGGACACTTAGAGTTCTCTATCTGGTTCTGTTCTTTTTATTGTTTCCTAATTTTATCACCTCCTATTTTTTCATCAAGGAATAATATTAGATAGCTAGCGTGTATTAAATATTCATTATTTATAGAGTCCTGTGGCCCTATAAGAGGAGTAAAAAGACCTCCAAAGCCAAATAAAGGCAATATAAGAAAATAAATTACAGGCTAATTTTTTTTATGAATATAGGCATAAAAGTCCTAAATTAAATATTAGCTTACCAGATATAGTATGATATTTAAAATGATAAAATAATACATCATAAGCAAGTTAAGTTTATCTCACAAATGTAAGTATAATTCACTGTGTTTTCATTTTTATGACTAAGTATTTAATATCCATGGCTGAGCAAAGTCATCTATAATGATTGTATTTCCTTTCTCCCATATATTTTCATGTTACCTTTCATTAAACAATTGCTTTATTAATTTAGTTTGATTTGGAGCTACAGCCGAGCTCCAAATATCTCTCAGTACAGTTTTCCACATGGTCAAGCTGATAAGAAACTCAGTTCCTTTTTGTTTTCCTGGCAACATTTCTTCTAGAGCCCTCCATCGTCCTGCTGCAGTCTCTGCTGGTCACTTTCTGTGCCTGCTGCATGGCTGTCCTCTTGGCGTTTTCCTTCCCATTATCTGGAAAATTCTTCTCCTCCCTTTAATGAATTGGATCCCATGGCTTCCACTTTGTGGCTTTATCTTTATGTGTTGGTGGAACATATTTTCCAGCAGCTTGTGGAGAAATTGTGTTTGAGAGACAGGAAAGTCAAAATGACATTACTTCTTCACCCTTGGTTTGTAGTTTGCCCATCATCTTTTTGCTTAGAATTTTGAAGGCCTGCTTCATGGTGTTTTGGTTCCCCATGTTGCTGTTGAGAATCCAGCAATCTTTTTTCTGGATCCTTCATGTGTGTATTCAATTAAATCTCTGAAATGTATTAGGATGCTTTTCTTTCTCTTTTCAGTTGTGAAATCTCATGATAATGTTTCTTTGCGTCAATCTCTATTCACTGTATTGGGTACTGAGTGGGCACTTTCCATCTGGAGACTTGTGTTCTTCCGATCTGGAAATTTTCTTGTATTGCTTTGCGATAACTCCCCCTCCTCCATTTTATCTGTTCTCTCTCAAGATATCCTTCAGTTGAAAAGATGTTGGACTCGTGGACAGAACCTTATTTTCTTATCTTTTCTCTCCTATTGTCCATTCCTTTTTCTCTTTTACTTTCTGGAATATTTTCTCAACTTTAATGTCCAGCATTCTAATTGACTTTAAAAAATTAGCCATTGTATTTTAAATATGTAAAATCTTTTTCTAGTTCTATGTTGTTCTTGCTCTTTTCCATCTCGTTTCTGTTCTATTGATGTAGTACCTTCTCTTATATCACCAAGTATATTATAGTTTCTTTGAACATTTCTGTATCTCTCTGCATTACTCTGTTTTCTTTTTTCTATTTATTTGAGCTTCTTTTCCTGTTAGAGACTTTCTTTGAATGTCAGATGATCCTTGGGTTTCAGTTCACATTTAAGAATAAAGCACTAAAATTGTGCTTGAACGGTGTTTGTCCACTAGTGCCATTCATGCTGTAATTTTCAATAGGGTTTTCTTCCACAACAATGTCAATATCTGTTAGAATTTTTCCTGGGACAGTTAATTGTCTCCTAGGAGATACTCTGTCTTCTGCATGGGGAGGGTGTGACCTGGCTGCTGGTGACCTGGACATGGGTGAGAGAAGGGGTCTGGGGTCTCAAGTCTCATAGTCTTTTTATTTGCAGCCTGGCTCCACCTTGCTCTGTGCCTGATATCTCTCAGCTTAGAGCCTGTCAACTCAATGTCTCCAGTTAATAAAACTCCTCTTCCTTCATTGGAGGAGAAAGGCAGGACACTGACTGCAGACCTGGGGACATGAGCTTTAGTAGCTCTGTATCCTCTTTTAAAGAACTACCTTGTTCCTGGTCCCTGCCTCACCCCCATCTTCCGTGACATTGGATTCTCTAATAGATGAACCATCCTGAGGTTGTGTGGTACATGTTAAGTTGTTACTCATCTGCAGGCACTTAAAAAAAATCTTTCCTCAGTTCTGCTAAGTCATTTATAATCCTCATCCCTTTTCCATTTTCATACATATTGGTCTAGGTTTTCAGTTCACTGACACTTTCATGAGAAATGAAGTTTCTATTTCTGTTTCTTTGTCTCTGTGTTGTGTATTGGGTAGCTTTTTATTTTTTAAAAGGAAAGGGTAGAAGCATTTTTACTTTGTCCTGCTAATTCCAGATGTTTCCTTACTTTTTTCCAAATTAGGAAACTGTGAGTCAGAGGCTAAGTGGCTTTTACTCACCCACTCCCTTCTTACTTCACCAGAACTCTCTTGTCAATGTTGTTAAAGATTTCCACATTGTTAACACCAATAGACAATGTTCAGTCTTCATCTTACTTGACCTATCAGTAACATTTGATATAGCTGATCCCGTCTTCATCTTACTTGACCTATCGGTAACATTTGATATAGTTGATCCCTTCTTCCTCTTTGATGTGATTTCTTTATTTCTTTCTTGAACATTACACGCTTCTCCCCATCCTCTCAACCTCCTAACACTGGAGAGTCCCAGAGCTCAGTCCTCAGTCCTTTCTTTCTATATCTTCTTTTTTTTCTGCTTTTACTACTTGTGTGATTTCATCAATTCTCAAGGGTTGAAATACCATTCGCATGCAGACAGCTCCCAAATTTATGCCTTCATCCCAAGATGGAGTTTCAGCTTTGGTGTCTAACTCCCTACTCAGCATCTTCACTTGGCCACCTAATAAACATTTCAAACTCAAGATGACTAAACTCAAACCCCTGAGCTTCCCCACAGCTGGTTCCATATCAGCTATGAATCCCATATCAACTGATGGCAACTCCATCCTTTTGGTGACTCAGGCCTAAAACCTTGGAGTCATTCTTCACTCTTTTCTTTCAGTCACGCTCATATCTAATTCACCAGGAACTTCCGTTGCCTCTAACTTCATTATTTATCCAAACTGAACCACATTACAGTCCACGGCTAGTGCCCTCATCTGCACCCTATTCTCTCATCTAGATTGCTATAACCATTTTTTAACATATCTCCCTGCTCCTACATTTGCCCCTATAATGTATTCTCAATCCAAGGAGGGAATGCTTAGGACTCTGGAGTTGGCTATTGAGAAGGCTGCCCCTATAACGTATTCTCAATCCAAGGAGGAGGTATCCTTTTGAAATGTAAGTCAAGTCACGTCACTTTTTTGTCAAAAATTCAGAGAGCCCAAAGATCTGGCCTCACTTATTTCTCTAAACTCGTCTCCTTCTACCTTCCCCCTTCCTTACTCTGCTGCAGCCACATCTATGTCCTTGACGTTCCTCAAACATGACAGAAGGCTCCCATCTCAGGGCCTTTGCACTGTTTCTACAGCCAGAAGTAGTCTCCTTATCTCTCTTATGGCTATTCACCTGACTTCTTCAAGTCCTTGCTCAAACCCTACCTTCTCAATGGCCAACTCCAACTTCCTAAGCATTCCCATTCTAATTTCCCTGCTTTAGTTTTTCTTTTTTTTTTTTTTATAGCACCCATCAACATCTAATATTCTATACAATTTAACTTTTTGTTATATTATTGTTTCTTATCTCTCCTGCCAGAAAGAATGTGCCCAACAGGGGCTGGGATCTTTGTCTATGTTGTTCTCTAATAAATCCTATGTATGCTGTGGTATACAGTAGACACTCAATAAATATTAGTTGGATATGAATAAATGCACAAGGCCAGGTTTTGCACCTGAGTGTTTATACTATGTCATGTTCTTCTGTGGGTCATCTGAGTACTATATGGTGACATTTAAAATGCATTACGTAGGGTTTTTGAGACAGGGTCTTGCAACATTTGATCTCTGCTCAGGAAGAGAGTAGGGATGAGAGAAACAAAATTTCATTCTTTCCTCTTACCCATTTTTTATTTTTTTTTTATCTCCCTTTTTTGGCTTTTTGTTAAGTTTTATGTGAATTCTCTTGTCAGATGGGTTTATCTCCTATCTCATTAGATAAAAACATTCATTTTAAAGTGGTTATTGGGTTTGTTTAATTACCAAACTTGCTTCTAGTTTCAAAGGCGATGATACAATGCTTTCCTTTTTGCCCTTAATACAGAAGAATATTGGTTAACACTAAGCTTTCTTTCCCTTCCTACTGCTTCCCTGTACAAACTGTTCCATCCACTGGCCCTTAAAAACAAACAAAATGGTTTTCTTGAATAAGCAAATTCTGAGCTGACTATATTTGGATTGTCAAAATTTTAAGTCTAAAAGTATCTTATTTAATTATCAGCAATTTTGTATGATTGGCTTCACTGGAGCTAGACACAACACACGCTTTCCCTTTTGAATTTAAAACAAATACATAAAACTTAACATGGGGATACATTTAGAAATGATGGGTAAATTCCAAACTGCAGAGGTTGAGGCTTTTGTGGCATATAATATTTTCCACTATTTGAACATTAACAAATAATTACTTCCCAAAGTTGAAGTGACACCTCAAAAGTTTTCAGATTCCCAAGGAGGGTATGTGGGGTGAAGTAGTGCTGGAGTATGAGGGATGTCTTTGTATAATGTATGAATTTTATACAGGGGGCCAAGTGCTTTATTCTGTAATTTATGGAGACTCGAATCTTAAGCACATAAGGTTTTCCTAAACTTCCAGTTATATTGGACTTAATGGTATTTTCATATAAAGTAAACAAATTTGTTTCTGAAACTAAGAGTTAAATTTTTTTGGCATGTGCATGTAATTTAAGTCAGATTTAAACTTAGGTATTTAAACGTGTAACAAGCATAACTAATGATAATGTAATCCTTCAGCTTAATTTTTTTAAATCTCCTACTGGTCCTTAACATTCAGTAGAGCAAGTATCCTTTGGCCTTGATGAAAACTCAGACTGGTCCCACATCTTTTCTGCTCATTCTATGGTAATACAGAGACCTAAAGTCATTTTAAGTCATAAGCACATCCTCCAACAATCTCAATCAAACTTCAAACTCAAACTCTTTTCCTCTGCCCAAGCTGGGACCTGTTTAGGCTAGAAGACTACAAGAGTGTCAGGTATGTTTGGTTTCTCTGTTTCTCTATTTTCTCCCTCAAATCCCTGTCCTCCAGCCTTCATCCTCCAGGAGGCCCTGAAGGGCAGGACTCAAGAAGACCCCACACAGGAGACATTTGTAACTACCTTCCCTACCAGTCCCAGGAGGTCAGCACTCCCCCAGTGGTGCCACCAAGACAGATAGTCAGCCCACCTCTTTACCCCTGGATTTTCCAGGCATGCATCAGCTCCTAGGCCACTATGCTCCCCAGTCATGGGGGTAATGTTTTAAACCATCTGAATGGCCTTCAAACCCCCATCCCAACCAGGGTGGCAATGAAGAGGCAGCCTTCTCCCATGCTGGGGTGGATGGAGCTCACAGCACAGTTTTCTTCATACGTGCCCTTCTCACTAGACCCCCTTTACTCCCCTCTCTCAACTTTTATACTTTTGAAGCCAGTGAGGAGCTCCAGAGTCACTGAACAGAGAGTAGGGTAAGAGCAGAAGGGAAAGCTTCTCTTTGTAGAAGAAAACCAACTCCTAAAGAAAGAGGAGCTGATGGAATCAGGAAAGCACCGTCTCACAGCCCTCCTTATAAAAGCGGACACAGGCAGGGATCCTTGGTGGGTGCTAAAACAAGGTTGTGGGGGACAGGCTATTCACATAGTCTCAAATAATCACATTCTAGGTTATTTATTAGTTATAAAGTTAAAGAGGTACTGTCACAGGGGAGAAACCTGGCAGACATCACTTGAATCGAGTGATCAACCTGAACAGGACCAGCAATGGGATGCAGCAACCCTCCTGGGCCCTCGGAAAACAGTGTGGAAAATACTATGGAATAGTATGCAGACAGAAAAAAGAATGAAATCATGTCCTTTGCAGCAACATGGGCGGAGCTGGAGGCTATTATTCTAAGTGAAATAGAATCAGAAAATCAAATACGTCATGTTCTCACTTGTAAGGGGGAACTAAACAAGGGCTACACAAGGACATGAAGATGGAAATACTAGACAATGGGGACTCCAAAAGAGGGGAGGGTGGCAGGGTGGTGAGTCTTAAGAAACTCCCTATTGGGTACAATGTTCACTATTTGGGTGATCAGTTCACTAGAAGCCCAAAGCTCAGCATTATGTAATATACCCATGTAACAAACCTGCACATGTACCCCCGAATCTAAAATAGAATAAAATAAAAAAATTTAACAGTCATGACAATTAAATGTACTGCAGGATTCATGCCCCCCCCAAAAAAGCAAAACAAATAAATCCTATAAAGGACATTTTAGAAAATTTGAATATGGCTTGAATATTCTTGAGTATGATGATTGTGTTATGGTCATATAGAAGAATGCCTTATTCTCAGGAGATACTGGAGAAAATATTTATGAATGAAATGTCACAATGGCAAAGAACAAGAGAGGGAAAAACAAAGGCAAAATGTGGCACAATTTGGTAAATGTAGGTGAAGAGTATTGGGTGTTTATTCTTTCACCATTTCTATAAGTTTTTAATTTCTCAAAATAAAAAGTTGGGGGAAGAAAGAGCTATGGAACAAGCTCTTGCACACTTCATTTGAAAGTACAAATGGAGAACTGGCATCTCACTCTAAAATGTCATTTCAATTGTTTCTTGGTGTCTGGCTGAAACTTTGATTATTACATCTTCCAAGGTTTATATATTCCTAAAAGTGTAAACATATGTAACAACAACAACCTCAAAATATTTGTGCAGGACAATTACAATTTATAACATGTTTCCACTTATCTCATTTTGTCTTCACAACAATCTTGGAAATAGCTAGAATATTTTTATTCTTCCCATTTTACAAATGAAAAACTGAGAAGCTGAAGGTCTGAGCAACTCAGCCAAGTTTATATACCTAAGACTAACGCCCTCACCTTCTGATTGCAGACCTCATATTTTTTTAGGACACATATTAAATATTCAGGAGGGGGGTTAACAAAACCACTTACTCTCATTATTAATACTTCCTTTTGTACAGAAAGTAAGAGAGAGACTCGAGGGTATTTGTTTATCCCCGGCTGTCTGAGAATTTTCGATTACCCTGACACAGGTGGCTCTGCTCACTGCATTCAATCAGCATGCCAGTAAACCCTCAGAGTGTGTTGCTGCTAAGTCATGTTAGTCTCCAAGTCCTCTGCATGTCACTGCAGATCTGCTGCAGCAGATCGAGGAACTTACAGAAATGAATTCTCCTGAGATCCAGTCAACATCCCCTCAGAATATGGAGTTAAATTTTGTCACAACTCCAAATATCTCTCAGAGAAATGACAACTCACAGAAGGAAGTGCACATGAGTCATAAACCCACAGCCCCAGAATACTAAGCAGCTCTGTTTTTCACCTGACAGCTGGGGTGAGCAGAAGCACTCTCTGTTCTCCCTCTCTCTCTCTCTTTTTTCTTAACTAAAAACAACTTAAGGGAAAAAGAAGAAGAAGAAAAAAGCATCCTTTTGGAGCTTGGTGAAGTCCACAGACTTGTTGTGAGAAGGTACAATAGTCTCCCAAACATTTGGCCCACCTTGTTTTTCCTTTTTTAACTTACTGAATGATACAGATTGAATCTCTTCTGCCTTCGCTGTTGAGTAAAGATGTCATGAAAGAAAAAAAAGGTGGGGGAGGGAGGAGAGAAAATAGAGGAAGTAAACTGCATAGCATATAAGCATATCCTTCTTTAGAATCTTCCCTTCAAACCAGGACTTTATGGAATAAGGTTGGGAATCACTGATTTCCAAAGAAAGCGGAAAATACAACACCAGATGAGTACAATTGTTTTTCTGGAGTATAGTTTTCTTTAAAGCCAGCTCTTCACATATTTTCTGCAGCCTTGGCAATTGTTAACTTCTCAGTAGTTCTAGTAAAGGTAATTTCTCTAAAGCTCTTGTTCTTTCTATGGAACCCAGTTGGAAAAGATCATTTGTTAACCAGGGGCTCTGTTCTTATAGATGCATATCAGAATGATCCACAGTCAGAACTTTGTGGGCCTCTTGTTAATGCTGGAAATTTTTCAACAGGCCTGGAAGATTTGCCGGACCTGAGGCAACATGTCAACAACTGAGAGTGGTGAACTCTGTAATGTGCCTTTGCTGTATGACTTAAGATTATTCAGTTCTGCTCAAGAAAGAAAGTGAAACAAAGAAAGAGGATAAATGAAACTGGGTGGAGATGCAAGTAGCTTGTGAGACATAGGCAGAATTTATATGATGAGCATGGTAAAACTAAGTGGATTAGTAACCCCTGAGTCATAGTGGCCATCAACAAAGTAGAGAATGTGCATGCTGAACACAGATAGGAGGGAGGAATGGAAAGAGGTGATATTGACAACATATCCATATGCATACGACATCAAACATTTGAAATATACTAAATATAAATACATAAAATATGAGAACTTAAGTCTTCAGTCAGCCACCCATTGGTGACCCCCATTCTAGCCACAGAAATCCTCTGTGCAAGGAATGCAAATAGTCCTTAGCTGTTCATCAGGCCAAATGATGAGCTACAGGTCATGGCCAGGTGGGCTTGTCCCTGTGTCTTTCCAAGTATACTACTGACCCGGGCATCTTTTCCTTGCTGAGCCCCTTGCTGAAACCTCAGATTTGACCTATATAATCACACCACGGAGAAGGTCAATGTGGTAGATAGAGAGAACAGGTCACATGAGCACTGTGTGTCCCAAGATTTAAGTAGCTGGGTTCTTTCTCCTGCGTGAATTCTAGTGTAATTATTTTAACTGTCCCTATCTCTTCCCCTCTTTCTTCTCATAATGTGTTTTAATTGATTTGATAAACCATGTGACTCATGCATCTTAATTTGTTGTGTTAGCCTTCTTCTTTGAGACCTCTAGGATAACCTGGTAGTAGACCTGGAGACTACAATTGCATCAAGGTAATTTCCTGCATAAAAAAATTACAGCAGTACTATACAAACAGTAATAATAACAAAAATGGTAGCTCTAAATTTCGAGTAGTTACTAGGCAACATCCTAAGCATTTTGTGTATATTATCTCAAATAATCCTCACAATAACCCTATAGAGCAGATATTATTACCTACGTTCTACAGATAAGAAAACCAGGGACAAGAGAAGTTCAATAACTTGCCTAAGATCAATTGGCTCGTAACAGAAAGAGGATTTGAATTGAGGTCTGACTCTTAATGCCATACCTTTGCTATTTTGGAGGAGTCCAAGCTATTTTCCAAACCCCCTCCCCACTGCCCACCATTTCCTCCTATTAGGTCATCCTAACTAAAATCTACCCCCATAACTTCCTAGCCCCCTCCCATGATTAGTTTGTTTCTCCATTCTATTATCACCATCTAATGTAACTTTCTTACTAACTTTTTGTCTGTCTCCCCAACAAGAATGTGATTTTTCTAAGGATAGGATTTTTGTTTATTAACTTCTGCTTCTCCAAGTGCCCAAAACAGTGCTTAAATAGTAAGTATTCAGTGAATATCAACTGAATGAATGAGTTAATCCTATTATTGAGTTGTTTTTTTTTTCTAGAGACATCTTTGAAAATAAAGTCACAGGCACAAGATCACCTTTCAGGCTGAATAGATTAACCCTGGAAAATTTATGATTAAATCAGCTTAAAGGGCATAAAGAGTTTCAGAGCAAAATTTTAGGAGGAAAAAAAGGGCTATAAGAAAATTACACTGCCAACTCCATGGCTTGAATCTTACATGACTTCATCACAGATCCTGTGCAGCCCTGCAGCTTGGCTATCTCCATTAGATTTTCATCATATTATAATTTCAGGGCCTTGGACTTCTCCCATGATTACCTCTGAGAAGAGATCCAGAGAAAGGAGAGTTTTACATGCCTTACCTAGGGCATTCTAGAAATGGAGCTTACGTTTGTTTGCCCCAGCTGTGAGTGAGGTGCTGTAACCACATTGTTAACTCATTCAGATGGTGCTTTATGTTTCCTCTGTTTTCAGGTGAGGAAAGTGAGCCTCTGTGAGGATAGTAGCTTTTCCCAAGTGTACAGTCTGATAGGTAGCAAAGCCAGAATTTGAAGTTGTGTCTGTCTAATGCCCTAGTCCACTCTGCAGAAATATTGTTCCAATGAGGAGGTCCACTATGAACAGAAACATGAGATTTTCTAAACAGACGAACTTGAGATGGAAAGAACCTGAAGTGAACCCTACTGTCCCCCATTGTCATTTCTTAGGACGGATGAAATAAATTTGTCTTTTTATGACACAATTTTTTTGGTCTGTACAGGACAAAACATCAGCTAAATAGGCCTAAAGTATCAGGAAAATTTTTGGTGAATTTGCAGTTAAAATGGAAACAAAACTGCTTTTTAAAATTGAAACACTTTTTTTTTTTTTTTTTTGCAACAAGCTTGGCTGGGTTTGGCTCATCTTCTTGGATATGAAAATCATTTTCTCCAAATTAATTTCTTGAAAACTCAACTGTCCCGGGCTTTCAAACCAGGGGGTTAAATTGATCTGATGTACACCAGAGGCCTTGGGAACGTCCTGGCCAGGGTAATAAATGAAATGCATTAAATAATCTTAATTGATACAGTAATACTCAGGGGGCAGCTGTATTGCCAAATTGTCCCTTTATTCATTTCTGCTCATTTAGATATCAATCAGATTTCTAAAGAGAGATGCAGTGCATCTGGATGCTACTGTGATTGTAGATGAGAAACAGCATGTAAGTGTCCTGGGGCTGTTTGGCAGCAACCTGTCAACATCTCCTTGAAATATGTTGAACCAGGTACTAGAATGTTTATAGAGGTTAGGAAACCAAGATGGGTTTTCAAGTAGAGGAAAATGAAGTTGGAGCTATTTAACTTTGGAGCTTTATTCATTCAATCACTCAAACACTTGCTCAGTCATTCATCCAGCTAGTCAATAAATATTTATTGAGCACCTACTATGTGTCTGCGGCTCTGTCAGACTGGGAATATGGTTTATAAGCCTGCGTGGTCAAGTACAGTAGCTACTAGCCACATGTGGCTATTGAGCACTTGAAATGTGGCTGATCCTAATTAAAATTGTCTACTGAGCAGCTGAAATGTGTTGCTCCAAATTAGGGTGTACACAACTGATTTCAAAGACTTAGTAGGGAAAAAAAAGAATGTAATATATGCCATTAGTAACTTTTGGATACTAATGGATCATGCTGAAGTGGTAAGTTTTGATATATCACATTAAATAAAATATAATAACTAACCTCACCTGTTTCTTTTTACTTTTTTTTTTTTACTTTAAGTTCAGAAATACATGTGCAGGACGTGCAAGTTTGTTACATAGGTATACATGTGCCATGGTGGTTGGCTGCACCCATCAACCCGTCATCTAGGCTTTATACCCTGCATGAATTAGGTATTTATCCTAATGCTCTCTCTCCCCTTGCCCCCCACCCCACAACGGGCCCCGATATGTGTTGTTCCTCTCTCTTTTTACTTTTTTAATGATGTAGCTAATAGAAAATTTAAATTATATATATGTGGCTTGCATTATATTTCTATTGGACAGCTCCCTGATAATATTTGCAGAAGATTTCTTCCTTCTATATCATGTTTTTTCGAATGGCTTGAAGGTAACTTTCAGGGAAGATAATAAAAGATAGAGGCAGAAGGCCTGATCTACTGTGGTTAAATGATGTTTCTAGGTTTTAGGTGGTTAATTTTGGTTTTGAAAACTTTTTACTTTGGAAGTTAAATATCTAGGTCCAGTATTTTGGAACTGTCAAAATGTAGAAAATTTGGGATACTGCAATGTTTTTTGCTTTCTGGCATTTTCTAAGTTGTCATTGGATATCCTGAATCC
Organism: Homo sapiens; assembly: GCF_000001405.40. Taxonomy (NCBI): domain Eukaryota; kingdom Metazoa; phylum Chordata; class Mammalia; order Primates; family Hominidae; genus Homo; species Homo sapiens. The sequence continues at coordinate 156,479,972 of NC_000003.12, read as the reverse complement.
CTGAATATCCATAGATGCCTGCTTTCACATGACAACACTAAAAAAGATGGCTTAGAAAGAAGTAAATACTTATGGAATGGGTTATTTGACAAGATGATACTATGGGAATAAGTGAAGCTAACTTTGGTCTTGCTTCTCTTATTTGAAATTGAGACATCTGGGCTGCTTTATGTCTGTGCTGATCTGCTGGCAGGAAAAAATTAATAACTGGAACCGTTATCAGCATGGAAATAATATTTAATGACTCAGGAATTCTGTAAGAATAATCAGTCTTGGCAACAAGCTCTATATGAAAAGTAAGGACTCAAATCCAAGTGTTTTTAAAATAAAAAACTAACTAAAATTTAATTTAATTTAAAAATCATATTTTCAGATCGAAAAGTTAGTGTGTCCCCTCTTCTTGCTGTTGTCTACAAGTGGTACAGGCTTATACCTTCCTTTCATGACCACAGTTAGGCTCAATCTGTTCTTCCTGGAGCAGTGAGAAGAGTATAGGTAGAGATATTAGCCTGGTGTTTGGGAATGACAGAAAGTCAAAAGAAACAAACAAAAAAACCCAAAAAACTCCTCATATGGCTCCTTGGACACACAAATGCTCTGTGTCCATCCATGTCCAGACTGACTCTATTGCCTGAACTTTTTCTTGTCTAATGAGCTCGAGAGAAGATTTTGAAATACAGGTTAGGGATTTGTGGAAGTGACAGAATTAGGGATATGAGCTTCATAGAGCATAAAGAACTGTCAGTGACTCTACTGGGAGGAACACAGACCCATAAGAAGGAGGAAATGGGATGTGGGGCTGATTTTTTTCTAGGACTGGAAAACATGCCATCGTTGCCAGATATTGTAGCAGAGACAGATGGCATGGCAGATGCTGTGAAAGAAAAATGACTTACTACTAGGTGAACCAGAAAAAATAAACAAGAGGGACAGAGGAAAAAGTACACAAGCTCCCCTCCATTGTCAGGAACATCTTCCCATAGCCTGAAAATGTCTAACTGTATTCCATGGGGTTGCAGATTGCGAATGAAGTTTCTCACCCCTTTCTCCACTGATTGCACCTTTGGAATTTACAGCCATTCTTTTGAGAGGACTCGCTTTTTGTCTATTGATTTTCTAAGAAATAAGGGAAGGAAAAAACTAATTAGATATATGATGCCAATATGTTATAAAGATGCTGCAGTTAATCTTTTTCTGGCTCAAATGGTTGCTGTATGATATGTAGAAACTGGATGAAGCTCGTCTTGGTTTATTTTTAAAATGTTCCCGATTAACATCATTTCATGGTAGAAACCACATGAATACAATTGGCATTTTAATAATATTTAAATGGAAGTTGTTTAAAATGTATCTTAGCGATGCTCATTGTGGGCACACACATGACCCTTGACATTTGCATAGTTTATGACTGGAGACTCTCAGTGTCCCCAAGTTCTTGTACTCCGCGCTACCTGGTAATCAGTGACAAATAAGAGCAAGCACTGGGTTGGGCTGAACTCATTTGAAAGTGCTACGTCCCCTGTGTTTAAAAGAGGTGCCTCAGCAGAATTATGTCAGCGTGGGTTGTGACTCCATGGGGTTGGCAAATAATAGTTGAAATCAATAAAAATGATTTACAAATGCTAAGGGTCCATAGTATTAATAAATGTAGATTTAATATATAAATACTCAACAATATATACTTGGCAACCACTGTTGTGTCACTTAAACAGAAATGGATGCAAGTGAACCTAAAATAGCCAACGTGAGTTGCTGAAACAAGAAAAAAAGTAGTATCATTTGATATTAAGGATTTTTCTGCCACTACCGAAAAAAAAAGGTTGGACAACTATCTGGTGATGATTTTTTCACCACATTTGAAAAATAAATTGAATAATTAATTAACGCCAATAGAATATCATTAACTAACAGAGTTACTGTAGTGTTTTCAAGGGTAATTTGATTATAAATAACATTTGCCTTCTGTAATGTTTTTAGAAACACTGATAGTCTTCCTAAGGTATACCCCCATTGTACATGTACAACTTTATTCCCATACACACACTGTATGAGTTACAAAATTGTTGCAAAGGTGACTCTCAACAACATGGAATCCAGAACTAACACAGGCACCTTGTTTTCCCCCCATTTTTAGGGTGCCAAATGTACCCAAGTCCACCGGACAGTCCTGTCTCTTTATTTCCTATTTCTTCTTTATTTCCCAGATCAGTACCTTCCCCCGGTACAGTAAAGTAGAAAAGACTATATGTATAGATGTGTTTCCAGAGACTTATATCAAACTCTGGTTGTTCCAGTGGGCCCACCTTGGAACAAATGAGTGTACTAAGTTTGAGGATAAACATTTTCTGAAAGCTAGGAAAAGCTCACATGGAAGCTATTTCAATCTGGAACAAGTCCTGCATGAGGAGCTGCCTGTGGAATGTCCCTGCAGGGTCCTCCCAGAAGAATAAGCCTCAGAGGTTGATTGGCCTGCTGGGGTGAGTCTCCCCTTCCTAGTGAGGGGGAGCAGGCAACATTCCAGCATGAGGTGGTTGATTGCTGCTGTGCTACAAAATGCCATGTGCCTTGACCTTATCAACAAGTGGCGAATCTCCATTGTTTGACACCCTTCATTATGCTTCTGAGCTTGGAAAATGACTCAGGATAAAATAGCTTCCCATTCCGCTTTGTGGAATTGTATATAAGAAACTACTCAGGAAAAATGTAAATTTTCTCTGATTCCCATAAAGGCTAAATAATGCTGCAGTTACGAACTCCACTGGGCAGCAGCAATTATTTTTTAAAACACTTTGAAGATTTTTAAAATAAATTTCAACATGTAATAAATATTGATACAAGAGACATCATTATCTTGTTGGTATCACATAGTTTGGCTCCTAATTGAGGATTTCCTCCTTCTTCTATAAATATAATGCAAATTATGTTTTCTGTTTGAGAGACTCCTACAATATATTCCTAAAATTAAAGGTAGGGGTAAGATGGGAACAAAATTCTTAAAAATCTCAGATGTTCTGCTATCCTGTACATGGTATAACTGCAAAGAACACTGTCTAAAAGAGGAAAATAGTCACTAGGCACTTAAAATGTGAAGCAATTCCAGTCTTTCATAGACCCCACTAAATGGCATTTTACTTGACACTATTGCAGACTAAATAACTTTAGTGCTCTGTTTTAATGTGTCATTAAGAATTGACTGGAACATTTCTACACTGCTGGTGGGAACGTAAACTAGTACAGCCACTATGGAAAACAGTGTGAATATTCCTTAAAGAACACGCGTGTTTACAGCAGCACAATTCACAATTGCAAAATCATGGAACCAACCCAAATGCCCATCAATCAACGAGTGGATAAAGAAACTGTGAGATATATATATATGTGTGTGTGTATATATGTGTGTGTGTGTGTATATGTGTGTGTGTGTGCGTGTGTGTGTGTGTGTGTGTGTGTATATATATATATATGATGGAATACTACTCAGCCATAAAAAGGAATGAATTAACAGCATTTGCAGTGACCTGGATGAGACTGGAGACTATTATTCTAAGTGAAGTAACCCAGGAATGGGAAACCAAACGTTGTGTGTTCTCACCGATATGTGAGAACTAAGCTATGAGGACACAAAGACATAAGCATGCTACAGTGGACTTTGGGGACTTGGGGGGAAGAGTGGGAGAGGAGTGAGGGATAAGACTACAAATATGGTGCAGTGTATTCTGCTCTAGTGATAAGTGCACCAAAATCTTACAAATCACCGCTAAAGCACTTACTCATGTAACCAACTACCACCTGTACCCCAATAACTTATGGAAAAATAAGATAAAAAATAAAAAAAAGAGTTGAATAACGTCATATTATCCTTGCAATAAATACTTCTTATACTAATAAAATGCTTATGATTTGCTTTCTCAAACACCTAATCTTTGCTTTGACAAAAAATATGCAGTTTTATGTCATTTCCATGGAAAATTTCCCACGCTGATACTGCTTTATAATAAACTCCTAATTTTACCCGGATTCAAGAAAGAAGAAAACTGTAGGAGAAAGTTAGTTATAAGACTATATATATTTTACATTTCTCTGTAGTTGAGAATGAGACAAATGGCAAGGAAAATAATTTCCATAACTTTTTTATGGTCAGAAATACAACCCAGAAAAATTTATAATATGTCAATCATTTATACTTTTCCATTACTATAACCCTTCTATAACCCTATAACAAGAACCACTCTTTACAGAGCCTGATTTATTACAAGATCCTGCCTTTTGAATCATCAAGGACAAAGTTACCTTCAATGTAATCTCATGTGAATCAAACTATTCTAATTATTTTAAAAGTGGTAATCCACATCATACTGTTCAAATAACCAGAATATTCATTTTTGCTCTTTTTCTCAAATATCTTCATTCTCAATCACCTCAGGTAAGTGATAATCCATATGATTTTAAACTTCAGTTAACTGGAACATTCTTTTTAATTCATCCTCAGCCTCTCAAACTATCTTCTGTCTCAAACATCCTAGCAAGTTCTGTAAATAAATGTAAATCGAAGAAAATCTGGTTTTAGAAACATTCTGAAAGCTTCCACAGGGAGAAGCTTAAACTGTGGTCCTCAAACAGTTATAACAGAAGGGGGATAAAATGTTGCAGCTCCTTGAGACTCAACAATCAAACTGCAATGATATCTTATTTTGAAGCAGTCACTGCTGTGGAATCCCTGCTGGTGGCACCACTGAGCATTGCTACCACAGACTGGAAACTAATCAGACTTAGAGCCATTATAAAATAGGAAGACCCTCAAAGGATTTACTGTGACGCGATGATGGCTGAGTTATAAAGCCCCTTTCCAATTAACTTTATTGTTTTAGTTGATGAAATCACAAAAGTGAAATGAACCTGGAAAAGGTGAGCACTGTAACCAGCGGGAGCCACGAGCCCAATGCCTTCAACTGCTTTAAAAGAAGAAGACGCAGCACGCAGAGCATTGGTTTTGGGGTTAAACGCTGAGGCCAAAAGGCATCAGTCAGAAACATTTTTATTTTTCACATTCAGTTTGATCAGTCTGAATACAATTCATTTCCTGCTGTGAGCAGAATAAGCCCTCAAACTGAATCAAGATTTCTAGAGTATTTTATTAGCTTTCTTAACTTACCTTCCATGGGAGTGTTACTGTCCGGTCGATTTGCAAAGACCACATCCACATACTCGAGCTGCAGCCTCTGGAGGGAGCCCTTCAATCCTGGGAGCAGAAGCAGGAAACAAACCCCAAAATCTAAATATGAGCACTATTCAGAGTTGAAGTTTGGTTTCTTTCAAGAATTTGCTTTAAAAAAATAGAATTGGAATAGTTTCAAAAATGCGTTGAATACAATGATTGTTAATTGACTCTAGAACGTTTTAAAAATATATGAAAGGCTGACTTCCCCCAATAAAAAAAGTCTTAGAGCTTTTTCAGGAATATTATCACTCTCACAGGAAAATATACACTTAGGAATGACCTTCACAGTGACTTGTATGTGGCAATATCCAGAAGCAAAATTTAGAATAAAAAGCAGCTTCTTTCCAACAGTTAGTGTTTTTCTTCTTGAACAATGCAAATTAATATTTATGTATTTTGGATCACTTAATAGGCTTATAGTGAGCTAGAGGTACATTTATTACACATAAAACTCATTAAAATGGTTTAAATCAGAAATAAATGACTGCCCCAACCCCATCTTAATGTAAATGTTGGTTTTAATAGTAATATAAAGGGGTTAGCAAATGAAGCCTTTGCTCAACATTTTACTAATTGGAACAAAGTTTAAGGAACATAAAATATAGCTGAGCTCTACCATTTCTATTATTCTCTGTTTTGGGGGAAGAAACAAAAACACTGGACGCTAATGCTATAAAGACTGAAGACGTAATATGAAGGAGAGAATAAGAACTTAAAAAGGGAGTCAGGAACCAACCGCCTATGTTTCAGCCCTAACCATTTGGTCACATTTCTATGAATACTCAGAAAAAAATTAATTTTAGTAAAATTAATGCTTCCCTGAAATAGAATGTATTGTATATAATATTATGCAACCAAAAGGATGACAGTGTTCGAGAATCATGTTACCCTATTTCCATGGGGCACAGCATTTAGCATTCTCTTATCAGCCTCTTTAATTCCTCAGGGAGACCAGAGGCTTTAGTCTCTTTATTATAGGCATAAAATTAATTGCATGTTAAATGAGGCTCTTATAAATTTAAATTTGGTTCATTTAAATTTGATTTTTCATACTGGTTTATCAGCCAGCCACAATTACTTTTCTGACAGGAAAATGGAGTGCTTGAATATTGTTCTGGAAATATTTTCCATCCATTGAGAAAGGATTGTCTGTGATGGTAGCTTGTTAAAAGCTTTGATGAAGAGATTAGGGCAGACAGATGTTATGAGGTCTAATGCCTTCTCCTATAAACCTTCTGTGATGCTCAGGCACAGGGTATCACCAGCTATCTCAAGAAACAGTGTGAAATTAAATTAACATGAAAAAGTATCATGATATGAGCCACTTTTGGGGACAGTTGTATGCAGGGAGGAGGTAAGGAAAGGACAGGAATACTAAGTAAACAAATAACAGGGTATCACAAGGTTTGAAAGGTCGGAAATCTGCACTCTAGCATGCTAGGGACCCCACTTGGGTTCTCTGACCTTTCTTTGAGACTCAATTCTCTAGTCTGCAGTGGGCCTAACAATACTGACACCTTCAGAATTGCTGCTCCTGGGAGAGCTGTGTAACATAGTCTACAGAACCAGAATGTGAAATTATACCATGGTGTTCGCATCTGGAAAGTTTCAGGGGGAAGACAGCAGAAGACCAAATGCCAAAAATTTTCACTAGACCCCCTGTTTTGGAAAGGGGCATTTAATGACAGTTCTGGCCTATGCCTGGCAGAGGAAATAAGTATCTTGTTTTCTGACAATGGCCCTCTCTCTCCGTTCTCTTCTAAACAGCTCAGTGTGGGCTGAGAGTAACTAGGAGAAGAGGCTACAAATAACTTGGCACTGTTACAGCACTGTGTGATCAGGCATGTCACAGACAGGTGTGATTTTGTCATTTATTATTCCATCCCATGAGCATGTATTGAGTTCCAATTTTATCCTGAGACCGTGCCAGGCTCTCGGGGTTTAAAGATGCACAGACACAGTCTTCATCCCAAGGAGCACTAACAGTGCATATTGAGAGCGGCTATTGGCACAGGTTCCTTGTTCAAGGTCGTAATATGTACCTGGAACTAATGATATGGACTTGATCCTAAGGTCAGCCTCATGGTATTTGGTCATTCCCACCTCTTTAGTTCTTTCTCTGAAAAGCACTTTCTTGATATTTGGCAAGAAATTCAAGTATCTGAGGCCAGTGATCCCTCCTCTGACTTTGAAGTGGAGTGAAAGGAAATTGTCCCTCTAAAGGACACTATCCACTCACTTTAAAAATCTCAATCACGTAAAGTCTTGTAATCCATGGTATGAACTTTGGATTCTGTGTGAGATTTAAAGACATTGGTTGGGGAGGGTCGAGTGAGGAGGAGATTAAGCAGAGGAAATAATATGATCAGATTTCCATTTTGAACTGATGGCTCCACCTGCTGAGAGGGACCTGAAGGCACAAGAGTGAAGGCAGGCACAGCCACCGCAGCTCATCCAGCTCAGACAAAGTTAGTGAGAGGTGTACACATTTGGGACAGGTTGTGTAAGTAGTAATACATGGACTTGCTGGTGTGCTGGACATAGGGTGTGGAGATTAGAGTAAATAAGAATGACTCCTAGATTTTTGGCCTGAGAAGTGAAGCGACTGTTACTAAATGGGGCAGTCAGGGGGAAAGCCAACCGGAGGTGGTCGGGGAGCCAAGTTGAGTCTAAGTAGCACCTCAGTCACTACATGGAGCTCTTGGCAGCTGGATGGACCAGTCTGGCATTCAGAGGAGGCGAGGCACAGGGTTTGGGATTCAGGGTACTGATTTGGGCTGTCCCGAATGACCCTGTGATATCCCTTAGCCTCTCTGAGCCTCAGTTTCCTCATCTGTCCAAGGACAAAATGGTGCTTGGTGATCTTCCTGCTTTGGTCTTTCATGTGACTGCAAACCAAATCAGATATTCCTGCTTTTTCCTCTCTGGATGCTTTAATTTTGTAGAAATACATAAATGAAATCAACATTAAGATATGTTTCATGAGTATCTCCTTAAGAGCCATTTACGTTTAGTTTCAAAAAACAAGTCATCATGTTCTATCTCCATTTAGCAAATGATTGTTGAGTGCTGGCTTAGGGCCAGGTATTGTTTTAAGTTTAAGTAGACATGCAAAAATGCATTAACCTTGGCTCCAGAAGGGCAGCTGGGCAGCCAATCTTAACCTAAGGAGGTAAGTGCTCCAGTGCAGCAAATGTACTTGCTGGAGGCTATTTGACCTTAGCCTGTGCCTCCGCACTAACCCAGCGTCTGTGGAAAGAGGAAAACAGGAGAAGCAGGAGAAATGCTCCCTGACCTTGAGGAGATAATTAGAAGTAAACTGGCAATTTCTCAAAAGTCCACAGGAAAATAAATTACTCAAAGAAAATAGTTTTCAAGTGACTACAGTAAAAAAAAAATCTAAGTCCATTTTTCTTTTAGGTTCCAAAGTTTAACAAGAACCATACTGTTTAGAAGGTAACCTTAATTCAATTTAAGTGTATTTCACAGGTTTCTAAAGAAATATGTTTATTCCAGACAGTCAGCAGATTGGCACAGTTAGAGGTGGATGGGGTGTTCACTGTTGCAGGTTTGACTGTGTGGAAGCAAGGAAATCAGTAGTTTGGAGATTCTGCAAGGGTTCTATTTAAGCATGCTGTGTTGTCACCTTTTACACCTACCACGCACTTGCTTTTCTATCTAGCTTGCAAAAAAAGTTGCCTTAAATAATATACATTGTTTATATAATTTCTAGTTTTTTCTCAGCAGACCTATCATCATAATTTGAGACACCTGCTTCTTTTATAAAGGCTGGGTTGTACTGGAATCATATTCAGCATATGGCTGTGCCTCCCGTTACAAAACGTGGTTATCCTTGATGGCTGATGTATGTTTACATGAACGTAGTACACTGAAAAAAAATCCTGTGGCAAATCCATTTGTTCAGAAATGTATTCTTTAATTGAAAAATCATAGATTGTCTTTTTCTTTTAAAGTTCATAGAGTTTAAGATTTGTTATTAATTAAAAAGTTTCAAGCAGAGCTTTCTCAGATTATTTTCCTCTCCTACTCCAAAAACAATGGCAGTGGGTTTGTGTTTTGAATTGTGTAACAAAATTGTTTACCTGAAAGGCAAATGTAGAGTCGGACACAGCTTTTGGCTGTTGGAATATACAAGCGATTTACTTATTCTTACTTGGTGACCTACCAAACTATTTCTTTTCCTTCACATTAGGCACTAAAGGAATGTATTTTATTTTAACTTAATTAATTAACTTTTTCTGTAGAGACAAGGGTCTCACTATGATGACCAGGCTGGTCTCAAGCTCCTGGCCTCAAGCCATCCTCCCACCTCAGCCTCCCAAATCGTTGGGATTACAGGCATAAGCCACCATGCCCAGCCAGTACCAAAGGAATCTGTTCTGCTAAATTCTAAGATTGGCTCAAATTGGGGTTTAAAAAATGTTTGTGGAATGGCTGAATGAGTAAATTGGATTTTAGAACCTGAGGGGACTTTGTGATTCTAAATGAGTGTAATCAATCTGCTAGTGAAATTTCTTCCTCTTCCTTGTGAATCTAAGGAGAACATTACACCTAAGCAGATCTAAGTCAAGAACTTTGGGCTCATTAAAAAGGCCTTTCAATATGAATTCTTTCAAACCTACATTAAGCACAAATCAAGCTCATTGTATACTCTGTAAACTAACTCAGGTGGCTAAGGTCACCCAGCACAGAAGTGGCCTGAACTCTGTATCAATTTGAACTTTCTGTCTTATCCTCTAATGGTACTTCTCTAATTTAATTTGTATACAAATCTCCAATGTCGAGTGAGGTCACCTTCATCACAGAACCAAGTACCAATGAAACCCAAGGATAATAACTTGTAAACTTTTTTAAACTTTATTTTGGGTCTCATCTCATGTCCTTGCTTTTCTGCAAAACTCACTCAATTCCCTAATTTCAGCCTGCCTAGAAAATACTTTGAGCTAGTTCTCTTGTAATCACAAGGCTTTATCTTTGGCAGAAACTATGGACTGTAAAATAACACCACCACCACCAACATAATAACAAATGATCTCAATTCTTCTTCCATCTCAAAAGTTTGAAATTTTGTGTTAAAGTTTGAATCTGGGTCAGCTTGAATTTCAGCTGAACTGGTTTATCCATCCTCAGAGATTAGTTCCTAAGAGAATTCCTGACTTATTTAAAGGTGGAGGGAATTTAAGATATTTCTATTATGTCATATGAGGCTTGAAAAAATGCTTATTTGCAGGCAGATCACTTGAGGTCAGGAATTTGAGACCAGTCTGGCCAACATGGAGAAACCCTGCCTCTACTAAAAATACAAAAAAATTAGCTGGGCACGGTGGCACATGACTGTAGTCCCAGCTACCTGGGAGGCTGAGGCAAGAGAATCGCTTGAACCCTGGAGGCGGAGGTTGCAGTGAGCCGAGATCGTGCCACTGCACTCCAGCCTGGGTGGCAGAGTAAGACTCTGTCTCCAAAAAAAAAAAAAAAAAAAAAAAAAGAAAGAAAGAAAGAAAGAGAGAACCCTGAAATTATGTACACACTCTGGTAAATATTAAAGCAATGGAGATGCAGTGAGGAGCATAGTAGCAGACCTTCTCCATTCTTTTTCTCTTCGATTTTATATTTCTTTGCTAACTGCCAGTGTGAACCATTTTCCGAATCTCTCTTTTCTAATTAATTAGATTAAAAAGAAAAGAACAAAAAACAAGAACTTTTCGGGAAACATACTGCTGCCCTGTTCATTCAGCGTGGTTCTGTAAGCTGACTTGAGTTATTTGTCACTGGCAAACTCCATGGAAGAGAATACAAGTCATGAGGGCAAATGCTGGAGCAGGAATGCTAGGGCAGTAACAGCTTTGAGAGGCAGCTTAGCTTTGACTTTACAATGTCAAATGGGACACTAAGGCCTGAGCAGGGATGCTGTTTGGGTGAGGAATTTGGATGCTTTTCTTAGGGCTAGAAGGTTGTCACTTATTGTAGCTGTTTCAGAATGTCACTACTTAGTAAAGAGTATCCTTATCCATGGAATGAAGACTAGCAGTTGTACTTATAAGGACAATGATGATGACAAAAATAACATGCGTTAAGTGCTTATTATGTGACAGACACTGTGCTCAATGTGAATTATATAATTTTTATCCCCATATAGTAACCTTTATATTTATAGTCTATAGTTAAGGAGACAGAGGCTAGGTAGGTTAAGTAACTTGCACAAAGTCACCAGCTCATAAATCACAGAGTTGGAACTTGAACAAAGGTCTGATTTGAAAGCCCATATGCTTAAAATTATATTAAAAAAACAGTCAGTGAGAGATACCAAACCTATACAAAGACTTTGGAAACAATGGGGTGATTTAATTATTATGGCATATATCTATGTACACACACACACACGCATGCACACACATATGGTTCACACTGGCAATCAAGAAAGAATACATATATATACATTCTGAGATCTGGCTTCAAATGTCTTCATTTTAAATTCAGTGATTGAATACTGAAACTATTTTTTTTCTATTGCAAGTCTAAGATATTTCAACGTAGTCTTGTTTATAGGTCTATAAAGATCTTCAGCTTCCAAGTTGGAATAAAAATACTCAAATGAAACATTAGCTCTTAGGTTCAAGGAGAGAAAAAAGTTCACAATGAAACGACAGCCTGAGAGAAAATATTTGCAATACATATGACCAAGCAAAAAGTGAACATCACTAGTATCAAAGAGCTCCTGCAAAGTATTATGACCAAGACAAAGAAATCAAAAGAAAAATAGCCTGACAACATGAAGAGTGAATTTCCAGAAAAAGAACAAAATTGTTAAAAGAAGCTCAAACTCACTAATAAATAAATATATAAATAAGGAGATAAATAAGACCAGCTCATCTAACAGGATGGCATATTCCTTTTAGAAAGTGATTTTGTGTTAAAATTTGTATAATTCTTTGACTTAGCAATGCCACTCTGGAATCTACCCCATTTACCTAAGGATGGTCACTTGTATAATTCTTTAAAATGCTAAAAACTGAAAATAATCTGTTAAGTTGTGTATTTTAATTAAGAAAAAAATCAAGGCTTAGGTTAATATTTGTGGCCTGGTTCTACTGTTTATATATATATTTAAAATATAAGCCAGTGTTTGGATGGATGGATAGACAGATAAGTCAGTACAACCATAGAGAAAAGGTGAAGAAGATGTGTACCAGATTGTCAGACTCTAGGATGGGATGAGATTGGATGAGCAAATGGAGAACCTGGCTTCCTTATCTATTTTGATTTTCGAAGTGGTGAGATTAGAGCACATTTTACATTTTTGGTGATGTTAGTATTTCCTAAATGAAAATATTTTTTAAAAAGGAGAAAATCACTTGTTTCAATGATCAATCATGAATCCAAAGTTACAAAATTCTTGGATTTTTTTTGAAATACAGATAGTTCACAACTTACAATGGTTTGACTTATGGTTTTTCAACTTTATGATGTAGTGAAAGTGATATGCATTTAGTAGAAACTGTACATGGAGTTTCCATACAACATTCTGTTTTTCACTTTCAGAACAGTATTCAATAAATTATTAATGCATGTGACATTTAATTTATTATAAAATAGCCTTTATTATAAAATAGGCTTTGTGTTAGATGGTTTTACCCAACTGTAGGGCAATGTAAGTGTTTTAAGCATATTTAAGGTAGGCTAGGCTAAGCTATGATGTTTAGTAGGTTAGGTGTATTAAACGCATTTTCAGCTTAAGATATTCTCAATTTAAGATGGGTTTATTGAGATGTAATCCCATCATAAATTTGGGAGCATCTGTACTTCACGAACTAGTATAAACTCTTAACATTTTTCTTTACTGCAAAAAGTATAAGTGTAAAGTTTGATAATATATAGACAAGCAAGAAATAAAAATTACTCACAATTCTCACAATCTTCACGATTAAGTAGAGTAGTAGTACTTTATTACATAATGGTTCTTGTTGACTGTTTTATTTCCTGTTTATTTCTAAATTATACAAAGTTTTGGGTGCCTTGCAAAAGTAATGCACCAGGAATCAATTACCTAGTGGTAATTTTCTACACATTTTTTATGCATATGTATATTCCCTTCTAAAACAGTATAGTATACTACTCAGTGATGAGTGCATTAAAGCCTTAGAGGTCACTACTATACAATTCATCATGTAACCAAAAACTACTCGTACCCCAAAAGCTATTGAAATAAAATATATATATGAAAAAATCTAAATAATAATAAAATAAAAACTAAAAACTATAGTAGTCTTAACATATGTCTACACAAAAATTTGCACACAAATGTTCATAGCAGCATTATTCAGAGTAGCCAAAAAGTGAAAATAAGCCAAACGCACTTTAACTGATAAATGGATAAACAAAATGTGGCTATCCATATAGTGGACTATTACTTGGCAAAGAAAGGGATAAAATACTGACATGCGCTACAACATGAATGAACATTATGCTAAGTGAAAGAAATCAGTTACAAAATATCATATATCATGAGATCTCATTTACATGAAATGTCCAGAATTGTCAAATCTATAGAGATAAAAAGTAGATTTATGGTTGCTTGGGACTGTGGGAGGGGGTGAGGAGGTGATAGGGAGTGTCTTCTAGTGGGTATAAAGTTTATTTTAGGGGGGATAAAAATGTTTTCACATTAGATTAGGGTGTTTGGTGTACAACTCCGTAATTATACTCAGAACAAATGAAATGTACACTTTAAATGGGTAAACTTTCATGATACGTACATTATATCTCAATAAAGCTCTTTTAAAAAGTCTTATGAGAATGTTTTATTAATATTAGTAATAGCTGAAAATGAGAAGAGTTCTATACAATTTTGCCTTTTCCTTTTGAGTTCCCATTCTCCCCTCTACATCTCTGCATTCCCTATATTTAACCCCAAGAAGAAACTTGGTTGATTGTGGCACTTTTCATATAGAACTTTTTCCTCTTCCAGTGTGTTCTGAATTTGTTTGGTTGATACCTTTCTTGAATGAGGGGCCCACAACCAAAAATAAAATTGAAGCAGAAGTACCCACCTTCAATAATATGCTTTCTTGACAGCCCTCTTTCTGTTTCAGCTCTGCCAAGAAAAAGAAGCAAATAACTTTGAATGAGAGTGTGCTTTCTTTTCTTCTCTAAATCTCTGGTCTGAATTGCTAATTTTGCACCCTGTTCTTATCAAATTCTACACCACTGGAGGGAGGCTAAGGAGAGAAGTCTGGTGGGCAACACACTGAACCCCTTTTCTTTGGAGATCTCAGTAGATGAATCATCCACGACTGTCACCAAGCCACTAACATGCTCAACACCAGGCTCCAGTTAACAGCAACTCAGCCACGTACACTCTGTCCATATTTAACTCAAGACACTGTACGACCTTTTCACCTTGTTCTTAACCAATCTAGAGAAAATAAAAAGGCTTGACATAGGTTTGTGAGTTTATTGTAAGATTGCCAGGCTGCTGAACTTTTTTGTTAGCTTTTCTGATAAAGGAAGCAAATTTGGAAGTGCCTTTTGACTTCCAAAATAAATTTTAAAACTAAATTAAAATGTGATGAAGCAAATGTTCCTTAAATTCGTACCCCCAGAAGACAGACCCTTAATCATAAGGACTTTTGCCTTCCCAATTCTCAAGCTCTGGCCAATTAGAATGAAATATGGTACTTGAATTTTAAAGTATCCATAACATGTTTCTTCAACATCAATACCTTTGGCAGCTTCTTTTTAAATATAATATTTACCATTCACTTTTGTGAATGTATTCTTATTTGGTATTCTTAATAAGTACATTAGTAATACCGTAGGTAGTATTCTACTACATATTCTACTATATAATGGTTCTTGCAGACTGTCTCATTTCCTGAAAGGTTTTGTAGCATTTCGAAAGCACTGAGCAATGGCACTGTGAATCAAAGCTCGGGCAATGAAAATCCACATTTCTCATAGGCATGATGTTGCTTTATTTTTGTACAGATTACTACAGGAATAAAAAATTTAAATTCCATCTTTCTGTCTTCATATCATTATAAATAGGCTCAAAACCAACAACAAAATAGAGTATGTGTTTGCAAGTGTGTATATACACATAGACATTTTGATTAGAAGGTTCCTAAAGAAGAATTGGCCTCTGCCTCTAATTAAAAAAAATTCCCTATCAATTATAGGAAGGTAAATAAGGTTTTGTTTGTTTTTGCTTTTTGTTAAAACTCCAGCATTATTATTATTATTATTATTATTTTTTTGCGATTTCTGTCTCAAAGATGGAAAAGCACAGTACCAATGATTGCTCTGGTATATGGAATATCTTGCTGTTTTCTTACATGTTTGTCAAAAAGGCCAGCCTTCTAAGTCCTGCTGAATAATGTAAGTACCAGTTCAAATGCCAGCAGGCCCATAAGAAGCCAATTCATCCTGTGAAATCTTCTCTGTATCCCACAACAGAGAGCATTTCTCTTTCATTTGGCCTGACAGCGAGTGATACAGGTAGCTCCATGTTATTCTCCAGTGAGATGGTCCTTTTGATCAGCACTTTCAGAGCCCTCTGCAGAAATGATCAGAGACTTAGACATGGAGCCAGACAAGATATTTTTATCTTTGCATTCTGTAGAAGTCTCTGAGTTTTGGCAGATTTGAGTGACTTTTCTTCTGTGATGCTTTGTGCCTATTTTTCTTTCCTCAAATTTGAACTCTATTTTGGAAATGATTCTAAGTATGAGATTGGTATTTGAAAAATCTACATTAATCACTTAGTAACAAGTGACCACATGCTTTGCACTAAATTTCTTTGGGATTACCTTGCTAAAATGAAATCTTAGGCTAATTGCTATTTCCTTAGTGTGAGAAAAAAACAAAAAAAAAACAAAAAACCCTCTCTCTAAGCCAATTAATTTTGGTACGTTATATGTAAAATAACTGCCTAACAGCAAAAAAGCATGAACTACTAGTTGTTTTCTGTTTAGTAGGAAAAATAACTTACTTTCCACCCCAGTAGAGTTTGGTTGTTATGACCAGACTGGACCTCCTGTATATCAAAAAGACAAACACAGAGAAGTAGTAAATAAATGCAGGTTATTGTACCGAGTCATATTATTATAATAGCACCAGAAAGAATTTGTTATTATACCTCACATTTTAAAAATTGGTAAAGAGGTAAATTTGTTAATCCATCTCACTGAAATAAAGACAAAGGGAAGCTAGTGCGGGGGACTCAAAGTCGGATCCTAGAGGAAGAGGCTGAATGGAAATGATCTTTGCCTGGAGGAGGTGGAGGGCAGTGATAACAAGTCAGATTGGGAACTGACAGCAAGCCCATGTCGACATAGCAAAGTAAAGGTGAGTGGTGGGCCAGCATGGAGGGTCAGAAATGGCGTGTGGGGATGAAAGTGAAAAGACTGAGGGGATGAATTGCTTTAGTAAGTCAAATGAACAAACAACAATGAACACGTATTCAGTATCTGGCCTCACGCTGATTGCATATGAACTCCTCCCAGGAGGACTCCACTCTGCCAAGGAACATGGATCCTTGTGGCTCCAAGTTATTATCCCTTCTAACATCACATTCACAGGCAGGAACTGACTACATAGACATTTAAATGATGAAGTGAATTATAATAGTAAATATTTAGAACAAACAGGAAAAAAATGTCTTTGAGTGTCTTATTAAATGGAAATGTCATTTTAGGAAAACAGTCCTAAAGTCCTTAACTCAAGTTTCTACCATTTTACTGCTAGGGGAATGAAATGTGCATATCTCATCAGCAAACTTATTACCTTCTGAAAGCCACAACCAAGGGCAGGAAATGCAATCCTAGCATTATGATCATGGAATAAGAAATATGTCTTGAGAACTACAGGTATACAATAAAATTGGGAAGCAGATCTCAGTGCAATTTGGTTTCCCTCGGTATGTAATTTGATCGCACTGGTCTAGAGAAAACATCATTTGAGATTCAAAGGTTAAGGCCAATCTTCAGGAGCGCTTGAAATAAGGCGTTTATAATTCCATCATCTGTAGGGTCAACGCCTCAGGGCTCTCAGGTATAAAAACCTAGTATGATTAATGATAACCAATGGGGAATGATGGTGACAACTCTGACAACTTGGTTGCAACAAGAAAAATTTGTTGAAAATGTTAGCAGCCCCATCCCACTGAAGTGAATCCCCCCAAAAGTAATTTGAATCACTATAATGGAAGGTCGATAAATACATGTACCTGGAGATAACACAACCTGAAAGGGCTGATGTACTTTCCAGGTTAATACATCAACCTCATGATACCTATTATAATAGCAATCTGCCACAGGGGAGCCCGGTCTCCTTTAGCACTTTCAACCTTCAACAAAAAGCTGGATGGAATATTATAAAAAATGAATGCAGTCCTTTTGATTATTCAAAGCTGCATATTCTATACAAACACTGCCACAGACTTAGTTTTTCAAAGTTAGGCTTCCTGTAAAACATTTGGCCTATATGGATATGCACATTAACTATATGTTCAAAGAGCAAGAGTAGACAGCAGCCTGGCAAATTGTCACTGACTCCCACAGAGGCTATTAGAGCAACTCTTCTGAGTGGGTAGAGAATGATAATGTATTTTACAGTGATACAGCACAGCCTTCAAAATGCTTTTGCATACCTTATCTCACTCTGTCAGCATGACACTTCATGAACTGTTATGCTGTCCATTTTACAGGTGGGTAAATTGAGAATCAGAGAGGTGTAATAACTTGTCCTGGATAACACAGCTAGCAAGTGGTAGCGCCAGGACCAGAAGTCAAGTGTGCTAGTTGAAACAGCTTTTATAGGCTCAAAGCTATGATGATATGGTTTATCTTTTCACCAGTCTCACGGGGGCAACTGTGAACTGATATAAACATTATGGAGTATAATAATAGCTTGAGTTTTTATTTGCAAGAATGAAAGGCAGTTTGTGGAAAATGCATGGTGATCTATTTTCTACAAAAGGTATATAAAATAGGTTCTGCAGCTATGGAGAGTGATAATTTAATGTTCTCTGGGTGTTAAGAAAGAAAAGAGCTACTGCACCGATACTTTCCCTCCTTCCTTAGATGTACTCCAGCAGCCTACGCCTTGTTGCAGACCTCACTGTACTATTAGTGGAATTATCTCCAAGGTTTCTGTTATAATTGAAGAAGTGTGTACCCCAAAAAGATATGTTAAAGTCCTAACCCACAGAACCTCAGAATGTGAGCTTATTTGGAAATAGGATCACTGCAGATATAATTAGTTAATAGGTAGAGGAGGCCCGTAATCCAATATGACTGGTGTCTTTATCAGAAGACACTTAGACACATGAGAGAAGAGTTAAAGTGCTGCAGCTGCAGGTCAAGGAATGCCCAGGATGGCTGGCAACCACTGGAAGCTAAGAGGAAGCAAGGAAGAACTTTACCCAGAATGTCAGAGGGAGCATGGCCCTGCCAACCCTGAAGTCAAACCTTGATTTTGGATTTCTGGCCTCCAGAAACATGCAAGAATAAATTTCTGTTATTTTAAGTTACCCAGTTTCTGGTCCTTTGTTGCAGCAACCATAGCGAATGGATACAGTCTCTATTTAGGCAGTGATGGGTAAACCAATACTCTGAGTGGGAAAGTAACTCAGGCAAGGTGAAGGACTGAGTGGGAACATGAATGTTTTTCCATATATAAGGTGGAATATAGTTTTCTATTAACATCCTTACAGTTCCCTGGGATGGGGGAGAGGGAGAAGGGAGAAGGAGAAAGTAGGTCATCAAAGTTTATTTGTTCATATCTCTATAAATATTTGGTTTTCTGTTTCCACAGGGCCCTCTATTCCTACCAAAAGTTTATCTCAGAGTGGGGAGTAAGCAGCCCTAAAAATACATGGGTCTGTTTCACCTTCTTAGTTTTGCTTCCTAGAGAGAGTTTAAATCATGTGTGCAAAAGCATAATAAAACCACTCTTGAACTCTTTGAGAATGTCCATTTTCTCTAGACTAAATTTTAGAAAATACATGCTAAGTGTTGAAGCATGAGTACACAGCTCTTTCCACAGTTGTCTTCACTAATATCATTACACTGTCATTTATTTGGTAATCAGCAGATATTATGCCAGGGCAGAGGAGGACCCCAAACTTGTTCAGTAACCTTTGCTGGGCTTTGCTTAATTCTGTACTCGTGCTGGGGAAGTAGTGGCTGTTGGGGCTGAAATCTATAGTGAAATGGGGAAGTATTACCTCCCCACTGCCCATAGATGTTATAGCTTCCCTTATTACCACTATCTTTGGCTACAGGAGGTGTTGGAAAGGGACGTGTAAGCACAGCCCCTCATGTTTCTCAAGGATAGCAGATGAAGCATTGTTCTGAATAGCCAGATAATAGGGTTCCTGGGCACACAGGAGAGATGCTGACTAAATGTGTTCAGATAAGAAAGCTTTGGGGTATTTATCCCAAAGTCTTCTTGTTTCATCATTCCTTTGCATCCAGAGTTAATAAAATAAACAGCAAACATAAATGCATGTGTGTGGGGGGATAATCAGCTTCTTGTCAAGTTACTTCCTGCAAGAGATTAGCACAAATGGCAGTCAGAAGCCATGAAATTGTCACTTTTTCATGCACAAATATTTCATGAACATCCCCCCCTTCTCTGCTCAACTCTTTGGTAATTCATTGTGATCAATGACTAGTCAGTAATTTTTGAAGCTCCAGAAGTGAACTTGCCGGCATTTATTTTCAAGCCACTATAAATCATTGCTTTAAAAACAGTTGATTTTTTTTGACAGCCTTTTGGTCAGGTGTCATATAATTTTATTTTTCCTTCTCTGGTGCAAAATAATACCTTTTTAAAAACAAATAATTATGGCGAATGCAATACCTCCAGCCTTTCTTCTTGATGATGCTCCCCAGAATCACTTCAGCCCTGGAAGGGGAAACAGATAATGTCTTAGAATGCAGTGTCCTGGAAAAGCAAGAGTCAATCCAGAACACAAGAACCATTCCTTGTTTGAACTCTCAGTGCCTACATATCCCGAAAATAGAAGCCGCTCTCGGCTGGTAGCACAGTTTCCGCTGTTTCTGCTTGTGCCTGCAAAATCCTGCTCCGGAGCATTCCAGAAGCACCTGCCAAATCCTGACACGCTGGCAGGAGACCGCCTGCAGTCCTGATACTAAGCAGCAGCAGTCATTTTGCAGTTTGGTGTTTTTGAACCAATGATCCCATATATAAATGTCCAGCTTGGTAGTGTCCAAAGGGAGTCAGTTTTCCTTCTAATTGCTGTGAAGCAATTCAATTGTGACTATGGAGAACAATGACACCTCACATTGTTTAGATAAAAAATATTTGCTCCCAGGTATAAACTGAGAACCGATGTGTGGGTTTAGATGTCCCACATAGAGAACACTCGCGTACAGAACATCTTAGGTTCCAGTGACAAACTTTGTCATAGGAGCAAAACAGAGGAAGACATAACGAAGTGTCCTTCCTGCCCCTAAGGCTGGGTTGCAGAGGCATACTGAAGGCATCCACCATCCTCTCCTCTTCCACCTACCCAGGCTGGGACCCAAGATTGAGGAGACAAATGTTCTATGTCCCTCCCAGTAAGACCAACATTGTCAGAAGCAGCTGGGGTCTCAGAGGCTTAGTGAATGGGAGATCAGTGGAATTAGCACCTTGTCCATTAGGATGCTATGGATGGGAGTCATGGCTAGTCATTATTGGTCTTAAGTGAGAGTTCTGTCTTTGTTAGAGTGTATAGCTTGCAATAAGCCATGATGCGGGTTAGCTGTGGAGCATGCCCCAAAGAGACAAGCATTGAGTCTTACATTGGTGTTGCTTTTGTTTTTCCCTATCTCTCCTTTACCTTTTGCAACCTTGCATTTCACAGTGGAAACCTATCTCAATTATAGACCGACAATCAATAATTAATCAGAGCGATTATCCTCACAGGAGTAATACAAACAGGACTCTAACAGACTTGCTACTTACTTCTCCCTTTTTCTACCTTAGTGCCATTTGGTACTAAGCAGGATTCCACAAGAAGAAAACAATGGAAAGGGGTAGAAGGCAGAAAGGAGCAAGACCATATAACCTTTACTTTCTCTCCTTGGATTCAACAGAAAGCATCAAGAATGTGAGCTCTGAACCTCCTTGATGGTCCTTAAACATAGACCTCTTCTTGAAAAGGAGGAAACTCATGCAAGGAAAATGCACTGGGACCATCCACTGATCATCCTGATTCAGCAAGTCCAGCAATTTGATTGTAATTCTAACCTGGAAGGAGGTGAATTAGGCCTGCAGGTGATTATACCTCACAGTTCAGTTAGAAAATTGCAGAGCTGTTCAAACAGCTGGGCAGCTATTTAGTTTCCTTGGTTCTGAGAGCTGGACATCCATGTTCCCAGTAGGAGGCCAGGGAGCCCCAGATCTATTCTGAAATGTGCTGGTTAGGCTGGGACTTGGATGGCCTGAACCTTGAGGCCTGGCCTGGCGCATTTCCTATGTGTTCTGGTTTAACAAGCCCTGTCTTAGGGCTCCAAATCTGCCTTGGGTTCAAAGGAAGGTTGCAGTTGGATGTGACTCCTTTCACAAAAGAAGCGAGGACTCTCTGCAGCCCTTCCTGTCCTCAGAATGGGCTCTGAGATCCCCTCTTACAAAAGATGATAGATTCTTTGGCATCTTGGGGGATCCTGACTTTGACGTCTAATCTTTCTGTAATGCTAGTGTAGGGACAGGCAGTTCAACAGTGAGAGCTCCTGTTTCCCTGCAAGGAGGATGTCCCAGTTCCTCAGGGGCTGAAAAACTATGAGATATGGTTATGAAATAAAAAGACTAACTTTTGAGCAACCATTTTGGAATCTGTTCATTCATTTGGTCACTCACGTATTCAACTAATACTTCTCAATCTCCTCTGCCACTACTCTGGCATCAGACTCCGCTGCCCCTCACATAGACATGGCAATTGCTTCCTGGTCATATACCCCTTCAGCCCATTCTTCATACAGGGTCCAGAAGCAGGAAGGTTTGGGTGAGCAGAGAGTGCCAGAGACAGTCAATATCCCCAATTCTAGTAATGGTGGTAGAGGGCAGAACAGAGCAGAGCTGCCAACACGTGGAGAAAGGACAGAACCTTTTCACCAACATGCTGGAAATGGTCTGGGCTGATTCTTTTGGTGCTACAGATGCCATTTGAGTGACACAAACAGGTACTGACTTACTTTCCAGCAGCATAGACTTCGGCAGTATCAAAGAGGTTAACACCACTTTCATAGGCGATGGTCATCAGCCGTTCAGCAACCTGCAAGGGGAGAGAAAGGTCACTCAGAAAAGCCAAATGCTTTCCAAACCTGGAAGCAACTTTGAGTCCTCTACCGGTCTTTAGGAACACTGACCTCTCACTAACCACTCCTTATTTTTCTTAGTTTTAGTGGAGAGGGAAAGAAAGAAGTCTCAGCCAGTATCCATAGGACAGAAGTATTCTTTCCTTCAGACATAGGGCACTGAGGGGTTACTTGAAGGCTGGGATTTAGCCTGCCCAAAGTGGATAGATTTGTGTTTCTCACTGGGCTGGGAAGAGCTGGTTTGACAACATTCTTTATGGCATCTTAATCTTTCTGACAAAGAGGGCCATTTGTATCACTGTGTGACTCCATTCCTCAACTCCTTTCTCCAAGCCAATAACTTTTGGCAGCTGGATGACTCCTGACCTGAAAGCTTGTGACTTTTTCCTTGAGGCTGAGACAGAGCTGTGACTGTTGTAAAACTCCTGCCACCCACAGCTCAGCAAAATCTCAGGCGCCATTGTAGAGCAGCCATTGAATCAACACAGAGAGGCGGCAGCGTGCCTCTGACTCACCAGGAACCCAGCTCCTCACTGTTCCGCCTGCAAACAGACCTCAAAGCTCCTTGTTCCTTGCTTTGTGCTGCTGAACGCAAGTGGTGAGTATGACAGAAGAGTACAGAATAGCTATACACAGCTTAAGGAATAGCCAGAGAGGGATAGCCATAAACAGCAGTGGAGAAGGGCCATTTTTTCATTTTGCCGATTGACTTACTAGTCATTTGAAAAATTACACACCTCACAAATAATTTTAATTGATTTTTCCATTATGTTTTGATGGCAGGCTAAAGTTGCTTCATCCGCATTTCCAAAATAAACTATTTTTCTGTTGCTTTAAAAATTAGCCTACCAAGAAAAATGTTAAGCTAGCAAAATGGAGTCCATCCAGATTCTTTAGCATAATAGTATGCTATTACTGCTTTTAATTTACTACCATTAAAACATTTATCTTATATTCCTACAATTTTTAAATTATATCCTAACTGGAGATTAAAAGTTAAGACAAGTTTTTCCTGTTATGACTGTCCTATGTTTTAAAAATTATTGTGCTTCTATTTTATATTAGCCTGTGTATGTCATATGACATACTGGTATATTATTGGATATGTACACAAATCTTATCTAGAGAGTTTTTTTAAGATAAGATGGAGAATTCTGGATGAAGATTTAAACTAAATGATGACAGAGATGTTTCCCAATCATTGAACTTGAAGGACTGAATGTGAAATAATGAAAAACATCACCAACTAAGTCTGAAGAGTGATTTCTGGCCTTGAGGGTCCTACTTACTAGAAAAATAAACGTAGGCAAATCATCTGACCTCTCTGTAAATTTAGCTTCCTGGTTTGCAAAATGGGGTTGATTTTGTTCTGGGATCTCCTCCTCCTGCATGAAGCCCAGAGGCCTCAGGCAAAGCTGACTTCACCTCCCTCTAGCGGGGGCCTGGGGGGCCTACGAGTGAGTTGCTCAGGAAGGGTCATGTGACACACCCTGGCCAATGAGATATGAGGAGAAGTTTGCCGGAGACTTCTAGGAACATTATTCTTTGTTCCTACTGAGTTTCTAGGAGCAACACCCTTTCCCCGGAGTCACTGTTCTAATTGAGGCCTAGGTTTCCGGCAGCTGCCTTTCTTAAGCAGTCGATACACAAAGACCCACACGGCCAGAGACTCGCTGGGAAGCAGACTGGGAGTCACAGACTGAGGCGGCCCTGAAGTTTGCTCTTCATCTACACTTCTAGTGTAAAAGTCATAATAATTTTTCTTTTATGGGTTAACCTGATTTGAGTTGGGTTTTTGTTACCTATAGTTAAAGGTACCTTAACTACCTTACAGATAAAAAAATGTAAATAAAACTCCGAAAATTAAGTGCTATAAGATGTTAATATGCTCTCATCATTATTTTAAGTAAATAATTATTCATATCAGTAACATCTATCTTTATTTTTTGATGAAGCCAAATCATCTTTGAGAGGCACCTTACAGAGTTTGGTGTTTGTATCCTTTTGATAATATCCCTGCCAAATGGTAATTCAATAAATGAACTCTCCCAGTGATGGGGACATCCCCACCTCCTGAGAAAGTGTTGACAGTCATGTAATTATCAACAATTAACTCAGCACACTGTGGTGTGGCCAGCCCTAGTATTCCATATTTGCATGTACTTTGTGTTGAGATTATTTGACGCCAGAGAGAAAGCAGGAAAATCGAGGTAGGTGAACTCACTGCTATTGGTCCGCATTTTTGCTACACGGAAAGCATTGAGCTCAAATAATTCTGTGATGGGTGAGGCTGAATCTGGCTGTGTCTCCCTTCTTCTCTTTGCTGGTATTCTCTCTTCAGGGACCCAGGGAAGGCCACAGATGCTCTCTGGAAGTACAATAGCTATTTTCCTGGTCTGCATCTGAGGTGAGTGCTTCAGCAGCCATTCATGACAGCTTTATCGTAGTTTTTAGACTTGAAATTTTGAAATTATTCATCTCAGAGGTCAGCCCTTCACACTACGACCCGGGCAAGCTTGGCTCATTGCAGCAGAGAGCAGACACTGTGAAGAGGAGAGTGAAGACTAGGGGGAAATAATGCACTTTACTTGGCCAATCTGCTCAGAAAGGGAAGATATTTCTGTCTTTTTCCCTTCCAAGCACCATCAGTAGTAGGTTATATATGTGCTGGATACAGTGGATTATTAACTGTAGGCCTCCCTCCCTGCTTGCCACCTATTTTGTATGGGACTTCAAGTCCATAGCCTGTGCTCTGGTTTCTGTGGCTTTCCCTTTGTGCCTCCTCCATACACCCCTTCCTGGTGCCAGTCAGACAGAGTCCTGTAGTAAACTCTGGGATGTGCCCTCAGGTTCTCCTTTGGAACCGAGGGACTTATTCCCTGAGCTGCTAGGAATGCTGCCATCAAATGGCCTTCCTCTGTCAGCCCTCTCTGGAAATTGCACTTGGCTAGAGAGAGTCACCTAGCCCGAGGTCAGACCTGCTTCCCGATCAGCCTCTGGTCCAATGACTGGTCAGTAAAAGGACATAAAGGCCCAGTCCTTTATGTTGTCCCAAACTGAGACAACTCTGCAGAACCATCTCAGCTTTGGAGATCCCCATGGAGTTGGCTGAGGTCATTGTTGAGGCTGCATCATGACCCAAGTTCTCTGTCTGCCCAGTGCTGCTTTCTTCCCTGCCCTGTGCTGATCCTGAGAACACTTCCTAATAACTGTCCTGCATGCTACTCTCTAGCTTAAAGTCTGCATCCCTGGGGAGCCCCCATGAGACAAGCCTTATAAGGTGACATGTGCCCAATACAGGGAACAGGCATTAGGATGGACAAGAATATACAGTTAAGACTTCTCTCTCAGATCTGCTAAATAACACTGGTGATTTGGGGAGCTGTGGAGAAAAGCCTCTGTTTCCCAACTGTCTCGTTAGGAATGATAGTAAGAACTACCTTTGTAAAGGGCTTATTCTGGGCCAGGTACCCCACTAAGCACTTTACAGGCATCATCTCATTAATCTTAACCACCATCCTGCTGATTAGAGGGTTAGAGCATTTTATTGATGTGGCCACCATTAGTACACATAAATGTTAGTAAACCAGGTCGGTCAATGGTAGAGTGGGACTGGATCCCACTCAGTGCACCCACTCAGAGACACTATCCCTGACTCTTCTTGCAGGTAGACACGGAAGGATCAGAGGGACTCAGGGCATTGCCCTCAGGGGAGTTCTTGGTGCTCAATGCCTGCATACCTCACTTATGCCATGAAGGTATTCCTTAAAGGAAATGATAAAAATATCACTTTGGTAAGTACTGTTTTGACTGTGCAAATGATGATCTAAAGGAATTTTATTGTAAATATAATTACCATAGCTGCCATTTATTGAGTGTCTGCTACCTACTAGTCAGAGGACTATATAAACATCTGATAAGCATGATGTGTTAATTCTTTCAACAGATCACCATCAAAGTTAGCATTAGCATCTCATTTTATATAGGATGGACTGAGGCTCAGAGAGGTTAGATTAAGTCGCCCAAGCCAGGTGACCAACTGTGCAGTTTTCCCAGGACTGAGAGGGTTTCTGCAATGTGGGCTTCCAATACTATAACTGAGAAACTTCTGTGTAAACTGAGACCAATTAGTCATCCTAATTGCAGCTAAAAGTAAACAAACAAATAAAGCAAAACAACATCACAGCAATACAATCTTTTCATAAAGTGACTAATGTTAATTCCAAATTGTTTCATTCTCTGACTGTTCAACCTGCATATATAATGTACAGCTTCAAGGGCTATTAATAGTCTAAATGTAAAAAATACAACAGGAAAAATAAAATCAACAATAATCTCTGAGTCAATTTTACCATTTCCTGTGAATTAAACCTTATCCCTGTAGAGTGTCAGGGTCCCAGGAAGAGGACTCCTGCAATACAGCTCTCTCTGCATTTTCTTTCATTAGCATAATAGAGGCCAAAGGTAACTTACCTCATCTGAAATTTGACCTCCAAATGTCACCCATGTTCCTAGAAAATAATAAATATTTGCATATTATTCATCATCATTTTTCTAATATTGTGCGTAATAAGGGAAATTCTTACTTTGGGACTACCTCAATAGGTTGTATGGGTAGTTCACAAAGGTACCTGGATGAGGGGCACATGTGGGCTGTGGTCTAGTTGGTCTAGTCTGTCTTCTTCTCACTAAGTATTCCAGAAGGGGTCTGTATCCCTCTGGAGAAAGGGCTGCTGTTTCTTTACTGAAAGCCACTGTACATACTATTGGAAGCCCTGTCCTAGAAGATGCTTTCCCTTCTGCTATTGGACCATGGATGCTAGTGTACAAGATCCATTCTTGCTCCCACTGAGCTAAGAAGCCACATGTTCTGAAAGTGAAGGTAAGACCTTGGGTTATGGTTATAGTTCTCCCCTTCTTTGCCTCCAAATAGTGGCTGTATTTTTTATTCATTATTACTTTTCAAAAGAAACCCTCTTAGAGGTCTTTCCAGTGCCCACTTACAAGACTCAGGAGGTGACACTTATGTGCCTTCTCTGTCATAACCTGCCATTCCAGAATGGAAATCTCCACTGGTTTGGGTGAGAGTGGAGACAGCAGCAGGAGTAAGGTTTGGGAAGGCAAGGGGAGAGATGCACACTCAGCAGCCAAAGACGTTTGAAACTTTGTAAAGTAGAAGGGAAGCTGAAGTGGAGTGGGCACTTGCTATGCTGGTCTCCAGGCACCTCATTTATTCATTCCATCCTTTATGGATAGATCCTCCTAAAAGGAGGATTTATTCCCTTCCTTTCCCTTCCTAAAGGAGGGAATGAATTCTTTTGATTCCTAATTACATGCCACATAAAAGCATTGCACTCACGTGTAAGGGACAGTGAGATGATTGGCCCAGTTCCTGTCTCGCAGGAGCTCACGGTTTATAAGACCATTTGACAAATGCTATGACTGAGGTGAACATAAGGCAGATAAAAGGGAGTGCTCTATTTAGATTGGAGGGTGGTGGCATTCTAGGAAGACTTCCTAGAAGAGGTGACAGCTAGGTCGAGTCTCACAGGGGTTAACTGAACGAAGAAGAAAGGGACAGACATTCTAGGGAGAGGCAAGAGCACCGGCCAGGAAAGGAGGTGGGAAACTCCAGAGAGTGCTGATGAGCAGGGGCCTACACCATCAGGCCGTGAGATGAAATGTGGGAGCACCAGGGAGGGACGGCAGGAGTGAGAGCAGTAGAGCCTGGGCACAAGTGATATTTGGGAGGCATACAAAGAAATGTGGTCGAAAATGCATATTTTGCATTTTGTAATAACAGTCCTAGCTACCATTTATGGAAGAACACTTTCCAAATGCCAGACAGTATACTAAGAAGCTTACCAGATCACTTTATGCTTACTTCCAGATGAGGAATCGAAAATTAACCAACTCGATAAGTGGAATACCCAGGATTCCCCAAACGGACTGGCTTCAAGAAGGGTATCCTTTTTACCACACCACACTGCCTTATTAGACCATTTCCAAATTAATTATGGCACTTAGAGTTCATATTCCATAGGAATACATTCATATAATTGTACCTTTTCTCTTACTTCTCAGGGACTAAAATAAAAGTAGGGTATAAATTGTTTTACTTTTATACTCTACGTATCCAGAGGTTGCAGATGGGCAGCCCACAGGGCGCCTTGTTTTGCTTGACTAGAATGCTGTTGATCCACTTGGTATTTTAATAAATTTTGAATAAGTTGCCAACATTTAAACAATTAGAAGATTTTTCTTGAAATGTTTTGATTTCCAGCTGCCTTTGACAGCAAAGAGCTGATGTCCTCACCAGGTAGACAGCCCCTAAATCAGAGGACTGTGCCCTCTCAGTTAATTAAAGCCTCCACATCTTCCTGTTGTATTCCCAGCACTGAAATCAAAGAGTAGTAGCTTTTTACCACCATGTGTTTACTGATATTTTTCTTAGTGTAAAAAGAAGAGGAAAATGAACTTGTGCATCTCCTAAAAAACAATTATTATAAGAAAAAAATAGGAGCATAACTTTTTTTTGGGGGGGGGTGGGTGGATGGGAAGTGTATCCAGACAAAGAATGTTTGCAAAGAAAAATTACATCTTAAGGCACCATTGAAAAAAAAATCAGCTTTGACTGCTACACAGAAAAGATGGGTGTTGGAAAATTTAATGGACTGAAGAAATGGCAGCATTTGTTTTTGAATGAGAATAAAATAAGTGAGTTGCTGTGAAATACAGTTCTTTATTAAGCGAAAAAATTGCCTGGGTATCAAAACCTTTTTACAGACAACACAGTTTATAAAAGAGTCTCTTTTGAATGCTGCAGAAATTATGTGTCCAGAGCCTCAACAGGCATTTGTAAATGTTAGTCTAATGAGCAACTTTGTAGCTTGGTATGTTAAAAATAAGATTGAGAACTTTCAGGACAAGTTAATTTATGGGTGGCATTTTCTCTTGCAGCAAATGAGAACACAGATATAGAGAATAGCACACTGTTAACTATATTTATTTGTGGTGTGGTGAGAATTTTGAAGGGGTCAAGGAACTTCAGAAACAGGAGCCCATGAAAGGCAAAACATCAGGAAATGGCTGACTCTGTGTTATGAAAAAGGTCTCAGACCATTTGGATGTAGAATGCATTGGTCAAAGTCACCAAGTGTTATAGATGGAGCTCTCAGGATGTGTGGAGTTAATGTCAGGCCGGTCAAGTAACAGCCCATAGGTGGCACTATTTTGTAGGTACACTATCCCCAAGTCCATTAATTTCCTCATTCATCAGAAATTGCTTTGGGCACAAAGCTAAAATGGGAGAAGCCATGGATTCAGTAATTAATACCACTAATTGGCTATTCTTCTATGTCTCTGAGCAAAATCAGGTCAACATTTGCTTAATGAATTTGCTGGCTTACTTGCACTGTGGTGCAGAAGAGATTTTTTTAACTGTTAATGTCATCACAGGGGATAGCCCTATCTCTGCTTAGCAGTGAAGATTAGCCCAAAGTCCTGAGCTTTTTGCTGACTCTACAACTTATCTATATTTTTTGACTATTTTTCTATAGGTACAGTCACAAGTATTGCACAAATGTTTCATTTGTGAGCTTCTCTCCGTCCAGATAAAGGTAACTTTTTGGGAAATTCATTTGTAAAGGAATAATTTCATCTACTTTCCTACATTGAGATCAGTTTCCAGAAATGAAGATACCATAAAATTTATTCTCTAAAACTATGCCATTGAAAACCAAATTCTAAAAATGTTCTCAGACTTCAAACTTTATGAAAATGAAATAACATTATTTAGCTTACCTTTCTTATTTTTTGATAGCACCTATGTTGGGCTATGATTAGACATTATCAAACTGTAATGCAAAAACGGTACTGAAGTCTATTTGAAGTCTAAGTAGAGCAATGCTGAAAGCCAGGATTGTACACACATTTTGGAAGAGGTGATTCTAGATATAAGAACCATTTACAGTAGTAATTCCATCCATGTTAGGAAGAGCCTATGTTTAGGCTCGACTCCAAAATTAATCTGAAAAAAACCAACCACCCTCCTGGCATAAGTGTTTAAGGCTGCATTCTGTACATCACAGTGAAAAATACAGGGCCTGAAACATGTTTTGGTACAGAAAAAAAGATGTGAGGTTTCTGATTCCAAGTCAAAGCAGTAATGAATTATGAAATAAAAATATAGCAATAATTGTTTTCCTTTTTCAATGTTTTTAAAATTTAATATAAAATAGCATATGAATATTATATATATTTACATTATTACATACCTATTCCATAATTTAATAAGAATAAAGTGTTTGCTTCCATTTCTTGGAGTTTGTCATTCTTATATTCAGCTTATTTTGTTCATGATGACTACCTCCCTGGCCCTTCGACACTTGCTACTCATTTGTTTTCTACCTACTTGTTTATAGAGTTTATATCTTTTACTAGAGAGTAAGCTGTCTGAGGGCTACACTTTTATTTCATTCGTCTTTGCATCTCCACAGCCCTAGAATAGAAGTGGGTTCTTAGTACATGGTCAGTAAGTGTTGGTTAAATTGAATTACATTGCCTTGTTGACTGTTATTAATCTTTAAAATTTTGGGATAATTTCCTACCAAACAAACATCTTTATTATGACTTATAGAAAAATGAATATTTCCTACCAAACAAACATCTTTATTATGACTTATAGAAAAATGAATAATGCTTATCAATAATCTTTAGTTCTTCTAGTCTCTAGATGATTGAAATGTTTCTCCCTATCCCTGGGTACCCACCCAGCTATGCCCCTTTGTGGAAAAAGGCCAAGGGAAAGTCTTTCTCCTTGGCTGAAATGCCTCCAGCAAGCAGATGGGTAAGTGGCCCAGTGTAGGTGGGGTCCACTTTCTACTCCTGAGGAGGAGTTGCCTCTCACAGACAGGACACATCCCCTCCTGCTGGAGAGGAACGGGGCAACAGCCTTCTAGACAGAAGAACTCTGTTTCTATGATTTTATTTTCCACTGTGCTCCACTCCAGAAGAACTAAGGTGACTTGTTAGTTAATATGATTCTCAAAAACCCTCTGTGACAGTTTTCTTAACCATTTTTCTCCCTCTAATGAGAACATGCTTTCCTGAGACCTAGAATGGCATACAATTATTTCACTGTGTAATCTCAAATTAGTGGGATGTTATTTACAAGATGATTTTACTAAACTGACAATTGTTATTTCTAACCTTTTAAAAGAAGGGAGAGTATAAAGATAACTCTTTGAACTATTTTGTGTCTTCTGATTAAACCCCTTTATGGACCAAGGAATATTTGCTTTGAAAACCTGTGTTAGGTTCCTTGGAGTAAATCTACCATAGCACAGAAAAATGATGGATGAAAGGTAAAAAGAAGAAAACTGCCCACCACACACATCTATCTTGGTTACCTCATTATCGTTTGGTGATTATCAGGGTAATTACTTCTTGCGTACTCATTCAAAAAACATGTTTACCATTTAAATGACTGCCTTGCTTGGAGTATAAAGGATATTTAGACATTTAGATGAGATCATTTTAATATCTTACATCACCATAGTGCAATTATCAAAACCAGGGAATTAACATGGGTACAGTACTAATACAATAGATCTTTTTGGAATTTCATTGTCTTTTTTTCTCTTCCAGGATCTTAAGCAGCATCCAACATTGCATTTAATTGTATGTTTTCTTAATCCACTCCAATATGTGACACTTCCTCAGTCTTTCCCTGTCTTTCATGATGTAGACACTTTTAAAAGTACTCATCAAGTATTCTGTAGAATGTCCCTTAATTTGGGTCTAAATCATCTTAAGGTTATAAAATTCTATAGTGCAGGTTGGTCTCCCTATGGTTTGAATATATTATTATAGCTATCAAGAAGAGAATATGTAAATGCAATTATAATATTAATATTTATTATGCCACAGTTAACATTTCCTCACTTTTTCATTCAACAAGTATTTATTGAGTCTACCGTGTGCCAGGTGTTGTACTTAGTTTATTGGGATGCAACAGTGAACAAAACTGGTAATTATTTCTCCCATCGTGAAACAGATATATGGGTAAAGAAAAAGGAATAACAAAAATAAGTTAAATATATAGTGTTTATAAATGTTAATTTTACAAATAAATAAAATGTAAAATAAAATACATAATGTTGACTGATGAATGTTAGAGAATCAATTTTATAAAGCAGGGATAGAGTATATGAAATGTCTAGGAATCAGTATTGAAATTTTAGATAGGGTGGCCAGATAAGATTCACTAAGAAAGGAGCTTTCAAGAAAAGACCTAAAGAAAGTGAAGGGGCTCACCAGGCGCTTATCTGGAGGGAGAGTGTTCCAGTTGCAGGGAGCAGTGAGGTAGGGGCTTGCTCAACATGAGCAAGGACAAGGAGGAAGCCAGTGTGGCCAGAGAAGAGAAGGTGAGGTTCATGGGGGCCAGATCATGTCATGTCAATCATAGGAAGGACCTAGGAAAGGCTAGTGAATAATTTTGAATACAGAAGTGACACAATCTGACTTTCTTTTAAAAGGAACACTCTGCTATTGTGCTAAGGATAGACTGCAGAGGCGAGGCTGAAACATGGGGGACCAGTTAGGAGGCTGTTCCCATAATCCAGGTGAGACATGACAGTGGTTTGGTCCAAGGTGGTGGTAGTGAGGATGGCGAGGAGTGGTTGAATTTTGGATAAATTTTGAAGGGGAAGCAATAGTATTTACTGGTGTAAAAGGATGTGTAGGGTGTGAGAGAAGGTGAAACCTCTAGGAGAACACCAAGGTCAGAGTATGGGGAGAATGGAGAGCCAATTCAACACATTTCAATATAGATTTAATGATTTTAAGTTTGGTAAACAGAGCACATGTGAACTGCAGCTTAATATAGTCAAGACTGACCAAATGTAGTCATAATTGAGAGACATTTCATCTATTTTGAGGTGTTAATCTGTTACGTCACTAAAGAATTTAAGATAAGAGGTTCAAACCCTAGGTCACATTGAAATTAAGCAATACACCAGGTAAAATTAACATGTTCAATGTCTCAGTTGTATAGTATAACCCCCAAAGAGGAGTGGAACTGGAGGTGGGAGCATCCCTCTAAATTGCGTATCCAGCAAGAAATAGGTGTAAGCCCAAAACTAGAGTTGATGTGGAGGAGGGAGCCCTAAGCTGTTGGCCACCACCTGAGATCCTTAAGCTCCAGGTCATTACCCTGGTGAGCATGTTCTCCTTTGAGCTATGGGCTGAGCCTTCCACTGAAAATCTAAACCTTCCCCATGCCTTTATGTCCAAATTCTACTTATTTTTCAGGACCCAGAACTCCAGCTTCAGAGTCCAGTGCTGCTAAGCCATAGTTTCTTAGCACTTCCCCTGGTGAGTTAAAGTATGTCTTGCTACATCATTAGAATTTTTTAGGTTCTCTTGCATTAACTCTGTGACTCTGAGAAACCTCCAATCTCTTGATTTCTTGTTTCCTTATGCACAAAATTAGGAACCTTGAGCTTCCTTCATCTCTATTATTTCATGATTCTATGGTTTCTTTGAAAGGAGAAGAAGTCATTCCATTTACTCTTCTCCTACCATTTTGAACTAACTGCTATTACCATATTGACCACACTATATTGTAACCGCATAGTTTATTTTTGGCTGTGACTTCCTCATTAGACTGCAACTATCCTGAGATCAGGGACTAAGTTTAAGTTTAATTTAAATTTTAAATTTTAGCCATTGCACTGGAGCCTGGCACAGGGTAAGTGAGTAATAATTGCTTGTTCAATCAGTAAGCATTCTCACCCTTACTAAGAAAGTGTCTCTAACCAGAGAGCATTTGTGGAACGTTGGTTGTTTTCCTCACTATCTTCAACAAGAGGTTTTTAACCACAACTGCGCATTTGAATATCCTGGGGGGATATAAATGGTATTGCTGACCTGATTCCTCACCACACCCCAGTGAAATCAGAATTTCTGGGAGTGGAATCCTGGCATCAGTATTTTTAAAAGATCCTCAGATAACTCTAATTGCAGTCAGGGTTGAGAACCACAGTTTATATTCTTCTCATACCGGTAGCATCTCATCCTTTTCCTTTGTGCTTTGTTTTGGTTTTTGTTTCAGAGACAGAGTCTCGCTCTGTCACCCAGGCCTGAGTGCAGTGGCACAATCTGGGCTCACTGCAACTTCCGCCTCCCAGGTTCAAGCAATTCTCCTGCTTTAGCCTCCTGAGTAGCTGGGATTACAGGCGCGTGCCACCGTGCCCGGCCAATTTTTGTATTTTTATTAGAGACAAGGTTTCACCATGTTGGCCATGTTGGTCTTGAACTACTGACCCTGTGATCCGCCCACCGCAGCCTCCCAAAGTGGTGGTATTACAGGCGTGAGCCACAGCATCCAGCCCATCCTTTTCTTTACACCCTGACTTGCCTTTCTTCTTCTTTTACTCAATTGCTGCCATCTCTATTTTCCAGAGGTTAAATGACATGCCCAAAGTTTAAATAACTAGTAAGTGGTGGAGTAAAAGCTGGGATTTAAATCCAGCAGACATGCTCCTGCACCCTGGCAATCACGGGATGGTGTAGAGAGGGCACTGTTATTTCAATAAGAGAGGGAAGCTACATAGTTACCTTAACCTTCTTTATTTCATGCAGAATCAAAACAAAACAAACAGAACCAAATTCTTAGAAATCTGGCCTGAGGGGAAGGCCCATGATGGCGCTGGGATGTAAAGACAGGTAATGGAGGTGAGGAATTGGCTTCTTGCCCTTGGCACTCTCTACCAATTGAAGGGCATGGAATGAAGATACCCTCTTGCTGGTGAGGCCTAGAATAAAAGGCTAAGTAAGTAAGGGGACATCAGGAGGCCTGGGCTGGAGTTCTGACTCCACCACTCACTAGCAAGATGGGATGGTAATGGTAATAATCATAACTAGTTCACAGGATTTTTGGGAGAATGCAGTGAAATTTCCTAAGTGCTTACCAGCCTCCATCATAGCTCAAGCATTAATTCTCCCAATCTCAGATCAATAGGTCTTACTCTTCAGGGTGCATTAGAATCCCCCAGGACCCCCACACAGATTCTTATTCTGCAGATATGAGCTGCAGCTGGGGCATCTGTATGTTTATCAAGCATCCCATGTGATTTGGAGGCAAAACAATGCTCTGAGCAACCCTACTGTGGCCACTAAGATAAACTACATGAAGACCTATGTCTGGGTGCTTGGACGTGTTCTTTTTCAAATGACGCACACAAAGCATTCTTCCTTGTTCTGGCTCGCATCTGTCAGTATTTTCCACAGAGCCTGGCCCTTATTTTTGGATCCAAGCTGCAGCCTGGTCTTTCATTTTTGGCTTCTAGCCTGTTGCTAATGAGCATCTGGCCAGAGTTGACAAATGTGATAGCAACTTAGCCTTTTCTTTTTTACTTTCATTACCTTTTCTTTCAAGTACCAGTAATGCCACCCAGGTCCTCAAGGGGGCTGAGGGGTGGGATGCTTTCACACCTGCCTTTTACAAAAGAGCTTGAAATAGCAATAAAAGTAGGTAAGGAAGTGGTAAAGGCCAGGAGAAATAAAGGTGGGCCTCCTCAGGCAGGTGAAGTGCAAGCAGCATCTCCATTTACAAGTAAAGAATAGTGTGTGTGTGTGTGTGTGTGTGTGTGTGTGTGTGTGTGTGTAAGGACTAAATATTACTTAGAACCCTCTCCACTATTTAAAGTTTCTGTGTCAGCACTTAATAAAATAGGAAACTATGGCCAAATGAGAAAGACATCCTCAGCCTCCACCATGTAGATCCATTGTGCTTTCCTAGCTCCTTCGGTGCTAGGTGCTTTACATACATCAGCTCTAATCCCTATCACAACTACAGGGTCTGAAAGATTCCATCTATTTTCCTCACCTGAGGAAATGATAAGAAAGTGACAGTGAGTGGTAAGAAGTGACTTGCCACAGCTGCTTAGTGGACACTCCACAGCCCCATGCTGATTCCTGGTGATGATGCTCCTTTACCTCCCCACAGCCCCTATGCTCTATTCCAGCCAAATGGTATGGCCCAGGTTTGCTCTAAATGCTTGTAACAACATCCTGCTTTACAATCTGCCCATGTTCTTCCCTCTGCTGAATGCCTTCCCCACTAACCTTCCTTCCTTATGATAAGCTTCGTGTTCCCATTGTTTAGCGGAACAACACACACTGGGGCCTGTTGAGGGGGCGGCGGTGAGAGGGAGAGTATCAGGATAAATAGCTAATGCATGTGGTGCTTAATACCTAAGTGATGAGTTGATAGATGCAGCAAACCACCATGGCTCACGTTTACCTATGTAACAAACCTGCACATCTTGCACATGTATCCCGGAACTAAAAATGAAATTTTTTAAAAAAGCTTTGCACCTATCTCTGCCCCCAAACTGGCTGTCTAGATGAAGAACTCCATATGTTTGCCTTCACTCTCCTCGGCCACCTCCCTGCTCTCAAATTCTCTCAGTCCCACCTGAGATCAGGATTTATCTCAGGTTTTTTGTCATCTGAGGAGCAGTGTCTCCAACCTCATGCACAGAGCCATCCTTGACTTTTAGCCCTCAAACCCTTTTAAGAATTCTGGATCAGGGCAGAGAGCTGGGCAACAATGAGATGTGATTGCTGTTGAAGGGATCCTAGGGCAGGCTGTCTGCAGCTGGGAGGGCAGAGGCAGAGGGTAGCCCAGTCTTTCATTAGGAAAGGCTGGGATGGGGATGGCTGGCTGAGCCTCCCAGAAAAACCTGTGGGGAGTTGGAGGCTGACCTTCTAATGCCTGTGCATAGCTTGAGGTTTTGAGGGTTAAACATCTGGGATTGATTAAAGTTCCTCATGATGCTTATAGAGATGTACAGGTATTTGATATTTTCTTTCTTTCTTAGATTTAAGGTTTATGTATTTCAGTGCCAAGGAATACTGTTAGCTCCATTTTGTTTTAAGATTTGTTTCAGGGCAAATCTGTCTGGAACCATTTTGTTCTGTTTCTCCATTAATCTGATTGGTACAGTTTAAAGACAAGGGAATGACATTGGAAATAGGATGAACGGTGGGGATGTGAAGTTTAGAAGAGGCAGTTTTGTGTTATAAAGCAGACTGCAAGGATTGACATTGCTCTCTAGAGGCTGTGTGGGCAAAACAGGAATGAAATTTCAGTGCACTAAATCTACCCCTAGAAACAATGACCTACTCTCCATACTTGGATCTTAGAATTCATGATATGTAGTAACTTAAATTAATGGCTTAATTTCCTTAAATTTCCTGATGTAGGCATGACACTCCCAAACTGATTAAGTTAGCATCTTGAGCCTGATAGGGAAATTTAAAATAAAATAAAGCCAAAAAGTCTTTAGATACATGTTTTCTTCTCTGCGTGTTTTAGTTTTTTGGCCCACATTATTGAAATAAATATTATTACTTTTATAATCAGAAGCAAAATTTATTTAAAAAATATTCTTGTTACTAGAAGATCCATTCATGAGCAAGAGTTTCTACAAGTCACAGCCCTTCCTACATTTTAAAGATGAAAAGGAGGCAGTGTTTACATTTTCTTAATATTTTGTCCTAAATGTCTTGGTCAAAATTCCTCATATTTTCTCCTGCTGACATTTAAATGTTTAAAATTATTTCTTACAATAAAGTTTCCAGGGCCTTTAAAACAATCTGCATTGTTATGCCCTAGTAATTTTGCTTTTTGAAGAACTCCTGTAGTAAATGTATCCAGTAGTTAATGTAGATAAAAAACACAGTGTTAGAATAAAATTAGACACCTTCCATGTGACACTAGGACTAAATGGCAATTTCTGATTTTTAAAACAAATTTAAATATTTTCAATATCTTCTTCTAAAATAGGAACTATTATTAAGATTGAAAATTCTTTTTTTTCCCCGCGAATTATTTTCATAGTGTCTGGAATATAGTATGTGTTCAAATATACATTTTTATTTCTTTTTTATTTATCTTTTGGTTTTCCACAGTAAGTTACTATGAAAAGAAGTCTGGAAAAATGCTACCGTCAAGAAGTTTGAAAGTCAATGTGTCCTCTTTTATGCTTTCTTTTGTCTGTGAAAAGCTAATGTCAAATCTTTACCTTTGTGCAGGGATATATTTTTTGATGGTTCAGTGAATTGTTCTCTCCCAAACAGTAATAATTTTGAGTAACTCTTGTTCTATCTGTACATAAAAAACACAGTGTGTGCTTATAGAGCTGTCAGAATCTGCGAGGAAATAAATTTTAATTCCATGGCAAGGCAAATAAACTCTCTTAGTGAAAACAAGATAATACGTTGTAAAAAAAGAAGGAAAAATATATTGCAACAGTCCTTTCAAATTCTTCCTCTTGAGGTATATATGAACTTCATGATATTTAGAGTATTGAATATCATTAATAAAAACTCAAAGAGGAATATAAAATGATTCATGTACTTTTTGACTAAGAATTTTTTAAAATACAGAAAAATTAAAACTGAGAGAATATATAAGGGATAATTTAACAAAAACCCAAAGATTTAAAAAGTTCCCAACCATATTACACTCAAATTTACCCAGTTTTCATGTTTCCCTGTAGATTTACAGATTTACATATAAGGATTAGCTTATTTCATCTGTGTCTGATAGATACCAACTGTTAATGATTTCGGCTTAAAAAAATCTGTAATGTCCTTTTCCTAAAGAAAATTTATAGCTGTATCAAGTGGACAGGATATTTTTGCATCACCCATAGGACTATGCATAGATTCTCTTTTTATGCACTGACTCTTAGTCTATTTCTAAGTCTATTTCTTCCCTTTGCAGTAATTATATGCAATTTAACATGTTAAAGAAGAAAATGGAGCAATAGTAAATCATAAAACAATGTTGGTACATCTTCAATCTTGGGAGATTGCACTTAGTCCAAATTCTACAGAGTCATTCTCCTTTGAAATGATAGACTATAAATTAATTATGGTTCAGGAGAAGCAAAGAACAGCTCCTGGCAGCCTGGCCTGAAGACAAGTTTCCATTGTAAGAATGCTGGTATTCCCAGCCATGCTTTGGCATAGAGGTGATGATGTTATAACCATAGTCCCAATTGTACAGGAATGAAGTGACATTTCCTAACAAGCTGTATGCAAAGTTATCCAGAAATTTAGGTAACTAGAGACATCAAAAAATATAAATATTTTTATCTCAACAGTATTTTGAATTGTTCTCAAATACACAAGGCAAGCCTTCTTGAGACAGTTTCGAGATTAACAACATCTCAGGATGAACTCTGTATCCCCAGAGACTATACAAAACCTGGCATAGAGGATGTGCTTATGAAATGTTATATGAATGATTGAATTCAAGAACCAGCAGAGGAGAAGTGATGAGCAGAGAAGTAATGTCCAATGTATTCATGTATTGCCTGCAGTTGCTTTTTTCTTAATTAATTCATTGCTTGGAAATAAGTTAATCTAAATGAATCCATTCCTGGCCTTTATGTAAGTTTGTGGTCTGGGTACTCACCAGCCACCACACCTGAATACACAATGGGAGAACATTTTGGAGGGTGGCTGGGAGGTCAGCATCGATCCAGGGAGTTATGATGGTAGAATAAAGCTTGCATTTGCCATCTTAAAGCACTGATGGCGTCCATTTCTCTTCCTGCTGGCACCAGGGGCCCTGGCTGTGGGAAACGAGGGAAATGTTCCCAGAGGGCACTCCTGGAGAGCAAAGATCTCGTCTGGTGATGCTCCATTTTTCATTATTTTGTGATTGGCCCAAACCTCAGGACTGCTTACGATAAGAGAGTAGAACTTTCTGTTAACTCGGAAAGAGTATACATCTGTGGTGAAGACTGTGCCATCAAAAGGCCTGTGTGCACACTTCGTGATAGTGTCAAAGTGAGATGGAGATTTTAAGGTCCGCTTGGCAAGGACAGGGCTGTCTGTCTTGTTCATCACTGTCTCTCCAATATCAAAACAGAGTCCAGCTTTGCAGATTAACTATCTCCCAGGCTAAGTAACACATTCTGAAATTATTTATTTTATTTTCCAACAATTCTGAAAGGTAAGTTTTTCATCTTCCTTCCA
Organism: Homo sapiens; assembly: GCF_000001405.40. Lineage (NCBI taxonomy): Eukaryota > Metazoa > Chordata > Mammalia > Primates > Hominidae > Homo > Homo sapiens. The sequence continues at coordinate 156,439,349 of NC_000003.12, read as the reverse complement.
ACACGCCTGAGATTGATTATGCCCATGGATAATTAGTTCATTTTGAGACTTGTTTATCTCTAAAATGGATAATGATACCTACTCACGGTATTGTGAGAACCAAAAAAAAAAAAAAAAAAAAAAAATCACAATGATGCAAATTAACACTTTTTTTTTTGAGAATTTACATCGTTCCAAGCACAGTGCTATACCCTTTATAGACATTATCTTGTTTAAAACCCACGACCAATCTGTGATTTGAGTTTATTTGCTGGTAAGTGGCTGAGCCAGGATGAGTCCAGGTAGTCTGATGACATAGTCTATCCTGGTTTTTTTTTTTTGTTTTTTGTTTTTTTTGAGATAGAGTCTTGCTCTGTCACCCAGACTGGAGTGCAATGGCACAACCTCGGCTCACTGCAACCTCCGCCTCCCGGGTTCAAGCGATTCTCCTGCCTCAGCCTCCTGAGTAGCTGGAACTATAGGCACACGCCACCACGCCCAGCTAATTTTTGCACTTCTAGTAGAGACGGGGTTTCACCTTGTTGGTCAGGCTGGTCTTGAATTCCTGACATCGTGATCGGCCCACCTCGTCCTCCCAAAGTGCTGGGATTACAGGTGTGAGCCACCACGCCCGGTCAGCCTACACTGTCAATGATTTCAATAGTATATGTCAGTGTCTAGAATAGTACTAGACAATAGTACTAGACAAATAGTACTAGTACAAGCATACAACAGGTGCTCACTAAATGCTACTTTCCTTATTATCTCCAAAGAGATAATATATGAAGTAGCAGAAGTTCCACAAGAACATAAATGACTTTTTCAGAACTCACAGTGAAAGCCACAGTCGACATTGGAATGTATCAATTCTAACCACATACCTGTCTTAACAAAGCTTAGAAAAATGTATTACTTATTATGGATTATTCTGAAGTGACACATGAAGAATGATGAATAGACTAAAACATTCAAACATTATTCAAAATTCTGAATTTTAACTTGGGATGAAATCTAAGTGAAAAACAAATACCTCACCTGCCCCTTGCTTCTTGCATTGGTCATCAAAAGTGGCATCTGCCCTGCTCTCTGGCTGTGCTTGCTGCAGCTGCCTGGGAAGAAAAATGTTCCCAGGTACTCAAAGCCTCCAGTGGACTCAGTCATTGGATGAGCAAGTAACTTAGGTGGGGAGCCAGGCCACCTTTCAGCTGCACAGGAAGCCAGAATTTGGAGCTCCTTATCCAGGCCAGTGATCTTCAACTGTGGCCCAATTAAGAGGACCACCTAGGAAGCTGATGTATTGCTCCAAAGCAATAGATTCTGGTTTGATTGGTCTGAGGAAAGGCCCAGGCACAGGTATGTTTTAAAAGCTCCCCCTGTGACTGTAATGGCAGCCGAGATGACAACTTGTCTAAGCAGTGGGTTGGGATGTTGTAGGAATGAACTCTATGAGGTCCCAGTACAGTGAGAAGCCTTGGAGTGACAGGAAGAGAGACAATAAATACTGGTCCTAGAGGATGAAGAAAAATTTGGAAGGTTGAAGGTGGCCTTGACCCCAAAATGGAGATTGTAATACCTTGCAGGGTCTTTCGCCCTGACCAAATAAAGAATTACAGACTATTCCTTCAAGATTCTCTTTGGTGCTTTGCCCTTCATTTTATTAGTACTACTAACCTTCTGCAAAAATCCCAGTGGCAGCAAATGACTGTAGCAAAAGAAGCTTAGCAGAATTTTTTTAAATGTGAAATAAAAAAAAATAATATCAGCAGTCTCGTTTTCTGGGACAAGATTACAAGGGCCACCAGTCCTGCTAGAGTAAGGTGCAAGTGGGACGCATCACTTTGATGGGGTCAGAGTGGAATTTCTCCCACTGGTGCCATGCAGAATGATTAATTTATTATGGCAATCTAAAAGCTTAACCGAATGCTACCCTGAGATGGGGTACTAAATCTTTATATTGTTCCTACATATTTTATTAACTGTAGATGACTCTTGATTTTCCACTGACATGTTATGCCTGTGACACCCAGATTCAAATAGAAATAGAAAGTGCATTCCAAAGACAAACAAAAATACAATTAGATTTTCGATTTCACAGTTCCCTTCTCTTAGCAGAGGTAACTGAAAATCCACTGTTTTCATGTGGTTCCAATGGGTCAATTGGAAGAGCAACACAGCAGCCACTAATCCCCCTGAATAAAAGACCAATCCTTCTTAAATTTACACTGCTTATATAAATTGCATGCATTTAGGACACTGTGGATATCACAAACTTTCAAGTATAAACTTCAATTTTAAAAAAAATATGCAAGACAGACATTGATGTAAAACCCAAAACTATAAAAACCCTAGAAGAAAATCTAGGCAATACCATTCACGACATGGCACAGGCAAAGACTTCCTGACAAAAACATCAAAAGCAATTCCAACAAAAACAAAAATTGACAAATGGAAATAAACTAGAGAGCTGCACAGCAAAAGAAACTATCATCAGAGTGAACAGACAACCTACAGAACAGGAGAAAATTTTTGCAATCTATCCATTTGACAAAGGTCTAATATCCAGAGTCTACAAGCAATTTAAACAAATTTACAAGAAGAAACAATAAACAACCCCATTAAAAAGTGGGCAAAGGACATGAACAGACACTTCTCAAAAGAAGACATTTATGCAGCCTACAAACATATGACAAAAAGCTCAACATCACTGATCATTAGAGAAAAGCAAATCAAAGCACAATGAGATACCATTTCATGCCAGTTAGAATGACCATTATTAAAAAGTCAAGAAACAACAGATGCTGGTGAGGCTGCAGAAAAATCAGAACACTTTTACACTGTTGGTGGGAATGCAAATTAGTTCAACCATTGAGGAAGACAGTGTGGTGATTCCTCAAAGACCTAGATCCAGAAATACCATTTGACCCAGCAATCCCATTACTGGGTATACACCCAAAGGAATATAAATTATTCTTTTATAAACATACATGCACATATATGTTCATTGCAGCACTATTCACAATAGCAAAGACACAGAGTCAACCCAAATGCCCATCAACGATAGACTGGATAAAGAAAATCTGGTATATATATACCATGGAATACTATGCAGCCATAAAAAGGAATGAGATGTCCTTTGCTGGTGCATGGGTGGAGCTGGAAGCCATCATCCTTGGCAAACTAATGCAGGAACAGAAAACCAAACACCACATGTTCTCACTCATAAGTAGGTGTTGAACAATGAGAATACATGAATACAGGGAGGGTAACAACACACACTGGGGCCTGTTGGGGGTGGGCAGGGGTAGGGAGAGCATCAGGAAAAATAGCTAATGCATGCGGGGCTTAATACTTAGATGATGAGTTGACAGGTTCAGCAAACCACCAGGACAGGCATGTACCTATGTAACAAACTTGCACATCCTGCACATGTACCCTGGAACTAAAATAAAATAAAAAGATAGACATAGACTTTTAGATGGAGCAGAAGAAAATGTTGATGGGGTAAAAATACAACAAGATAGCAATGCTGCCATGAAAAATAGAACTGAACATGCACACAACAGAACCTGGGTGAAGGTATGCCTTATTTAATTCCAAATATATCTATATATGTAAGATCTGGTCATTAATCTCCACGAGCTAGAATCTCACTCTTGCAGATTTTGTACATTCTCCCCACATACTCTGACTTCAAACTCTTTCCCTTCTCTTCTGTCTAATGTCTGTCTTCAATTCCTTCCTTATCCAGGAGGGTCAGGGTGGCTAGATGATGTGGTTCACCATTTAGAAGGTTCTCTTGCTTTATTCTCAAGTCCATTGATTCACTGTCCTTTCATTGCACCTGCCTGACAAAAACCCACATCCTTATAAATCTGACTATCTGGCTGCTCATCACCTATAACCGAGGTGCTGAGCTGTGCTGGGGAAATTAACAAACTATAGAGACTGACACAGTGTAAATTCTTTGTCTCTAGTCCCTCATAGACCCTCAACAGTCCTCTGTTTTCTAGTCAGTTTTCTCCAATGTGTGCATTTCAAACCTGCCCCACTTTTCTCAACCTCAGGTCCTACGTCCTCTTCCTTTAACCTCAGCAGGTAATAGTGCCTCCTGCTTCAAAAAGAAAATAAAGCAAGACAAACTATAACCCTCTCTACTTCTTGCCATATCTACTATCTGACCCATGGCAGACACAATTGGTGCCCTGCCCGTTTTCCCTGGGGCTTCTAGATGTTTGATGACTCTCTATGGTATGGAAACACCCCATCTCCCTCACTCTCAGGTAGGTGTGCATTCCACACTGGCTCGAGTCCCAGGGGAATTCCAGCTTCAGTTACCCACACTAGCACTGACTTGATTATATGTCCTTTATCACCTTCCCTTTCCAATCTCACATCTCAAAAAATCATCAAACTACCTGCCTTCAAATCCTTGTTTCAGAGCCTGCTTCAAAGAGAACATAAATTAAAACAGTACCATCTTCTCTTCCTTTCTTCCTGCCACTGTGGAAGGGTGTCCTTTCTATTCAATGCTTATTTTTCCACTTATCTTATGGATCCCAACTCCTTCTTCTTTCTCAGGGACTCCACCCCACTAGTTATCACCTCTCATTACTGTCTTTTCTTTGCCTTGAATTCTAGTTTGTTTATTTCATATTAATTTTACATTTCAAATTTGATTTCCTTTTCTTCTTTGATTTGTCTGTTTGCCCATTTATTTATTTTCTATTTATCTTTGACCTTTTCCTTACAGAAAATATCTAGGAACTAGCATTTTTTTTTCCTCACCCAATCTCAGAAACTTTGTAGTTTACTATGATGACACCTATATTAGAGATCTTTTTCTGATATGTTATTTTATGCTTTTAAATATATTTCCTTTTGTATTTTCTCTACCTGCTTTTGCCAATTTGGTCAAGCCTCATTTACCTTACTGCCCTGATATACCTTCCGTATGGGCTGTCTGTATATGCTGACAGTATGATGAGCTTGGCTTACAGTGAGTGGGCAATTGATGTATTGCTACATTTAATCTTCCGTAAAAGTGAGAATACTCAAGTCGTTGAGCTTGTCTCCCCACCTCTATTCTCAACCCTCACCACCTTGCCATCTGCACTGTGACCATGGTGAGCTGACTAAAATGTATCTGGCCAAGTGACTCCTGGAGTTAAATGTTTTCATGACTCCCAATCACACAACAGATAAACACCAAGCTTTGTGACATGGCTTCAGTGCTTTTCATAATCTTTCTGAGTCATCTGTTATCATTTTTCTCTCCCACATGGCTCCCTCTCCAGGCCATGCTAATTGAGGCTTCCAAGCTGCTCCTCTTCCTGAAATGTATGTATTAATTCACTTAGAAAATATTTATTAAACCCCCAATGTTCCCCCAGAGCCATGCCAGATGGTAGTGTCAAAATGGCAAATGATAGTAATGGTCTCTTTTTCCTAGAACTCTCAATCCAGTGGTAAGACAGGCAAATATGAAAATAAATACAACCACGGGGCAACATATTGATAAGAGGGATCGTGATGGGAACTTGTAGGAAGCCTCTAGCCCAGACTTGAATGTTCAGGAAAGCAACAATCAAGCCAAAACCCAAGTGAGGAGTAAATAGAAAACTTAACAAGATATGCCTGTGGCTTTCTTTCCCTTGTCAAGCTGACAGATTGCTATTCATCCTTCAACATCAGGTGGCTTCCAGCAGCACTTTCCCCTACTCCCCCAAAAGAGGTGGTCACTTCCTCCCCTGGGCCATTTCTATGTCTTGTACCTCTATCTCTCTGCCTCTCTACTTCTATCACATTCTTGTTTAATTGTTCTTTTCCTTGTGTTCTCCTTGACCTGGCTCCTTCCCAATCTATCCTTTACTACTCTTCCTCCAGGAAGCCTTACATGACCTCCCTTAACCCTAGCTTAGGCAGCCCTTGTACATGTTTCCATGACGCTTTATATTTCCTTCAGAGTACTGACTGTGTGGTCCTGAATTCTTTCACTCGTCATTCCATAAATGAGTGTATATTGAGAACCTTTTTCTCTGTTCTAGTCATGTGTTCTGAACTGATAATCCAGCAGGAAATAAGTCAGGCTAAAAAATTAATCACCATCAAACGCAAGTAAAAAATGCAGGGTGTCCTTTAGGGGCATATAGCCCAAGGATCTGATTCATCCTGAGAACCACGTCTCCTCCACTCCCTAGATAGGCTCTGTGAGGGCAGGCATCTGTGTGTCGTTTCTCCCTGTTTCCCCAGCACAGCGTCTACTGCATCTTTGTGAAATCCATGAACACATGAAAAAATGACAGAAAAAGTGCCTGGCCGTGCTTTACAGGGATGACCGAGTCAGTCGCAGTGTCTAAGAGTTCACAAACTGAGACGCAGGCAACATCCGAGGCAGCAAATCCATCAGCAGGGCCAGGACAGCCAACCAGTCCTCCCTGGAAGGCACTGAAAAGGAGGGGGACTGCTGTGCTCCTCTCTTTTGCCCTGAGAATGGTGGGGTTAGGTAACGAAGTCAGACAGAAGGT